>NC_000024.10:15331410-15940958 GCF_000001405.40 Homo sapiens | reverse complement strand
TGTTTAAGACCTATGCAGGCCATGCGTGGTGGTTCATGCCTGTAATCCCAGAACTTTGGGAGGATGAAGCTAGCAGATCACAAAGTCAGGAGTTCAAGAACAGCCTGACCAACATGGTGAAACCCCCATCTCTACTAAAACTACAAAAATTAGCCAGGCATGGTGGCATTCACCTGTAATCTCAACTACTTAGGAGGCTGAGGCAGGAGAATTGATTGAACTCAGGAAGTGGAGATTGCAGTGATCCAAGATCCAAAAAAAAAAAAAAAATGTGTATGCAAAAACAACTCACAGCTTCAAATTATTTTGGTAGAATTTAAGGCAGGGTAGTAACTAGAGAGAAGAGAGACAGGGAAATTTGTGTAAGGCATGGTCAAGTTTTTCTAATTTGACTTCCTGTCAGCTATAGAAACTACTGTTATATGTTCCTTCAATGCAAGTATTTCAACATTGTTGCACAGATTTTAAGAAGTGAATACTATTGATTTTTTGTTTTTTGTATTTTTTTTTCATTCTCCTACTTCAGCCTCCCGAGTAGCTGGGACTACATGTACCCGCCACCACAACCATCTAATTTTTTTTGTATTTTTAGTAGAGACAGGGTTTCACCATGTTAGCCAGGATGGTCTCGATCTCCTGACCTCATGATCCACCCTCCTCAGCCTCCCAAAAGTGCTGGGATTAGAGGCCTGAGCCACCATGCCTGGCCATATAATTGATTTTTTAAGTGGGTCATTTAGCCAGCTGGATGTAATAGTTTCTGAGGTCTGCTTTTTTTGCCAACATTCAACCATCCATCTAGAACTTCATTTCCTGGCTACATAGAATTTCTCTCAAGTTCCAACTCTCCCAGAATATTGCACTCCTATTCCCAAAATATTGCTTCATTCTGCATAGTTACGAGATCATACCCCAGCCTCTATTTCATGACTTCTTATGCATTTGAGAATTTCTGCATTTATTTCTGCAGACCTTCTTAGAACCTTGAGTGGACTGATGTGCATTTGATTAGTCATAGATGAGCATGCCCTCAGGAGCTCTCATCAAGAAAATGGAACACCTCCTTCAGGAAACACTGGCTCAATAGAAAAGGGCCAAGTTCTCCGGTTATGTTTGCTTCACAACTTTGCTTTAAGAAAGAAGCCTCATTTACATTCTTCTCCTGTTAATCTCTGAAGTCACCCTGCTGGAAATTATCTCTCTATCTTCTGGAAACCTTTTCTAGTATTTTTGATAATTTTGTTACTGCCCTGAGTTTTAAACACACGAAAAGATTTCTTTTTCCTATGTTATTTGCACATAGTAGATACTCTAAATCAGAGTTCTGCAACTATTTCCTGTAAAGGACCAAGTAGGAAGTATTGTAGGCTTTGCAGACAACATAGTTTCTGTTACAACCACTCATCTCTGTCTTTATCATGAAAAAGCAGACACAGACAATATGTAAATGAATGAACCTGGCAGTGTTTCAACAAAACTTTATTCACAAGAACAGGCAGCTGTCAATTTTGCCTCATTGACCACAGATGTGTCTCTATGATCTTAAAATCGTGAAGTCACTAAAGATGCATAATTTTCTCAATTTGATGCTGTGATTATCTCCTATACACCATATATATATTTTCATCTGGGATACCAAAGCATACATGCATGTCTGTCCTTCTTGTTTTGTGTTATTCTTTGATGAAAAAAAATACTGTGTTAATATTCCTGCAAAAGGAGCATTTGTTATGAGGCAGGTTTTTGAGATGGAAAAGAATGTGATACTGTTGGAATTATAACAATCTATGAATCCAAAGGAGTTTAAAGTTATCCATTTTTTTTAGATAGCATTATTTATTATAGCACACCTGGTTCAAAATGAAGTAATTTCTCTCTAGGCAATAATCTAGAAATGTCAGGACAAGACAAAAACAGAAGACCCATTATTGCAAAAATTCTGTGACTGGCTGAGCATGATGGCTCATGCCTGTAATTCAGCACTTTGGGAGGTAGAATTGGGAGGATTGCTTGAACTCTGGAGTTTGAGACAAGTCTGAGCAAATCTGTTAGTTCATTTTCATACTGCTATAAAGAAATACCAGAGACAGGGTAATTTACCAAGGAAAAGAGGGCTAATGTATTCACAGTTCCACATAGCTTTAGAGGCTCCACAATCATGGTGGAAGGCAAAGAAGGAGTAAGACACATCTTATATGGGAGCAGGCAAGACAGCCTGTGTCAGGGAACTGACATTTATAAAACCATCAGATCTCATAAGACTTATTCACTACCACAAGAACAGTATGGGAAAGATCTGCCCACATGATTTGATTACCTCCCACTGGGTACCCCCCGTAACAGGTGGAGATTATGGGAGCTACAATTCAAGATGACATTTGGGTGGGGACACAGCCAAACCATATCAGCAATATTAGTGAGATCATGACTCTAATAAAAAAAAGAATAAATTATATGACTGAGTTAAATACATTAGTTAATGGATCATTTCCCAAATTTTGGGTATTGTCTGTCAATAAAACAGGATTACTTGAAATGAAGACATGAATGGACTCCACATTATCTAGCTATTTTTGTCACTTCATATAATTAATCAAGAAATGATTGAAAATGTATAAAAAGAACAAAAAAGTATAGCATATATTAAAAAGAAGGTATGAATCACCCCAGATCTCACCACCTAACTGTCAGCATTTGGAAACCAATATATCCAAGAGAAGGTGTATACTAGTCTCAGAGTCTAGAAACATAAATATATATATATATATATATATATATATATATATATATTCTATTTAAATAATCATGCCATGTTTGAAACTGTTTTCTACTTAGCATCATCCTCAGAGACATTTGTATCATGTTACAAATTCCATCTTGGCAAATTCAATAGATACTATGCTGCGTCTTCTATTACATCCATTTAAGCCTCATTTGATGGGAGCTAAAGGGGATCTCTTCCTAGAATGCTTCTCTCTTGGCCTTGGTAACTTCTTCTAGTTTTCCTTCTACTTCTCAGTGTTCCCCTCATCCTCCTTTCTACAGGGTCCTCCTCTAATCAGTTTCTAAGTGCTGGACTTCCTGAGGGTGTGTGGTGGGTACTCTCAGCTCTCTTCACAGAGTCTCCATGGATAATCTCAACTGAACCTTATCATCTTGCTGATTATATATGCATTGACTTCTCCTTCTCAGATCCATTTTCTGAGCTCCCACTTCCTCCTTGATTTCTGCAAGTGTGTGTCTCACAACTCATTATGTCCAAATGTGAGTCCTTAATTTTCATCTATGTTTCACCATTCCCTGTTCCCCTAGCTGCATAGGGAGTCTGCCACCTACCTGGCACCTAATGTTAGAAGTCTGGAGTGACTGGGCAATTCCATTTTCATTATGCATCTCTTCAAAATGTTCAATGATTTCTGAATATCACAAAGAAAAATGTCAGCTATTTCAATGTCCTGAGTTGTAAAACAGTCCGCAAATTCCTGCAGCTGGCAGGATGTATCAGACAAAATTGCATTCAGATTCAGGTAACAGAAAAGCAACATTACTCCAGCTTTAGCACGGAGCAGTGAGTTGGTGTGATGGCTCAATGATACTCTGAGGTATATAGACTCATCTCCTCTTTCCTAAGGATGAAGCCACCATATCCCTAGGCTCCAGGCTTGAGCTTCATGTCTTATATAGCCTTGTGATTACAAGATAGCGTGACAACTCCATGCTTCAAAATCCCTAGTCTTGAAAAAAAAGAAGAGCAAAGGAGTGAAGGTCTTCCAAGTAAATCTTTGTCTTTTTATATCAAAGAGTTTGCAGTCCCAGCCATGCAAAGCAGCAAGGGAACCCAGGGGCATTAATGGGTTTAAACAGTCTCATTGCAGTGTTCTGAGTGAGCTTTAGGTCTATTTATTAAAAAAGGAGATACAGATAGTGGGTAGGCAAGAGACAGTGGTTGTCCTGGTGAGTCAGGTGCTAATAAAATTATCCAATGTGAATGCTGCCTACAAAGGAAAAACTGTGATGACAAAGTATTGAAGATAGCTGGGAAGTACTCAATGCTCTGACAAACTCTATTTTTATGGTCATAATCATCATCATCATCATCATCATCATCATCATCAATAATATCTTCAATATTCACAGCCCAAATCATAGTCGTTAATTATGTTTAAAGTCTTAGTTCCACTATATCATTCCCTTACACAATTATTCCGGGGAAAGGATGAGGAAAATTATAAATATCTGGAACTCAATTTTGTCTCTTGATGGTAGCTGTGTTAGGGGAGTGGAGATATTCATCATATGAAAGCCCTGAGAAAAAATAAGAGAAGGTTATGCTAAATTATAGTAGAATCTTAACATCTTTGATAAAGGCACATATTTCATGGTGGTGATCTATATCCCAAACTAATTTGGAATGCTGAATTTCATGGATACTTCCAAAATTGTTCTCATTCTCAGTCTGAATCACTTTGTAACACAATGTTCTTGCTATCCTGGATAGAACTGCTGCTTTTCACCTAACATTGCGGGCTATGAATTTGGAATCACAACAATGTCAATAAATTTACAAGGGATCATCCATGCTGTCTTCCAGTCAGGCAACCTAAGACAAGGATGCATTATGAGATAGTTGTCCAAAGAGAAGAGTTTGAAATGTGGTTTGTAATGTTTGGGTGCATCTTGTTTTCTTGTCTGTTTGCACATACCCTCTTCTCACTGTGCAGCTAAATGGATTCATTTCATCGTCCTCATGAATACTCAGCCTTGTCCAATTGGTTGGACACACAACCAAGTGTTAGCCTCTAAATAATCTGCCATCTACAAAGAGATACCTCTTCACACCCACAAGGATGGCTAGAGTAAAAATTCAGATAATAAGTGATGATTTAATAGGTGGAGCATAGAGGATTTTTAAGGCAAGGAAACTATACTGTGTGATCCTATTAGGTTGGTGCAAAATTATTGTACCAAAGTATTAACAAAACCCATAATTACTTTTGCACCCACCTAATATAATGATGGATGCATGTCATTATACATTTGTTCAAACCTCTAGAATGAACATCACCAAGAGTGAACCGTAATGTGAATTATGGACTTCAGGGACAACGATGTGTAAGTTCATCAGTTTTCACAAATGCACCACTGTGAAATGCCACGTTGAGAGTGGGGGAGGCTGTGCATGTGTGGGGTCAGAGGCACATGGAAATTCTGTACCTTTTGCTTAATTTTGCTGTGACCCTAAAATTGCTTTTACAAATAAAATATAATAAAAATATTGAGCCAAACAAGGAAAGGAGGCTCCCAGAAAATGACAGTGGCATAGTTAATCCAAAATAATAACTGAAAATCATGACTGCTTACATGTTAGAAGGGTGTGGTGGAGGTTGTATGCTCTCAAAGAGATGTTTTGTTGTTGGAGACAGAGGCTACATGTGAATTGCCTGTACTTTCACCTGAATTTACTGCGAAACTAAAACTTCTTTAAAAAATAAGTTCACTAAATAAAAAATTTTTACATAGAGACATAAATTCTTGTACCAAAATACACCTAAACTTCTATACTTATCATAGCACTATTTACAATAGCAAAATAGTGGAATGAACCAAAGTGCCCATCAACAGTGGACTGGATAAGAAAATGTGCATATACCCCAAGGAATAATACACAGATGTGAAAAATAATAAACTCATGTCTTTTGCAGCAACATGGATGCAGCTGGAAACTACTATCCGAAGTGAATTACACAGAATGAAAAAAATAAATACCTGAGAATTTCTTGAACCCAAATACCTGGGTTTTTCTTCCTGTGTTAATTCACTTAAGATAAGTGAAAACCCAAATACCACATGTTCTCATTTCTAAGTGAGAGCTAAACATTGAGAATAGATGTACCTACACATTGGAACAATAGATACTTGGGTTACTAGAAGAGATAGGGATAACGGAGGCAAGGGTTGAAAAACTAACTATCGGGTACTATGTTCAGTACCTGGGTGACAGCAACAACCATACCTCAAACTTCAGCATCACATGATACACCCAGGCAATGATCCTGAATTTGTACCCCCTGCATCTAAAATAAAAGTTGAAAAAAAAGTCTTTTTGTAAATAAATCATGCAACATTTTAGACAATCTTTCAAGGTGATTTCACTTGCTGTTACAACTCATTTTAATTCAGCCCTATTTTGTAGTGTTTTCTTAATAGAAGAAAATCAGTGTGTACACCAAGATCCTTCTAGAATACTCCATCATCTTGTTGGATCATCTCTGGATATATGTGTTAACTGATCTCCATAATCTGTAAGTGGGAGCCTGTGTATAGGAATTGCCTGTGAATCATACTAAAAAAAAACAGTGCACCATAATATAAGGCCCTGCCCAATACACTGGCTTATTCCTCCAATGCTCCCTAATTACAGTCTTCATTTCTGTTGAACTAGACTGTGCAGCACAGGAGACAGCTTCTCATTTAGGCCTAGAGCCTTGGATACAGAAATTTAGCCCAGCCTTTCACCTCTGGCAATGTCCCAAGCTCTCTTGTATTAGAATCTAAGACTGTTTTCCAAAGAGAAGGCATAGTGCATCCCAGTAAACTGAGAACAAGGACTGTTTCCAGTAGAGACAAGATATATAATAAAATATTCAAAGCTCCCTCCACATCCTTAAAAAAATAGTTCAGCAAAACATCTCTGAGAAACCTGGTAATCTTATGTTACACAGTCTTCTTTCCTACTAAATGATATAGCCCCATTTCATGATATCTGCATCTTGAACCAGGTGGCTGTGGGATAGCAAGAGAGTGGAATAATGTTATCAAATATAAATGTCTGTCCTACTTGCTATGCTAAGAAAGGGCTTTGCTCTGAAGTCACCCTTTTTGTCATTTTGTAATGATTTGCCCTTTTACCCGTTGTTTACTCTGTTTGGCATTTTTTTCTAATGTGTATGGACTTTCTTCTCTATATCTTTTTTCTTTAAATTCATCAATTCTCACAAGCTCCTCTGAGAAGAGTCTTGGTCCTCTGGGTGCGCCCAATCTGGAGCAAGAGATGCTAACATAAAATCCAAGTAGTGCCAGGATAGGAAATGCAACCCTAAATTGGTTGTTTAAATGCACAGGTCAGAGTTGACTATTTAAAGAGTGGAAGAAATGACTTTTGAGTCAGACAAAACAGGATGCACAGAGACACGGTGAAGTAAACTACATGGTGCACTTAGGTTATTAGGAATAGTACGAAAAAGGCTGGAACATATACTGGGTGGCTCTGACAGATGAATGTATCAGGTAACTATATTAAGAAGAATGGAATCCGGCATGGTGGCCTGCACTTATTGTCCCTGCTACTTGGGAGACTGAGTCAGGATGATTGCTTAAACCTAGGAGGCAGATGTCACAGTCAGCCGAGATCATGTCACTGCACTCCAGCCTGGTGAGAGAGGAGACCTCAAAAAAAAAAAAAAAAAAGTGTGAACTTTGTTCTGAAGGCACTACAGGTGCAACAGAGGACTTTAGCTGTGATCCTAGGGAAGTATATCTATCAAGTTATTTTACTCATCTGCTCAAAATAACAGAAAGCTTTTCATCTCTCTCAGCCTCTGATATGGTTTGGATCTGTGTTGCCATCCAAATCTCATGTTGAACTGTAAAGTCCAATGTTGGAGTTGTGACCTGGTGGAAAGCAATTGGATCATGGGAGTGGATTTTCCCATTGGTACTGTCCTTGTGATGGTGAATTATTGTGAGATCTGGTTGTTTAAAAATGTGTGGCATCTCCCTGGCTCTTCTCTTATGCTCTAGTCATGTAATATGGGGCTGCTTCCCCTGCATCTTCTGCCACGATTGTAAGTTTCATGAAGTCTACCCAGAAGTTGAGCAGATCTCAGCACCATGCTTTCTATACAGCCTGGAGAACCATGCAATAAAATTGTAATAAACATTTTCAGTCATAAATCTTTTGGTAAATCTGATGATTTCTTTAGGGTAAATTTCAAATTGTGGAGTTATGATAGCTTTAAATTGCACAGTTTTCTTTTCCTGAATCTATGCCCGGTCCAATAATAATTCGGCCCTAATAACCACACCCTATTTTATTTTCTCCGTATTCTTAGAGATGCCTGAGGAATTGAGAGAGTGGTCATTTTCTTTAGTTAGTATGCTTTCTTTCAATTTAATAATTCAAACTCAACATTTATTCAATTTGCCCAACAATGCAATATGTTTATTATGTACTATCTAAGCATCATTTATCAGTAGACAAGATTCAGTTTAAGTGATTAAACATATAGATGAAAAAATGAGAGCTCATCCTTTTGGAAATATGAATTTATATTATCATCCATAATAATCAATAGTCACCTTAATTACTTAATTTTCTAACAGAAAACATTGGTGCTTACATGATTATTAAGTAACTCAACTCAATTTTAATTACTTATTTTTGACTAATCATGTCAATTTCTAAGACCTTAAATTGGGGAAAAAAATGTCTGGAAGGTGACTCGCTCCTTCTCCCAAACTGAACACCAGGGCTTCAATAAAATGATATAATGCCCATTATAAAGAATTGCCCATAAATCAGGAATTCCATTCAGTAGAACCAACTATGTAAAGAAATAATTCCAAAGTAGTGACATACATCAGATCTAAAACGAGAGAGGACAGTAACTTGAAAATTAGTCTGAAATGGAGAGAAGAGAGAAGGGCACTGAATGAAGCTGGTGTTCACTCTTCAAATAGAGATTGGCTTATTCTGTTTCAAGAAGAACTCAATCCTGGTTCAAATGAAGAAATACATTTTATGCCTACAATGGGAAATTTGCTTACAAATCTAATTCTGCTAGAAATAGGGACATTATGAGTGGGAAATGCCATTCAAAGTAAGATTGAATAAATTTACTGAAAAGACATCTTGTTCACAAATCTTCCACAGCAACCCCTCCCCAGACACCATCCTCTCCTACTTAGCACATAGACCCATATTCTTTGCTCTATTTTTGTTTATCTTAGGGATTATTCTCTTTCTAACATGTGGGTGGCTATGTTCATTTATTCATTGATACATATTCAGGACTTAGCTTAATCACAGTCTTAGAGCTGGAACTTGAGAATATTCCTTGAATAAATGATTGAAAGACTTTAAGATGATCCCTACATGCAAAAAGTCAAGCTTTTACAGAAATTTCTTCTAAGATGGATAACTTAAATTAAAACTATCCAGTATTTCTGTTAAATGTTGTAAAGCCATTTTTAACTTCAATCTCTTTCTCAATCAAATAAGTGGAAGAAAACTTCATCTTCAATGAAAGCAAGAAATGATGACAAGTTCAGGCCACTTACCAAGACACTTTCTGGCTAATTGTGAAGTCTACTCAAGAAAGGGTAGATAATGATAGCCTGTGTTCCATCAGAATAAATAGTTCTCAGAAAAAAAGTGTTTGAGATTTGAGAGTAATACCCAGTAATTAAATATAAATACAAATGGATGAGTGTAAATCCCTTTTCTCAACAAATCCTGTGTATCAAGATGATATCGCTTGCTTCAGAATCCTGTTTTGAATGTTGAAAGCTGACTGTAAACTCCCCTCTGCCTCATCTTTCTAGAGAGGTGCTTATGGGAAGTTCCGAATAAAATCATATCGGTGAGAACAAAAACGAGAAAAAACATCTCAATTTTTTTTCCAGTCCTTGGCTGACCCTTTATTTTATTTGTGTGTGTGTGTGTGTGTGTGTGTGTTCATGTCACTTTTTTTTTTATTATTATACTTTAAGTTTTAGGGTACATGTGCACAATGTGCAGGTTAGTTACATATGTATACTAGTGCCATGCTGGTGTGCTGCACCCATTAACTCATCATTTAACATTAGGTGTATCTCCTAATGCTATCCCTCCCCCCTCCCCCCACCCCACAATAGTCCCCGGTGTGTGATGTTCCCCTTCCTGTGCCCAGGTGTTCTCATTGTTCAATTCCCACCTACGAGTGAGAAGATGCGGTGTTTGTTTTTTTGTTCTTGCGATAGTTTACTGAGAATGATGATTTCCAGTTTCATCCATGTCCCTACAAAGACATGAACTCATCATTTTTTATGGCTGCATAGTATTCCATGGTGTACATGTGCCACATTTTCTTAATCCAGTCTATCATTGTTGGACATTTGGGTTGGTTCCAAGTCTTTGCTATTGTGAATAGTGCCGCAATAAACATACGTGTGCATGTGTCTTTACAGCAGCATGATTTATAGTCCTTTGTGTATATACCCAGTAATGGGATGGCTGGGTCAAATGGTATTTCCAGTTCTAGATCCCTGAGGAATAGCCACACTGACTTCCACAATGGTTGAACTAGTTTACAGTCCCACCAACAGTGTAAAAGTGTTCCTATTTCTCCACATCCTCTCCAGCACCTGTTGTTTCCTGAGTTTTTAATGATTGCCATTCTAACTGGTGTGAGATGGTATCTCATTGTGGTTTTGATTTGCATTTCTCTGATGGCCAGTGATGGTGAGCATTTTCTCATGAATTTTTTTGCTGCATAAATGTCTTCTTTTGAGAAGTGTCTGTTCATGTCCTTCGCCCACTTTTTGATGGGGTTGTTTGTTTTTTTCTTGTAAATTTGTTTGAGTTCATTGTAGATTCTGGATACTAGCCCTTTGTCAGATGAGTAGGTTGCAAAAATTTTCTCCCATTTTGTAGGTTGTGTGTTCACTCTGATGGTAGTTTCTTTTACTGTGCAGAAGCTCTTTAGTTTAATTAGATCCCATTTGTCAATTTTGGCTTTTGTTGCCATTGTTTTTGTTGTTTTAGACATGAAGTCCTTGCCCATGCCTATGTACTGAAGGGTAATGCCTAGGTTTTCTTCTAGGGTTTTTATGGTTTTAGGTCTAATGTTTGAGTCTTTAATCCATCTTGAATTGATTTTTGTATAAGGTGTAAGGAAGGGATCCAGTTTCAGCTTTCTACATATGGCCAGCCAGTTTTCCCAGCACCATTTATTAAATAGGTAATCTTTTCCCCACTGCTTGTTTTTCTCAGGTTTGTCAAAGATCAGATAGTTGTAGATACACAGCATTATTTCTGATGGCTCTATTCTGTTCCATTGATCTATATCTCTGTTTTTATACCAGTACCATGCTGTTTTGGTTACTATAGCCTTGTAGTATAGTTTGAAGTCATGTAGTGTGATGCCTCCAGCTTTGTTCTTTTGGCTTAGGATTGACTTGGTGATGCGGACTCCTTTTCAGTTCCATATGAACTTTAAAGTTTTTTCCAATTCTGTGAAGAAAGTCATTGGTAGCTTGACGGGGATGGCATTGAATCTATAAATTACGTTGGGTAGTATGGCCATTTTCACGATATTGATTCTTCCTACCCATGAGCATGGAATGTTCTTCCATTTCTTTGTATCCTTTTTTTATTTCACTGAGCAGTGGTTTGTAGTTCTCCTTGAAGAGATCCTTCATGTCCTTTGTAAGTTGGATTTCTAGGTATTTTATTCCCTTTGAAGCAAATGTGAATGGGAGTTCAGTCATGATTTGGCTCTCTGTTTGTCTGTTATTGGTGTATAAGAATGCTTGTGATTTTTGTACATTGATTTTGTATCCTGAGACTTTGCTGAAGTTGTTTATCAGCTTAAGCAGATTTTGGGCTGAGACAATGGGGTTTTTGAGATATACAATCATGTTATCTACAAACAGGGACAATTTGGCTTCCTCTTTTTCTAATTGAATACCCTTTATTTCCTTCTTCTTCCTAATTGACCTGGCCAGGACTTCCAACACTATGTTGAATAGGAGTGGTAAGAGAGGGCATCCCTGTCTTGTGCCAGTTTTCAAAAGGAATGCTTCCAGTTTTTGCCTATTCAGTATGATATTGGCTGTGGGTTTGCCATAGATAGCTCTTATTATTTTGAGATACATCCCATCAATGCCTAATTTATTGAGAGTTTTTAGCATGAAGGGTTGTTGAATTTTGTCAAAGGCCTTTTCTGCATCTATTGAGATAATCATGTGGTTTTTGTCTTTGGTTCTGTTTATATGCTGGATTTATTGATTTGTGTATATTTAACCAGCCTTGCATCCCAGGGATGAAGCCCACTTGATCTTGGTGGATAAGCTTTTTGATAAAACATCTGAGTTTTTAAAAAAAAACTGTCACCCCCAGGCCAGGTGTGCTAGCACATGCCTATAATTCCAGCACTTTGAGAGGCCAAGGTGGGTGGATCACCAGGTCTGGAAATTGAGACCATCCTGGCTAATATGGTGGAACCCTATATCTACTAAAGATACAAAAAATTAGCCAGGTATGGTGGCGGGCACCTGTAGTCCCAGCTACTTGGTAGGCTGAGGCAGGAAAATCACTTGAACCTGGGAGGTGGAGGTTGCAGTGAGCCCAGATGACACCACTACACTCCAGCCTGGACCACAGAGTGAGACTCTCTCTCAAAATAATGATAATAATAATAATAATAATAATAATAATAATAATAATATATAAAAAAAACCTGTCACCCCTATTATTTTCGTAAGACTTACATGTCCAATTCTACAAGACTGCCTGAGGTGAAGCAAGTTAAGTTTGAGAGGAAGTCATCACAAAATTATAAATACAACCACAGAGAAACAATGGGTTAATGGATGATATGGTTTGGTTGTGTCCCTACCCAAATCTCATCCTGACTTGCAGCTCCCATAATTCCCATGGGTTGTGGGAGGGACCTGGTGGGAAATAATTGAATCGTGAGGATGGTTTTCCCCACAATGATTTCATGGAAGTGAATAAGTCTCATGAGATCTTTTGGCTTTTTAAGGTGAAACCCCTTTCACTTGGCTCTCAGTCTCACTTGCCACAGCAATGTAAAATGTCTTTCACCTTCTGCCATGATTGTGAGGCCTCCCAAACAATGTAGAACTGTAAGTCCATTTATCATCTTTTTCTTTACAAATTACCTAGTCTCGGGTATGTCTTTATCAGCAACGTACTGATATAGGGATTTTGCAATCATCTATACCAACTATCTAAACTATCCAATCCAAGAAAAAGGAACCCAGGACAAACAATAACGGATTTGACAAGAAGGAGTTTAAAGTAGCAAACTAAAATGACAGCTATAGAACAGATCCCTTCAATTTTAGTCTTTGTGGATTGCCAGTGGTCTGTTCTAAGAGAAGTAAAAGTCAAAATACCCACCAGAAAACTCTAGCTTAAAAACTGCAAGGAAGGCAGGTGGGGAGTGTGGAAAGAGAAACATGCCAAAAAAAAACAAAACCAAAACAAAACAAAAAGCAAACAAACAAACAACAAAAAGAGAGAGAAAAATAATGTTCACATAAGCAAATATTGATTTCAGAAAACTCTTCCAGTATCATTCTTCATATTCTACAACACATTTTCAACACATGATTGTGCTTTCAACATGAGTTGAAATAAGTACATGCCTTTAAGCAAAAAAAAAAAAAAAAAAAAAAAAAAAAAATTACAAAACAGCAGAAATCACAGATCACTTGATTTAAATTAAGTTGGGAGAGCTCATAAGACAGAAAAAACAAGAAGAAAAAGGTTGACAATGGTTATTTGGACTACAATAAAATACAATTTTAAAGACTGAAATACTGCCAGAAACACAGTGGATAGGTTTTAGGAAATCACTCCAAGTGACACAAGGAAAGATAAGCATGTTTTACATTGGATTAGATAGCAATGAAAGACAAGCAGGATTCAATGTTTGCATAATTGACATTCCCTTTTTAAAAAATTTTATTTTAGTCTCGGGGTAGATGTGAGGGTGCCTCATATCGGGAAACTTTTGTCATGGGGTTTGTTGTACAGATTATTTCATCACCCAGCTACTAAGCCTAGTACCCATTAGTTTTTTTTTTTCCTCATTCTCTCCCTCCCCCCACCCTGTACCCTCCAACATGCCCCAAAGTGTTGTTGCCTGAGGCAGCTCTCCTTTTGCTGTAGGGCACTAGCTGTGGGGAGTCTGTGCTTCACAGACCTCTGACCCTGCAATGGATGAATAAAGTACACTGACACACAGATATTCTGCATTGCCAGTCCAGCTGAGGATCCGAGGCCACTCACACACTCCAAGGACAGTTCTGTAAATAATGGCAGCTGTGGCCCTGAGCAGCTTGCACTCCAGGAATTTATTTAGTATAGAATTAACAACAGAAGCTTTGAATAAACACATTTGTAGATAATTAACACAGTTAAGAGAGTAGTTCTAGGAATGATTAAAGCTCTGGTTCCATGGTCTAAAGTAAATACCATTAAGGGGCGATGTCCCTGGTGGACCTCCCTGCAAGAGGGCCATGTGGCTCAAAGCTTAGTTAATGGAGGCAGGGTAAACAGACTTAATTGAGGAAGCCTCTATTGTCCCTAGTATTTATTTTATGACCTAAGCTCTAAGGTAAGAACTGGCCACCTTCAGCCTGTTCAATTATTACAAGCTATGTAATCTTTCGGCCTTTCAAAAAGGTTTGTGACTATTCCGTATAACTTTCCCTAGTATTTCCTTTTAATATTTCTGCCACTATCCTGAGGGAATCCCAACAGTTCCCCTTTATATATTCCATGTTTTTATCATTTAGCCACCACTTACAAGTGAGAACATGCAACTTTCTATTGCTGCATTAGTTTACTAGATAATGGCTTCCTCCTCCATTCTTGTTCCTGCAAAGGCCATGATCTCTTTCCTATTTATGGCTGCAAAGTATTCCATGGTGTACCATGTTTTCTTTATCCAGTCCACATTGATAGGCATTTAGGTGGATTCCATGCATTTGCCCTTGTGAATAGTGCTGCAATGAACATGCAGATACATGTATCTTTATAGTAGGATTTATATTTATTTGAGTATATACCCAGTAATTGGATTTCTCGGTCAAATAGTAGTTCTGTTTTTAGCTCTTTCAGGAATCACCATATTGATTTCCACATGGCTGAATTAATTTACACTCCTAACGTGTGTAAGTGTTCCTTTTTCTCTGCAACCTTGCCAGTAACCTTGTTATTTTTTGACATTTAATAATGGCTATTCTGACTAGTGTCACATTGTATCTTATGGTGGTTTTGATTTGCATTTCTCTAATAATCAGTGATGTTGAACTTTTTTCCAGATGACTGTTGGACATCATGAAGATGAGAAGAGAAGAAAAAATTAAAGATGTCACAGAAGTGGCATTTTTAAGAATAAATCAGGACTTCACTCTAGTGGTTCCAAGTTGGTTTTCAGAAAAACGGCTACACAATAAATTTCTCATTAGACCATGGCTTAAGGATATTACAAAATGTTAAAAATAAAGATGAGGGCATTAAGGAAGAAAAGGAAGTCCAGAAGAACATGGAGAAAAAGAAGGTTGGCCTAGAAGTTCTATGTCAGAATAGAATGGAACAATGGCTGTAAAGTTTGATACAATATATTCTTCACAACTGTCCTTGAAGTATGAAGACATGTGACAGCAACCAGGGTTTCTTCTTGAAGAAGAGCTACTACTTACTCTTGAAATCCATTCAAACAGATTATAGGAAAATTATTCTAAAATTCAGAAGGCTTGATCTCATGAGTGCTGGTGTGAAACATATCCATCCCAATTTAGTTCTAAGATAAAATTATTGAAAGAATTTTGGAAACTGGATTTAACTGTTACAGATTTTGCTTTTTCAAAATGACAATATAACCAACAAAACTGGTGAGCTGGAGAGAGTGTAGGTGCGAGGAAGACATCACTAGAAAGTGTTTCATCTTTCATGGCAGATAGTCAATGGATGCCCTTAAAGCTAAAACATGCCATTAACAAAACCATAATGTCTCCAACCTTTTTACAGACTTTTTTTTTTCATTCAAGGATTCTTTTTTCCCTGACAAGACATTTCACTATTTATTTTCATGTTAATACATACGGATTCTAGTTCATTTATTTTAATTCCCTGATGCAATTCTATACTATGAGGTTGTAACATTTAATCAATCCATTTCATCTCTATAGAAAAATATTAAAGTACCTTCACTCAACAGTTATGACAAGTAGCACATCAGGCAACACTTTGGCACATTTTTTGTTGCTGTTGTTTTGTTTTTTGAGATGGAGTCTCCCTCTGTCACCCAGGCTGCAGTGCAGTGGCACCATCTCGGCTCACTGCAAGCTTCACCTTCCGGGTTCACGCCATTCTCCTGTCTCAGACTCCCAAGTAGCTGGGACTATAGGAGCCCCCCACCGCCCTCGGCTAATTTTTTATGTATTTTTAGTAGAGACAGGGTTTCACCCTGTTAGCCAGGATTGTCTCCATCTCCTGACCTCGTGATCCGCCCGCCTCTGCCTCACAAAGTGCTGGGATAACAGGCGTGAGCAACCGCGTCCGGCCACATATTTTTTTTTTTAAGTTATTTTAAGTTCAAGGGTAAATGTGCAGGTTCATGACATAGGTAATCATTTGTCATGGAGGTGTGTTATATAGATTACTTTATCACCCAGTTCCTAAGATGAGTACCCATTAGTTATTTTTCTTGATCCTCTCTCTCCTCAAAAAGGATAACATTGACCCCACAGAGTAAACGCCAATGCACTAAAGTAAAAGACGTTTGCTCCCTACAGTAAACATGCTATAACTTAGGGATTTTTAAATACTAAAGCATCAATAGGGAACTTAAACAAATTTGCAGGAAAGAATCAAATAACCCCATTAAAAAGTAGGAAAAGGACAGGAATAGACACTTTTCTAAAAAGGACATACATATGGCCAACAATCATATGAAAAAAAAAATTGATATCACTGATCATTAGAAGAATGCAAATCAAAACCACAAAGAGAAACCATCTCACACCAGTTAAAATGACTGTTATTAAAGAGTCAAAAAAATGGCTGGGTGCGGTGGCTTCAGCCTGTAATCCCAGCACTTTGGGAGGTCAAGGCGGGCGGATCACCAGGTCAGGATATCGAGACCAACCTGGCTAACACGGGGAAACCCCATCTCTACCAAAAATACAAAAAAAAGTTAGCCGGGCGTAGTGGCGGGCGCCTGTAGTCCCAGCTACTCGGGAGGCTGAGGCAGGAGAATGGCGTGAACCCGGAAGGCGGAGCTTGCAGTGAGCCGAGATTGCGCCACTGCACTCCAGCCTGGGGGACAGAGCGAGACTCCGTCTCAAAAAAAAAAAAAAAAAAAAAAAAAAAAAAGTCAAAAAATAGCAGATGCTGGTGAGGTTTCAAAGAAAAGAGAACACTTACACAGTATCCGAGAGAGCGTAAATTAAATCCATCATTGTGGAAAGCAGTATAGTGACTTCTCAAAGAGCTAAAAACGGAACTACCATTTGACCCAGCAATCCCATTACTTGGTATATACCCAGATGAATATAAATCATTCTTCCACAAAGACACATGCACATGAATATTCATTGCAGCATTATTCACCATAACAAAGACATGGAATCAACCTAAATGTTTATCAATAACAGATTGGATAAAGAAAATATAGTATATACCATAATACACCAGGGGATGTTATACAGCCATAAAAAAGAAAGAGATCTTGTCTTTTGCAGGAACACAGATGGAGGAAGAGGTCATTATCTTTATCAAACTGATGCAGGAACAGAAAATCAAGTATGGAAGGTTCTCACTTTTAAGTAAGACTAACTAGACATAGGCAGTTATAAGTAAGCAACACAGGTGACATTTGGTGGGTTTAATCAGGCCAGCCATCAGCTTCAAAGGGTAGCATTACAGCATAATGGAAAGAAAAAGTGATCCATTCCAAACCAAGTCATCTTGGGTAGAAACCACTTTCCCTATGTAAGAATCTATTTCCCTCTTCACAGACTTTTCTCGAAGACCACATCTGGTAAAATATTTAAAATGTCTCACACATTGATTAACACAGGTGATTACATCTATTCAGGTGTTTTTTTGAAGTTTTCTTCCTGCTTTTCTTTTCCCACCTCCATCCCATGATTAAAAGAAAACATCACCTATCATTAACAGTTGGATAATTATTTTTTACTTTGTTTTGCTTGTCTTTACTTTTCATGGACAGAGAAAATTGGAACTGCAATTTATGTATACTCGTAAGCATTCAGGCCACGTAGAGGGGTGTTCATTAAGGTAAAATGAATGCTGCATAAATTAATTAAATTCAATCTGCAGCTGTAGATTTTCATCTGATACAGGTGTTTTAAGGGGCTGTGATTGATACATCATTAAAAGAATTAGGTGTGAGGTTAAATTAGTTATTGATCCACCTCCAGGCTGACGCTTTTTATTGGGTATGTGAAACTGGACAGGCTGCTAACTGCCCACCATAAGTGAAGGAATCACACCAGGCCTGCTCTACTTACTTGTAGCATGCAGAGAATAAAAAGAGATTTGACACCTTAGCAGATGAAATAGTCATTGAAAAAAATTGCAAGTTAATTTCCACCACAAAGGAATCTCTGTAATAGCTTATGCAAATGTATGTCCCCAGTAACTGCACACTCAAGGAGTACAATCCTATGTCTTTTACCTTTTTGAACACTTGGATGTCAGTGTGATGCAATTATCTAGTATCAATTCTAATGATGGAAGTTCAAATAACACCCTACTGGTAAAATAGTTCTGTTTTAATGAAATTCTATGCACCATTTCTAAAAAGCAAATCTTGAAACTCAGTTTAACTTAGAGGGGGAAAATGATGATTGCAACTTAGGTTGAGTGACTTATTAATTACTGTAGCTCCACCATGATTTAGGCTACAACATGAGAATGGTTCACATGAACAGACTAGCCACTTAATGAGTGTCTAGGGATCAGCAAACAATACCCCTACACGCAGACCTCAGCAACAGCTGCAAAAGCAAAAGTTTTTCTCCTGCCCTCCTGTCTCTCAGTTCCATTCTCTCCTGAGGTGCCATTGAAACCTTAATCCCTCTTCCTCAAGGCATGCTCTGGAAACCAGAATCCCTTTTCCCCACAGCCAGCCATAAAGCCTAAATAAATGAGTCTACTCACACCCACCTTTTGGTGTAAAAATTGGCCATGAAGAAATGACCTGATGTACCTTGCCTGACTGTAGGTCCTAAGACCCTTGTTCCAGAGAGGGTCCTGCCCCCACACCTAAAAGAAAGAGAGAGCTCCTCAGAGATCCCAAGAAGAATCTAGACAGATAGACCTGGCTAGGTTTCCCCCATCAGATCATCAGCATAAGATCAGACCCTTTTTATCCAATCCTATTTCTATACAACTCTCCATACTTCATTGAACCTAAGCAAAAAAAATACGGTTTCACTGTGTCATTGGGTTTTCATTCTGAATGAACCCACATACATGTTAATAAAATTTGTATACATTTTTTTGCAATTAATCTGCCTTTTGAGAGCTTATTATTCAGCAAAACTTCAGGGGAGATGTTTTCCTTTAGCTCTTGCGTGAGGAAACCCTGAAGAATCAAACAGCATTTATTTACATTTCGTAGGCGATGTCTCAATACACATTCAACTGACTTACAAGAGTGATACCATGTTTTGAATGTGTATTTAGATAAATGCTTTATGCATACAAATGGGCACAATGACAATTAAATGGAGTCTAGGGGAAAGCAAATAATTATTTCAACAATTATTCACTGCATGTCCCTACCCAAGCTCCAAGCATCCTCTAGGTAATAGGACACAATGATGAGAAAACAGAGGACGTCTATACTTTCACAGATCTTATATTTTACTGAATGTGGAGTTATCTAGCAAGAGATGAACAGAAAAGTATGTGATCAAGCCTCTTTTAGATAAGCTGAATGTAGTTAAAGAAAATAAACCCAGGTAAGGAGAGACAAAGAAAAATTTCCAAAGGAAAATTTAGGTCAGTCAGTCATTGAAGATGGTACCTGAAACTCAGTGGTAAGGAGACGGCATCCCAGGAGGATCTGAGGGCTGTGATAGCTAGCCAGTGGCTGGAAGAATCAGAGGCCCTGAGGTATGCATTAGCTTTATGGTTTCAGGAAAGAGAGAGAGAAGGTTGGTGTTGCAGGATCACAGTGAAGGAGACATGGTTAGACTTAGGGTGAAAAGTAGGAAAGAAGGCAGTCACACAGTCCTCATAGACTTCAAAGTGGAGCTTAGTTTACATCCTACATTCTATGGTAAGCCCAGTGAAGCAGGGGATTCCTAACAGTTGAATGCTGATAACTGCTGGAGCTGCTTGAAAACAGCCCTGCTATGACCACTAGGAACTCCCTTTAAGACATAATAGCAGCTTGGGTGAAGTGACAGCATGTGGGCATTTGAGTGTGTCTGGGGTGTTTTGGGGGATTTAACGTTGATACATGAATAACTTCCAGGATTTTTGCATTGTGTCAAGCACGTGAATGTGTTATTTACTTAGTGAGAAAGGCTAACAAACTATCTAGTTTACTTGTGGTGCAAAAGAGAGTCTAACTGAACCATATTTTAAATTTAGCCTGACTGGGCTTGGCAGCTCCTGCCAGTATTACCAGCTCTTTGGGAGGCCAAGGTGGGTAGATCACTTCTGTCCAGGAGTTCAAAACCAGCCTAGGCAATGTGGTGAGACCCGGTCTGTGCAAAAAAATACAAAAATCAGCAAGATATGATGATACACACCTGTATTCCCAGCTACATGGGAGGCTGAAGCAGGAGGATAGCTTGAGTCCAGGAGGTTGAGCCTGCAGTGAGCTGAGATTATGCCACTGCACCCAGCTGGGTAATAGAATAAGACCCTGTTTCAAAAAAGAAAAAAAGTTAAGAAAGTATGCCCCAGTTTTCTCTTTTTCGTCCTTTCTGCTCCCTCTCTCCCTCCCTTCTTTCCTTCCTTCCTTTCTTCCTTCTTTCTTCCCTCCCTTCCTTCCTTCTTTCCCTCCTTCCCTCCTTCCTTCCTTCCTTCCTTCCTCCTTTCCTTCCTTCCTTCATAGTTTTGGTTCACTGTAGGAAAAAAAGAGAAATGAAACAAAAAGAAGATAAATATTGAAAAATGGCCATTCATTTTTTCCCCTTAATTACAGTATCTTTAATAAAAGATCACATAAAGCTCCAAAGAATGGAAAAACAATTAGCAAATTTGTTAACCATTGCTTACCCTGTTACTGTTAAGGACTAAAATTGCTTGTCTTAGATGAAGACTTCTGCTCTTATTAATGCCTTTTGCATGAAAGCCTATATTTCACAAGCATTTTGCAAAATGGAGTGACCAGCCTTGTAAATGGCATAAAGTAATGGCATTGTGAGTCAAGCAAAGACCATACTGACACAGCTAAATTGAGTGCTGAGGTGAAAACAGAAACACATCTCATGAATTTGCTAATGTTTGAATTCCTCCTAGGTTGATCTAAAGTGTGTAATTTCATCACTGCAGGGAGAGAGCGCTTGCATAATGATAGCAGGAACTCTTTGTGATGTAGACTTCTTCAATTATTTATATGGCCTGATGATATTTGAGAAACTTCATGATAATTACTGGTTGATCCAAATTTATATGTGAGGGTCTATTGAGGGAAATTATGAATTCATTAAGCAGATATTTGTCTTTGTACCTCTTGCATGCAGTACAATATCCTGGAAGTTCTAAAATGAAAAATAGAAACTGACAATATAATTAAGATTAAAAAGCAAACACACAAAAAGATGTTATACAAGATAAAGTATGGAGCATGTAATTTGCAAAAAACAAATAGCAGCATATTGGATTTTAGAGAAAAAAGTTTACTTTTTATCAGTAATTTTAACTTTTTTTTTTGATTCAGGGCATACATATGCAGATTTGTTACCTGGATATATAGCATACTTAGGGTACAATTGATCTCCCCACCCAGGTATTGAGCAGAGTACCCAACAGCTAGTTTTTTTACTATCACCACCCTCCATCCTTCCCTATTTTAGTAACTACCAGTGTCTACTGTTCCCATCTTTATGCCCATGAATACCCAATGTTTAGCTCCCACTTATCAGTGAAAACCTGTGGCATTTGGTCTTCCATTCCTTTGTTAATTGACTTAGGATAATGACCTCTAGCTACAACTACGTTGCTGCAAAGGACATGATGTTGTTATTTTTTATGACTATGTAATATTCCATGGCCCATATGCACCACATTTTCTTTACCTAATCCACCAGTGACGGGAACCTGGGTTGACTCCATGTGTTTGCTGCTGTGAATAGTACTGCAATAAACATACAAGTGCATGTATCTAAATTAGATTATCTCTGAAAGAAAATTATGGCTCTGTGTTTAATGAAGTGACATTTGGTTTGAACCCAGAAAAACAGGGAATATTTGGATACAGCAACATTTGAATTTGAGGATGAGAAGACATTTTGTCCCTACCCAAATCTCATCTTGAATTTTAGCTACCATATTCCCATGTGTTGAGGGAGGGATTGGTGAGAGATAGTTAAATCATGGGTACAGTTCCCCCCATACTGCTCTCATGGTAGTGGATAAATCTCATGATATCTGATGGTTTTATAAAGGGAAAGCCCTTTCACTTGGTACTCATTCTCTCTTGCCTGCCACCATGTAAGATGTGACTTTCCTCTTCATTCACCTTCCACCATAATTGTGAGGCCTCCTCAGCCACGTGGAATTTTGAGTCCATTAACCCTCTTTTTCCTTATAATTTACCCACTCTCAGGCATATCTTTAGTAGCAGTGTGAAAATGGACTAATCAATCTAATTGATTCTTAAACTGAAACTATTTCTAAAGCAGCCCATAAAGAAGAAAGGAAAGAGGCACATTCTCATTGACAAGTTGCTTTAATATCATTTGATCAGGCACAGTTCCTTGTGAAATAGTTGTTTTTCTGTACAAAGTCTCTTCTCTGGATTTCCATTTGTATGTTTTCTCAAAGCTATCAGATTTACTCTCAAATAAAATCATTTAGCAATTGTAAATGACTATGACTAACTGACTCCTGGTACACTTCCCAGAATTTAAGTCTTAGGAGCAAAAGTACAATTTTGATATTTTGAATGATTTAACAAATAAGGCTTTGGGACCAAAATTGCTAAACAGCATTGTTCCAGGAAGACTTGAGGGATGATGACCTTGCCATGAATTTTTGTAAAATCTAGGATGAAGATGCAATTTTTCAACTCTAAACTCAGATCATTTGCTTCAGAAACTGACTTTAATATACCGTCAGGATGAAGGAGGGACTGGGGTCATGGATAGCAAAGTCTGCTTAATCTATACATGACAATGAACAAGATGAGTTACAAATTGGGAGCTTTAAAAATTTTATACGATGGTATTGATTCACAGGAAGTAGGTGGTTTGCCTCTGACTGTGAGGAACTCTGCTAAATGCAAAGAATAAGTGACCCCTTTAAATAAGCCACATTACAGTCACAGCTGATTCTGTAATGAGATACCATCATTTTAACTTCCAGGATAGGACAGAATTATCCAAAGTCTGAATCTCTTGGAGCACGGTATATTCATATATCCAATATCCAACGCAGGGTGCCCCCTAAGAAAGTAGTTTTATTATATGGTGCAAGTTTAAATGGAGCAATAGGATTGCCCTCATGATTTGTTACTAAAACATGGGCAAAGAACAATAGATAAAATACGATGTTTTATTAGACCAAAGAGCAGTGTCTCTAGAAAAGATTGACAGCACACCACATACTACAATAAGAACTGACTTTTTTTAAAGTCCCTTTCATAGACTGAGTCTCCCTAGTTGAGGCAGTAGATAGGGATTCCTGTGATTTTCATATAACTAAATTCTGTCTCTTCAGTGATCACCCATATGATATATTAATTACAATGAAGGCAGCTATTACAGTATGGATAGACCTTGCTGAATTTCAAATGCAAAATTATATTTCATTTTCTTGTTACCTATTGTTTCAGTCTTCCTAAGATTGACAATAGAATTTGAGAACAACAAATGTGTATTTGAAGGCCAAAGAGTGAAAGAGAAGGCATAGAAATACGCAAGTTATATAGCAAATCTCGTTTAGAT
This sequence comes from Homo sapiens, assembly GCF_000001405.40. Lineage (NCBI taxonomy): Eukaryota > Metazoa > Chordata > Mammalia > Primates > Hominidae > Homo > Homo sapiens. The sequence continues at coordinate 15,917,006 of NC_000024.10, read as the reverse complement.
AGCTGGTTATTTCTGAGAAGGGTTTCTAAGTTCAGGAGACTTTTTTTTTTTTAGTATGTTTCAGGAAAATATTCAAAAATGATCTTTTTTTCTGTATTGTACTGTATTGTACTGTATTGTACTGTATTGTATTGTATTGTATTGTATTGTATTGTATTGTATTGTATTGTATTGTATTGTATGAAATGCTACTTTCCAAAGAAGGTAATTTTCTCATGGTCTCTTCGCTTTAGGAAGCAGTCTGATATTTCTGGAATCAGGAGTGGATTGCCCGTCTTTTGTTATCTGATGGCAAACACTCTACTTACCATGTTTACCTCTCACCTGCTATGAAATGATATACAACAAATCTGTGTCTTACTCATCAACTTTTTTACAAGGATAGATTAAAAATGGTAAAATTGTAAAAGCACTACCACCTAATTAATGTGGAAAGTTTGCTCACAAAATATCATTCACTGGCATCAACCGCCTATCCTGAAATTTCTTGAATAGGGAACTGATGGTATTTGCTAATCATTAATCAACTCTACAGTGTGAAATTTCTGACTGAAAACATGTATTTTTAGGTGGGAGAAATATTTAAAGACACCTCTTTTCATATTTGTATGTCAAAATAACCCTAGAAACAATCCAATCCTTGGGGCCATCCATGTGACAAACAGCTTATTATACTCATTAGCAAGCGTTTGATAATAAAAAAAATTTGTTAAGTTTTAAGTTGTGTCAGGAAGACAAGTTTAAACTGAGTAGTGTGGTTTTGTTTACCCACCAATTGTACCACCCCAAAAAATCTGGTCCAGAGAATTAATTGATTTTGCTAAGAGAAACTAGGACTGTTCAGAATCTATCCCCTAAGGTTAAACTGTTAGGGCCAGCTGTGAAACTCCAATATAGCTTTCTCTTTGTAACTGCAATATACCACACAAGATTGAATGGAAAATGTGATATTATATACAGGACATGTTTCTTCCACCTCTCATGGACCTCAGACATTCCATTACTGTTTTCTGTCTTCACATCTCATAATGTTCTATGGATATAGACTATTCTTTGACTATTTTGGTAACTGTGACCAGGGACTCCATTGTGTTGAAATAGCAGTCAAAAATATGTTCTGCCCCTTCCAAAAAGCACTATGCCTGGTCAGTTTTATAGGTGAAGTTTAGTAAAATTTCAATAAAGAAAATACATTAACTTCATAAACTCTTTCAAAAATGTAAATGTAAAATCTTCCTAGCTCATTTCATAATGCTGGTGACCCTTAGATATAAAAATTTTCTATGTATATTTTGCATGTCTAAAATGTTTTTTCCTAAGTCACATAAACAAAGAAGAGAAAGCTCCAATACAAGCATAAAATAACAAACATTAATATTATCTAATTCCATGTTTAGAATAAACTTTCTTAGCTATAAAACCATAGAAAGAACCCATCATTGTAAAGATTTACAGGTTGATAAACTGTATAAAGTCGTTTATATATTTGTAGATTTATAAACTATATAAAATGTACCAATATACTACAACCAACATAATCCATATGCAAATATGAATGCAAAATGAGGACCAGCACAACTATTTGCAACATATAATTCTGCCTTAGTGTTTGCTAACATTATACCTATCTCTTCCCTTTCTCATCTAGACAAGAAGTTGGCAAACTTTTTCTATAAAGAGTCAGGTAGTGGAAAAATGTGTATCCACAGTCTCTAAGTGGGTGGGCATGGCTGTGGTCTAATAACATTTTAATTACAAAACAGTCTGGGTCCATGGAATATAAGTTATTTACCATTAGTCTGGATCATACATAGTTTTTGTTTTTAATTTTCTAAGGACAGACTGGTCAAATGTTCTATTTGCCCTTATCCGTTGTTACTGCCCAACAAAATATATGTTCATTCAGCCTTCCCTCTGAAGATGAGAAACTTTAATTATCTGAAGCTTCTACACTCCTTCCAATTGTATGGCTCACTGAATATTGATGACTGTGCAAATGACAAAGAGGCGGATATTGGCCTTCCACCTAGATCCTCCAAGAGAATATGAGGACAACTTTTCCAAAAGCAACTGATATGAATCTTTCCATAGCTTTTGCTGGGCAAGTGAGTGCCAGCTCATATTATGTAAAATGCGTTTAGGCCTTTACTCAGGCAAGTATCATTCCAAGTTTCCAAATAAATCTTTGAAGTCATTTATAGCGAAAGAGCATAAAAGAACTTGCTTGCTTGTTACTCAGGGAATGCAAACATGGCCACACATTTTTGCTAGTCTTGTGCCTCATAAGACAGACAAACCATTACATAACAGTGACCAGATGCTCTGGCTCTATAACAATACCCCACATTGGCTGATAGAAAGAGGTCTCTACTTTGGCCAGGCTTGATCTTCTTTGATAAAGCCTATAATGCCAGTGATTTGGTAGGTCAAGCAGGAGTATTACTTGAGGCCATGAGTTTGAGAACCTGGGCAACATAGTGAGACCTTGTCTCTACAAAAATATAAAAGTAAAATGGAAGAAAGAAGGCTTTAGTAACTCCATAGCAAATAAAAGTCTTAATAAAAGTGGGATCAAAAAGTAAGAAACAGGCAAATAAGTCTATCAGCTGTTCACTATCTCAACTATTCAAGAAAAGCAAAATCAAAACAATGCCATCTCTTAATCTATTTTTCATAATTGGAATGAAATGAAATAAAAGTAATGGACAATGTTGGTAAATGTCAGGTGGCAAGGTCAATGCTATACATTGTAAGTGGGCAATTAGGTCTTTCTATAGGCCAAAGTGGGGAGGAAAAAAGAGAACTGCAATTTGCATGTCCCTTTGGGAAGAGGATATTGGGAAATAAGACTGGAAGTATGGGATACTAGATGTGGAAAGAGTAAAGAGATGACCATCTTAAATCTTGAGCTGCCAATGAAGAGGGGTGCTGGCAAAGCTTGGTCATACTTTTGTGACACAATTACCTTAAGTCTAGCATGTTTCAAGTCACCCAAAGGGCTGAAAATAGAGGAGATCTCTTCATGATTGTTGAGTCTCAGAATCTCCATCTCTTAGATGCAATTCTCTGTGGGTGTGCATAGACTACCCAATACTCCAACCATTCTGTTGAATGATGGTCAATACTAATATTGACTCCAGACTCTGGAAAATTTGAAATGAGATTCTCCAGTGGAATACTCTTCCCTGAGCCCAGTTCTTTATCCAGCCTGTTACATCACAAAGAACTTGGTCATATTCCTTGGCAGGGAGAGAACATTTTGTAGTGATTCTCAACCTCAGCTGTTATTCAAATCACCTGCAGAGCTTTAAACATCCCCCTCCCATGTTATAACCTGTACTAAGTTGAATATGCACTGGTATATTGGGACAGGTTTGTTTTCTGTGTCAACATTTTCTCTAATAAAGGCATCAACAGCTGCTTCTTCTCCTGACGAATAACATGAGTGATGGGCATACATCTCAATCTCTGGGGGAATGTCTGGGAAAAACACGAGCCACAGACACATCTGTGGCTGTTTTTCCAAAGAAGTTTTCGGGAAGTTTAGTATTTATACATTTCCTTAAAGGTGTGGAGGAATGGAGGAAGAGGGGCAGGTAGGAGGTTAGACAAATACTACATATTCCGTATGCTGAGGTGGAAGTCTGAATGGATAATGTTGGAAAGGAAGAGTCAATTATGCAGACATCTCTGCATAGGTGGAGGAAAAAGTCTTGACTTTGCATCTGGGAGGTAAGCTTGTAGTGAACATTATCAATGTGTAGTGTTAGGAGCTAGATTTTGATTGATTGTATACTGAAGTTATGATTGGCATGTCCTTGTTTCTGGGAGGCCTGCAAAGAATTTGCTTGCAAGTGACCTGTGGAAGCTGTCCTTTCCAGGTGCCTTAGAACTTTCACCTCTCCACAGGATCTGGTTGGCACACAATATGAGTAAGAGCTATTCATTTGGAAAAGAGTGTTAGAATGACCTTCCTTTTTGTGTAAGATGTTTGGAGAAGTGGATACTGAGATTTAGAAAATTTTTCTTTACTTAAAAATATTTTTGAGTGCCAAAGTATATCAAAAGCTCTATTCCCTGTGCTGGAGAAATAAGAGAAAATAAGACACAATCTTTGTCATAACATCACCCATGCTGCTGGGGGAATCACATATTTGAAAACAAATGAACAGATGTATTAGTTAGTTCTTACACTGCTATGAGGAAATACTCAAGACTGGATAATTTATAAAGGAAAGAGGTTTAATTGACTCCCAGTTCTGCAGGAATGGGGAAGCCTCAGGAAACTTACAATAGTGGCAGAAGGGGAAGGACACATAGCCTTCTTCACATGGCACCAGCAAGAAATGCAAATCAAAAGGGGGAAAAGCCCCTTATAAAACCTTCAGATCTCATGAGAAATCACTGTCACAAGAACAGCATAGAGGTAATTGCAGCCATGATTTAATTACCTCCCACAGGTTCCCTCCCATGCCATGTGGAGATTATGGGAACTACAACTCAAGATGAGTTTGGGTGGAGACACAGCCAAACCATATCAACAGATATAACATCTATCTAGAGATGATCACAGATACAGAGAAAAGTGGCATAGGATAAAATGGCATAGTTAGACAGTGGATGGGGAAGAAGTTGTTATTTTAGAAAAGGAACCCAAGAAAAATATTTTGAATTAGATGACATTTAAATAGAGACCTGAAACAAATCGGGGTACAATTTATCATTCACATCTAATAGGGCAACCATGCAGATATATAGGAAATGGCAACCCAGGTTGAAAATATTAGCAAGTGCTAATTCATAGAACAGGAGGCTATATATAATTAATGACGTTACAAAAGACTATGGAAGATTTTATGGCTGGACTAGAATGAGCAACACAAGGAATTTGGAATAAGACCAGAAAGGTTATAGAATTAGAAGTTTAATTTTTATTTTGATCAAAATGAGAAACCATTCAAGAGATTTAAGCAGAAAAGTGACACAGTCCCACGATCTACATTTGCAAAAAACCCACCTGCCTGCTGAGTTGTCAATAAGCTGCCGTCGGCAGGTTGCCTGCACGACCTGGGATAGAAGTGACGAAGACTTGGATCAGGTTGGGATGGAGAATGTGGGGAGAAGGGGTCAAGGTTTGGATTTGATTTGACCCTGGCTGAAGAATTTGTAAGAAAGAAATGAGATAGGGATGACTCCCTCTATTTTTGACCTCAGTAGCTTGAAGAATAGAGTGGTTCATTTCTAACTCAGAAAAGACAAAAGAACAGATGGGGCAGAACTGAAGGGGGCATGGTAGTGGACATCTATTGCAAACTGTAGCTTGGGGTTGAGAGAGAATTTGGATCTTTCAAGATACTTTGAATTATATTAGATAGGCATAATGGACTTCTCTTACAAAGTCTGTATTTCCCACCTCTGATTTTAGATGGCCCAATTTTAGGAAAATCCTGTCTCTTGATTTTAAGTTTGCTGAGAACATCAGAAAGTAGCTAATTCACTCCAACACCCTACATTTTGCCTTTCAGCTGCCCTACACCTTGATAGCCCAGAAACTGCATCCTGAGAAATAATTGGTGATAATTTAACTAGTGTTTTGTAACTACTTATTAATAATAATCAAACTAACATCTCAGAATAGTGGAGTTCTTAATTATTTCTCTCTTCATCATTCATTCAACCAGCTAAACGTATTAGATGTGTGAATTATGGCAAACCACTTCTTACAACATTATTCATTAGTAAGACAATTTTGGATGGAAAGAAATATGGAAAAATATTACTCCAACTGACTTTTAAAAAAGCAATGTATGTTGATGCATGTAGCTGAAATTCAGATGTAGGACAATTTTGAGGGTTGATTTAACTAATAACTTCTTCTCCATTTTTTTGTGAAATTCTTTTGGTCTTCCTTTTGCAGGGAGTTGGCTGCATTTTCAGCCTGCTCTCTTTCATACTGCCAAAGTGGCTGTTGCATACCAGCTATCACAAGCACACGTCACTGTGTTCATAGAAGAGAAGTGCTCCTACCTATGCATGATGAGCCATAATCCCAATATTAGTTCCAATTGGACTACTTGGGTCTTATGTCCTCCATGTGCTGACCAGTTTAAACAAACTGAGATTCAGCAGAGCACTAGGGTCAGGTTTAGCCTCTATTGAGGTATGTGGCCAATGTGGATAAATGGTGGATACTAAATAAAAATATGGGTGACATTAAAAAGAAGATTAAATGGATCATGGATTGGCAACCTACAATATGAATTCATATTAAACACACATACACACACACACTTTGTATGTTTTTATCTCTAAATGACTGATATGGTTTGGCTGTGTCCCCACCCAAACCTCACCTCAAGTTGTAATCATCTCCATGTGTCAAGCACAGGGCCAGGTGGAGATAGTTGAATCGTAGTCATAGTTTCCTGTTCTCATGGTAGTGAATAAGTCTCATGAAATCTGATAGTTTTATAAATGGGAGTTCTCCTGCACAAGCTCTCTTGCCTGCCACTATGTAAAACATGACTTTGCTCCTCATGATCTTCTGCCATTATTTTGAGGCCTCCCCAGGCACATGGATCTGTAAGTCTATTAAACCTCTTTCCTTTATAAATTACCCAGTCTCGTGTATGTCTTTATTAGTGGCATAAGAAGAGACTAATACAACAATCACATCCATACATAAATATTTACAAATATAGGATAAACAAAACCTGGTATATATATATATAGAATGCAGTACTATTCAGCCACAAAAATAATGAAACTATGTTGTTTGCATTAACATGGATGGAAACAGGATCATGGAGTTTGTTAGCTGAAGTGAAACAAGCTAGACACAGAAAGACAAATAGCACATGTTCTTATTCATAAGTAGGTGCTAAAAATGGGTACAGATGAACTTAGACAATAGAATGATAGACAATGGAGACTTGGCAGGGTGAGTGGATGGAAGGGAGATGAATGATAAAACTTATTTAATGGTACAATGTTCATTACTCAGGTGATGGATACTCAAAAAGTTCTAACTTGACAATTATACAGTCTATGCATGTAATTTCATTTGTACCCCCAAATTTATATACATAACTCTGCCCTCCCCACAAGAAACAAATATTCACTAGTTGTTATGATAAGCAGCATCTATGAGGGTCCCCAAATTATTTTCCACTTGCGAAATTTACAACCTCATGCAGGTCCTTCCCTTCAGCTTGGATTGCACCAAGGAAGTTACTTCTACCAGAATACAGCAAAAAATGGGCCATCACTACTGAGATTAGAATTTTATCTTGTGAATCACCATTCACCTGCTTCCTCTGAGGGACACCTTTTGTAACCATTGGAGATGTCCTACAATAAAGACCACATGTAAAAGAATTGCCATCTCTGGACAACAGCTAGTAAAGAACTGAGATTGGCAAAAAGCAACATCAGTGTGCCTGGAAGCAGACTCTTGTCCAGTCAAGTTTTCACATAAAACCCCAGACTCAGATTGTTGTAGGAAGTCAGGGACCCCAAATGGAGGGACTAGCTGGAGCTGCAGCAGAGGAACTTAAATTATGAAGATTTCATGGACAATTATCAGTTCCCAAATAATAATTTTATAATTTCTTATGACTGTCTTTAATCTCTTAATCCCTTTATCTTCATAAACTGAGGATATACATCATCTCAGGACCACTGTGATAATTGTGTTAACTGTACAAATTGATTGTAAAACATGTGAGTTTGAACAAATGAAAACAGTGCACCTTGAAAAGGAACAGAATAATAGAAAACTTTAGGGAACAAGGGAAGACCTTATGGTTATAAGGTTTGAGTGCCTGAGGGGTTGGGCAAAAGGAGCCATATTTTTCTTCTTGCAGAGAACCTATAAATGGATGTGCAAGTAGGGAAGGTATCACTAAATTCTTTTCCTAGCAAGGAATATTAATATTAAAACTCTGGGAAAGAAATGCATTCCTGGGGGGAGGTCTATAAATGGCTGCCCTGGGAATGCCTGTCCTATGCAGTTGAGATAAAGACTGAGATACGCCCTGGTCTCCTGCAGTACCCTCAGGCTTATTAGGGTTGGAAACTCCACCCTGGTAAATTTGTGGTCAGACAGGTTTTCTGCTCTGGAACACTTTTTTCTGTTGTTTAAGATTTTTATCAAGACAATATGTGTACTGTCGAACATATACCTTTATGAGGAGTTCTGCTTTGCCCTTGTCCTGTTTCCTCAGAAGCATGTGATCATTGTTCTGCTTTTTTGCCTTTTAAGCATGTGATCTTTGTACCTACTCCATGTTCGTACACCACCTCCCCTTTTGAATTCCTTAATAAAAATTTGCTACTTTTGAGGCTCAGGCGGACATCACCATACTACCAACACGTTATGTCACCCCTGTGGCCCAGCTGTAAAATTCCTCTCTTTGTATTCTTTCTCTTTATTTCTCAGCTGGCCGACACTTAACCAAAAATAGAAAGAAACTACGTTGAAATATGGGGGGTGGGTTCCCCTGATATCAGATGACATTTAATTGCAACTTTATAGGAGTCCCTATGCCAGAGGACTCAGCTCATCTGCTCCTGGATTCCTGACACACAGAACCTGTGATGTCAATAATTAAGTTGCTAAGTTTTAAGGGGATGTTTTAATGTAGCAATAGATTACAAATATGAAAATCATATCTCAAAACTGGAAACAATTTTAATATTCAACACTATGGGCTTGGTCAGTCAACTTAACTGAGACCTATGTTTTAAGAAAGATGAGTCAGTGCCACACATCTGTAATCCCAGAACTTTGAGAGGCCTAGGCAGAGATCCTGAGTCCAAGAATACAAGACCCACCTGGCCAACATGGTAAAACCCCATCTCTATACAAAAAAATAGAAAACATTAGCCAGCTGTGGTAGTGCACTCCTATCGTCCCAGCTACTCAGGACACTGAAGCAGAAGAATCACTTGAGCCTGGGGGCAGGGTTTACAGTAAGCTGAAATTGTACCACTACACTCCAGTCTGGATGACAGAGTTGAGACTCAGTGTCAAAAAAAAAAAAAAAAAAAAAAGAAAGATGAGTTAGACCCCTTTATCCCACCCACCCACTTACTTCCTGAGCATGTCACTGTGGTCCAGAAATTTAGCCTTCTATAATATCTCCAATTCTTTAAAAATTACAGTACCTATTTCATAAGATTATTGTGAAGACTAAATGGCACAATCCATTACTCAATAAAGTGTTTGGCAGAGAATAAATAATCAAAGAAGTAAGATTTCTTTTTTTAATTACTGTGTACTTATTGTAAATCATACTCTTGTAGAACATTCATGAATATGAGAAATGCTCATAATATATTATGTAAAGCTAATATATATATATATATACGAATGCATGGGCCAAAAAGATAGGGGTTTGTATGTTAAAATGTAAGTGGACTAATATTGGTTGTGTTGATGGTGGCACAATTCCATGAATTCATTTAAAACCACTAAATGTGGACTTTATGCAGGTTAATTGTGTGGTGTGGGAATTATATCTCAACAAATTTGTTAAAAATGTACACAGTGATTTTGTTTTCTGTTGTAGAAGTTTGTTTGCCTCTATACATTTTGATATTTTCTATTGTGACCATATTTTTGTTTGTTTGTTTGAGACAGTGTGTCACTCTGATGTCCATGCTGTAGCACAGTGGCATGATGTTGGCTCCCTGCAGCCTCAACTGCACAGGCTCAGGTAATCCTCCTTCCTCAGCCTCCCAAGCCACTGGGACCACAGGCACATGCCACCATGTGCAGCTGATTTGTGTATTTTTAGTAAAGATGGAGTTTTTCCATGTTCTCCAGGCTGGCCTTGAACTCCTGGGCCCAAGAAATCTGCCCACCTCGGCCTCCTAACATGCTGGGATTGCAGGCATGAGCCACCATGCCCAATGAGCCACCAGAGCTGAACATCTTTTAAATAATCAGAATATCTTATTAAAAATCTAAGTTTAATTTAAAAATACAGGCAGCAAAGAACTGTACAGTTCTTCCACTACGAAACTTTCTCTCTTCCATTATGAAACTTTATCTCATACAGTTTGATATGGATTTATCATTCCTGGAAGTTTAACAAACAAAACAAAATTATTTTGTTTCTGTTATTCTATTAACAGCAAAACTTTTTAAGAGGTGTAAGTAAATCTAATTGCCATATGGAGTATTATATCATGTGAAAGGATAAGAAAAGCAGCGGAAATAATTTTCCAGTATTTTTAAAATAACTTTGCTTAAACCTACCCTGTAACACTGAGAAAGAACTATTAAAAAACGCAATGGATATTGGTCCAGTATGCTGTATTGATTGATTGGTTATTCTCTACTCAGAAGTGTGTACAATGCCTGGGACTCATTATCTCTTTGAATACCTTTTCATTCTTATGTGGCAGGTTTAAGGGCTCAGCTGCTTCTGAGAGAACTCCTAACAACGCCACCTCCTGAACTGTCACACCCATGTTATAATTCCCTCTTTGTGTGTGGATAGGACCTAAAGACTTCCTTCTAATAAATGACATACAAAAAATGATGAACTGCTACTTTCATGATTGGGTCTGAAAGGTATGTAGCCACTCTCTTGGTAGCAGGCAACCTCTACTACTTTTTTGACTTAAACACTTTCATGATGCATGCTGCCATGTGTCAGAAGCTAGCACAGCAAAGAACAAATAGAGACCTCTGTCAAACTGTCATCAAGTCCATCAACCTATCCATTAGCCCACCAACCTAAAAGAAATCAAATCTGAATTCTGCCAGCAACTGCAAGAGCTGAAAGTGGAATATTTTCCTGTTAAGCCTTAACATGATTATGGTCAGAGAACCCAGTTAACCTGTGCCCAGGTTCCTAACCAGAGACATTGTGAGACGACACACTTGTGTTGTTCTAAGTCACTAACTTTTGAAATACTTTGTTCTCTAATAATCAATAACTAATAAGGTCTAATACCTTGCTTACTAAATGAGAAAGACATTATGTTGGGACAACTAAAAGGAGTGCCATTTTTATATAAGTGGAGAAAACTCTCCAATTTCTTATACAAAGAAGTGTTCTCACCAGGAAATACAACATTTCAACAAGTTGTCAGATTTTGATAAAAATCTAGTGATAGATAATTCATAAATGGGTGGTGTATAGGAATTCAGAAAGCAGTTCTTTTGAAAGCAAACTGAGCTCAGTTCTTTCGAAAGCAAACTGAGTCTTTCGAAAGCAAACTGAGTCTTTGGAAAGTAAACAGAGTCTTTTGAAAGCAAACTAATCTTCCTTTCTCACAAAATGCCACAAAGCACCTGTGTCTGACAGAATCCTAAACTCAGGCTGTCAATTTTGTTCCCCAACCACAAGTCTATGCCCTTCCTGGTAATGGTAAGAATCAGAACCTACAAGTCTTTCTTTCCACACAGGAAAGTTTCACTATGTAATTCTGAATGCTTCTTTCTTAATTTGTTGGGATTTCACGGGGGTAATTTGAAATCTGCCTGTAGGCTGTGTTATGTACACACTATTAAGATCAGACTGTTTTTGCTCTCTGAGTGGATTCTTCATGGGCCTTCAATAGCAATTATACCTTTTGGATAATAATGGGTTTATGTCTGAGCATTTTCTATTATGCGATGAGATAAATGGCCAATTACCCCAGCGGTACAGTGCGTGAGCTGTGTATTTAGAAAGTCTCATGTCATCACTCTGACCACAGCTAATGTGTGTGTGTGTGTATATATATATATATATATATATATATATATATATATATATATATCTGGAATGTTTACTGGAAAAATATTGTGACCCCCATTTAATTCTTCAAAAAATAAAGCTGGATTTGAAATTTGCTATGTGTCCAAAATATTATTTTTAAGACATAAGGTATTCTTCCCTCTGTAGATTCCAATCTTAAGGAGTAAGAGATGATTTCTTCCTGCTAACCTCAACATATATTCAGGATGTTTTTGTATGTAAAATGTGGAGTACTTTATAGTTCACAATTCTTTTTCATTTTTTCCCCCATGAACATGTGATATATGTGAGAAATACAATGAAGTTCCATGCAGAATTAAGATTGAGAAGATCTCCTCTAGGCAAGTGGCTCTCAACTATAGCTGCACATTGTAAATCAAGGTCAGCATCGGTTTTATTGCTTTAAGGAGGTGTCCTTTACATCAGCATTTTACACAAAGAGCTCCTTGGGTCATTCTAATGTGGAGCCAAGAATAGGAATCACTGTTGAAGCATCAACACTGTTTTTCACAGAAGTTGGCTTTGTATAGACCTACGGGGCCAGCCATCATTCACCGAATATCAATCCTCAATCCAAGATGTACCATATTCACGGAATAACCACTTTCTCTTGTCAGTCCTTTCTTCCTTCCTTTTGGGAGAATGTATTTCAGGTGCTACCTTCCTACAAAATGTAGAACATATTTCTCCCTGCAAGATAATCTTATATTATTTAAAGACATGTTTCTGAGTTGAAATATAAAGGTGATGTTTTAAGAAGTAAAGAATACTTATCTTAGAAAACACTAAAAATTCTCACTTCAGTGTTGTGAAACTCAAATTATTATTTAAAAATGTATATAAAACTTCACTGCGAAACTCAAATTATATTTTATTTAAGAATTGGTATGAAACGTTGTAAGGGCATATGTCACAGATTTGCTTATTTTGAAAGTAAACTGTAGAGTACACAAACAAAATGAATGGTTAATTTCATAACATTCCAATTCTTAGAAAGCTAGAGAAAATATTCTTATCTTAGAGAATTAGTAGTTATTGTGTGGTCACCTGTCAAGGCAAAATGAAACTAAATTTCAAAATTTATTAAATAAATGTGAGAGTTATTTGCTCTATCAAAGCATATACATTTGTTTTAGATTTTGCTATTATTAGGGTATGGAAGGAAGACTTTTGTAGAGTTGTTGTATTGACATCTTTTATGTTCCTCAATATCCTTTCTTCTCCAACACTTACACTGTCACTTCTGTGTGGTGCTTTATCCGAGTATAACTGGACAACAGTCTTCCATGCTGCTTGGCTTAGGGTTTCTCTGACATAGCATAAGACATCCACAAAGCCCACCACTCACGGGCAGCCACAGATCATAGCGCCAATGGCGCCACCCTTGGCCACTGCCTATCAGGAGCTGTAAAATAAGTGGTTTACCCCTTTGATGTCTCAGATAGACAATTTTAAGGTGTATTTCAGAGGCTTTTCAGAAGGTCCCTGACAGGATTGAACATGTGCTATTCTGGAGGTGGATGAGTCAATGAAGCATCATTGTACTGGGTGTTCTCTATTTTATTTCCTTTGTTCTAGACGCCTTCTTTCTGGAACTACATTCTTACCTAAATTATCCACCCACAAGCTTTTCCCACCACTGTTAAGGGAAGCCTGGGTAAGACTATAATCACATTATTTGCTTATCTTTCTTCCTCATTAGCTTGCATGTTTCTCTTGTAGATGAAGCTTTTTACTCACGTATCTTTGCAGCCCCTCACAACTACTGCACAAAATAAAACAGGCACTCAAAAATTATTTTCTGGATCGGTGAATGGATCTCAGGGTCTACTTCTCCAAGAAGTTTACTTCTGATAGCTCTAGCTTTTTTTTCCAATGCTAACATGCTTCATCTGCCCTTTCCAGCATTTTTCTGTAGCATATCAAGGACTTAAGTACTGTTTACTGCAAGATATTTAAGCACTTAACTCTTGTTCATGGCTTGTGTTTCAGTTTCAACTTGTCTATTCATTTTGCAGACGATTTCCTGAAGACAGAAATTCATAAAATTCATTTCAAGTAAGAAAACATAGGAAAGTACTTGGTCAACAGTAAAAGATACACAAGTGGTAATGATGATTGTGATGTAGATGGTGATGATGGTGATGGTGATGAAGATGATTGTGATGATGACGGTGATGATGATTGTGGTGGTGATCATGGTGATGGTGGTGATGATGATGATGGTAATGGCAATGATGATGATAATGGTGATGATAATGATGGTGATGATTTTGGTGATGGTGATGATTGTGATGATAATGGTGATGGTGAAGTTGGTGACAGGGATGATAATGATGAAGACGACGGTAATGATGTTGGTGATGATGGTGATGGCAATGAGGGTAATGATGTTTCTGATGGTGATGGCAATGTTGGTAATGATGATTGTGATGATGACGATAGTGATGGTGATGATGATGATGATGGGGATGATGGTAATATGATGGCAATAGGGGGAGTGATGATGACAATAATGATAGTGTAATGACCAATAGGCAGACATCCTATATTCAGTATAAAAGCAGAGTTCAGATATTAGCAGACTTCCATGGTTAACTTTTTTACCTGAGGGTGGGTCACATAGGAAGGTCTGTCTCTATGCAAGGCAAAGGGAAGTCATCATGTTCAATTCCAATTTCCTTAATTTCTATAGCAATAATAGCTCTATTGTTTCACCATCATCACATATTATCCCAGTTGGAATCCATGTGTCTCATAGGAAGGCAATCGACACATTTTCATTTACACCTCAAACTGGCTTATCAAAGGAGATTCTAGCACTTTTAGTAAAAATCCTGTCATTTACAACTAGGCGTTAGCTAATCTAAATAAGTCAGGCAGAGGAAGATAAATACTGCATGATCTCACTGATGTGTTGAATTTTAAAAGTTGACCACATAAAAGCAGAAGGTAGGACAATGGTTACCAGGACTGAGGTGTGGAAAAATTGGGGAGATGATTGTCAAACAGTACAAACTTTTAGTTATGATGAAAGATAAACAGGTTCTGGAGAACCAGTGTACAGTATGGTGATGATAGTTATCAATACTGTATTGTATGCTTGAAATGCACTAAAACAGTAGGTCTTAAGTGTCCTCACTACCCATACACACATACACACACACACACACACATGCTAACTATGTGAGGTGATAGATGTGTCAAGTAAATTTATTGTGGTAATATTTCACAATATATACACATAGGAAAGCATCAAATTGTGCAACTCAAAGGTATATGATTTGTAAAGATCTATTTATAATACTGTCTCCTTATTTTGCTGTACTCTGTATTCTAAATATTTATATTATTTTTTGTTAACGCTACTTTCTCACTATTCATTGGGAAATAGGTTAGATATATTCATATGGTCCTGTAATTGTTATTTTAAAGTATGGATATTATAATTTAAATTGCTTTTTTGCTTCTAATATGTCACTAAATCTTGTAGCTACATATTTAACCATTAACTAGTATACGGAAGTTCAATGATTATACAATGGCAAGACCCTACCTCCTCTTCCACCAATATATGTTAAACATAGAATTAAAGGAACAAAATTAAAATGACTATCCATTGAAGGATAAAATAATTGGTCAAAACAGGTTAACTTGAATGTCATTAGG
The DNA here is from genome assembly GCF_000001405.40 of Homo sapiens. Taxonomy (NCBI): domain Eukaryota; kingdom Metazoa; phylum Chordata; class Mammalia; order Primates; family Hominidae; genus Homo; species Homo sapiens. Next base: position 15,901,581 of record NC_000024.10, on the reverse strand, counting down.
AAAAAATGGTACTAAATTCAAAATCATTAGTGATGAAAAAGTAATTTTAGAAAAAAGTACAGTATTATTTTCTTATAAGAAGCTTAACTTAAATATATGAATTGGCATGTGTGGAGAAAATGCCCAATATCGGTTCACTATTACAGATTTACAGGAGGTTATCTGTACCTTACAGAAAAGTAATTGCACGGTTAGGTGTGAATTATGGGAACAACATAATTATTAGACATTCTAAAAAGCATGATGTCTCTTCAAATAAAATATCATGTTACTTATGTTCCACTTTTAGCACACACATAACTGCTTTTGCTAATTGATAATCATTATTTGTTATTACTGAAAGTTTGCTTGAGTTTGGCTTATTGATTTTTCCCCCATTTCTTCCTGATCTACCTTTTTGTCCTCCGTCTCTTTATTTCCTGCCTTCATGCATCTGAAAAGAGATGACTATTTGGAGGGTTAAATTATTATGAGGTGGTCATGATATGAGAAAGGTTACAACACAGAGGGTTACTCCACATTTGTACTCAGAAAATTCGTCAGTTGGAAAAACAAAAACAAAACAAAACAAAAAAATGTTTCTTCTGTTTTCCAAGAAAGTAAGCAATTTCTGGACATTTCCCTGGGTAAGATAATGCCTGAAGCTTCTTGATAAAAAGCTAAAAGAAGAAATTTTAGAAACTACGAAATAGAGGCATTTGCAATGTGCTATGGTGTTCACTCAGGAATAACATTTTGCTCTTCATTTAATAGCAGGGCCCCATCCTGCCTAACAGATTGACACCCCGTCTCTACTAAAAACACCAAAAATTTGTTGGGTTTGATGACACACATCTGTAGTCCCAGCTACTCGAGAGGCTGAGGCAGGAGAATCTCTTGAACCTGGGAGGCTGAGGTTGCAGTGAGCTGAGATCCTGCCACTGCACTCCTGCCTGGGTGACAGAGCGAGACTCCGTCTCAAATATATATATATATATATTATATATATATATATATATATATATATATATATATATATTTTATATATATATTATATATATATATTATATATATGGAATATATATATATTTTATATATATATGGAATATATATATGTGGAATATATATATGGTATATATATGGAATATATATGGAATATATATGGAATATATATATGGAATATATATATGGAATATATATATGGAATATAAATACATACATATATATATATGGAATTGCTATTGGAAGGCAAATTGTTTATATTCATGACATCTGTGTTGTTTTTAAAAATGGAATTCTAAAACTTATGAAATATGTGAGATTTGACCTTATTTTGGAAAAAAAAAAATTGATCATTGTCTGGTAGCTATAATGATCTGGCAAAGTCATGATAATGTTTCTTAGACTACATGGCAAATAAAGCCTAATGCCAAAGACACACAATTGATCAGATGGCATTGCTTCTTGGGTCTTGAATAAAAAATATTTTATAATGTAAATGATTCTTAAGGTTATCATACGAAAAACATGTTTTTGCCATTTAGTTTTTGGTTCCATATGAAAAAATGGCTCTATATTATGAAAGCACATTTTGGAATCTTTCAGCTGACAGAGACTTTGGGATTAAAGATATCATTATCTATAACCCACAAAAGAATACTCGTTTCTAATATATATGCCCACAAAACCAACAACACTGGTTTATAAAAAAAGAGAGAGTGTCTCATTATGAGCTCAATTTTCTATAATCTGACACTGTGTGAATATAGTTCAAGATGGAAATTTCTTTCATTATAATTTTTTAAAACTGCTATGACCTTGTCAGCCACATTGAAATAACTAGAAGCAAAATTTATGCTTAAAACACACTGAATATGTACATTTATTAGAGAAGTTAATAGTATTTGAAATGAGCCATATTTCACTCTATGATGATCACAAAAACTTTGAGCCACACAGCATAGTCATTATAGGGATTGATCCAATGTATTTTATTTCATAAAGGAGTACAGGTACGTTTTACTGTACAACCACATTCTCCTGAATCTAGGTACTAGGAATATAGGAGCTGGAGGTAAATTATCTAATATAGTTAGCAGAAGTTACATTTCCTTAACACTATTCATGGATTACCTAGGGCAAATTATGATTCATTCTTTATTGCAAAAAAAATTCATTTTATGTAGCAAATTATGTCTACGACTAGTATTTTAGTTATTATTTCCCCTAATGTAGATTTCCAAGGGTACTACATGCCCACTAATATTTGGAAAATATTGACTAGAATTGCAATAGCAATTTGGTTCCTAATTTTCCTGTTACTGCATTTGTGGCATTCCTAAAAGATATCACCCACTTAGAATGCATGTCTTATTTTATTAAGCTATTCTCTCCATGAGAAAAGAGGAGTAGCGAAGCTGATATAGTACACTTCATGTTTCACTCTCAAATCACATTAAAAAAAAAAAAAAAAAAAAGGCCTTAAGTGGTTTAAGCAGCCACACACACAAAGAGTGGCATATAATGAGAAGCATTGCAGTATCTGCAGAGGCCACTAACTGAGAATGACACAAAGGACATAAAAATAGAGAGCATACCTTGAATCTGAATTTTTAGGGGGTATACAGTGATGTATAGAGAGAGACAGTTGGCTCTGAAATTAATCAGATATTATAATTTGCTGTTTTTGTCATAATTTTAAATTTTTAACTATTATAGGCATTGTATATATTGTATGGACATTGTATATGTTTATGAAGTACATGTGATATTTTCCTGATTCTACTCTTTTAGTTATTTTGAAATATACAACAGTGATTAACTATAGTCACCATACTGTGCTACTGAACACTAGATTTTATTCCTTCTATCTAACTGCTATTTTTGCACCCGTCAACCACCCCCATTTTATCCTCCCTTCTGCATCACTCCCTTTCTCAGCCTCTGGCAACCATGATTCTACTCTCTATTTCCATGAGTTCAATTTAAAAAAAATAGCTCCCACATATGAGTGAGAACATGCAAAATTTGTCTTTCTGTGCCTGGCTTATTTCACTTTACATAATGTCCTCCAGTTCCATCCATGTTCTTGTCAATGAGAGGATTTTTTTCTTTTTTATGGCTGGATAAATTTCATTGAGTATATGTGGTGCCAAGCAAGAATGGGCTGCTTGGGGACCCAGCAAGCTCCCAGGACCTTTCCGCTGCTTCCTCTAGCCCTGTATTTCACTTGGCTCCCTAACTTGACTCAACACCAGGTGAAGTCAGAAACCTCTCCTGCAAAGAGACATTCAGCTTCTCCAGGGGAGGTGTGTGTTCAGGAGAGGAGGATCTACCTTTGCCACTTCCACAGTTGGGGCACTCACAGTATTTGAGTTGTCTCCCCAGTCCTGCAAAAGCAGTCCACTTCCTTCAGAAGGTGTGTAGGTCCTCTCAGGATTGCTGGTTTCTTCTTGCAGTTGATCTGCAGCTAAAACTCACAATGCAAGCCTCTGCATGCTGCTCTGTTGAGAGCTGCAATCCAGTCCTGCTTCCTGTCAGCCATTATCCATTGTGTATAGGTACCTCATTTTCTTTAGCCATTCATCTCTTAATGATCACTTATGCTGAATCCATGCCTTGGTTATTGTGAGTAGTGCTGCAGTAAACACGGGACTGTTGATGTCTCTTCCATATACTGATTCCCTTTCTTTTGGGTGTATACCTGGTGGTAAGATTACTAGATCATACGGTAGTTCTCTTTTTAGTCTTTTGAGAAGCCTCCTGACTACTCTCCATTGTGGCCCAACTAATTTACTTTCCCACTAACAGTGTACAAGTGGTCCCCCCCCTTTTTTTTCCACATCCTCACCAGCATTTGGGTAATTTCATCTCATGCAACTTCATCTGACTGTGTTCTTTCATTTATTCTTTCCACAATTTTTAAGCATCAGTGCTGTGTCACGTAGCATAGTAGGCTTGAAGAATAAGAAAATGTTTCTGGTTTCAAAGATCTTGCAATCAAATAAGAAAGACAGATAAATAAATGAAGGGTGAAGGCATAGTGCCATGGCACCTGGAGGAAGAAACTGCCATGAGATGCTGCTATGAAAACTTCAAGATGGTTGGATGGATTCTTACCCTATCTCATGTTCCATGAGAAGCAGAGGTCAAGACAAGAGTAAACATGCGGGGATTTTCTTCTGCAAAATGCCAGTGTAAGAGAAAATGAAGAGAAAGCTATTTGCCTCTTCTTCTGTCTCTTCCATTTTTATATAAATGGATTTGTTCAATGGGTGCCTGTATTGACTGTCTTTTTCAGTTGGCGTGATGTTTTCAACATGTATCTGTGACGTAACATGCATTGGTACATCTTTCTTTTTGTTGCCAAATAAAATTTCACTATATAAATTATCACATTATATTCATCCATTCATCAGTTTATGCTCTCTCACTTCATTTTACAATCTCAATATACAACCTCCTGATTCTTATGCTAGTTAAAAAAGATCTGTCCTGGGCCGGGCGCGGTGGCTCACGCCTGTAATCCCAGCACTTTGGGAGGCCGAGGCGGGCGGATCACGAGGTCAGGAGATCGAGACCATCCTGGCTAACACGGTGAAACCCTGTCTCTACTAAAAATACAAAAAATTAGCCAGGCGAGGTGGCGGGCGCCTGTAGTCCCAGCTACTCCGGAGGCTGAGGCAGGAGAATGGCGTGAACCCCAGGGGGCGGAGCCTGCAGTGAGCCGAGATTGCGCCACTGCACTCCAGCCTGGGCGACAGCGAGACTCCGTCTCAAAAAAAAAAAAAAAAACAAAAAAAAAAACAAAAAAAAAAAAAAAAAAAAAAAAAAAAAAGATCTGTCCTCAAGTTTTCCTATCTCTATCATTGTGATCTCTTTCCTCTGACACAATTCTTGGTGTTTGTTCTCCAGGACCATAATAGGTACTGTGAAGATTCACAGTTAGCTCCTCTGACCTCCCAGCTCTAATTTTCAGCTGTTGGACAAGACCCAGTCTAGCCACTTACCCCTGACAATTATAAGGGCATGATTTTCTTCCAGCCTTCCCACTTGTATTAAACCAAAGTGGGCCACCATATTTCTTTCACTGCACATGGAGCACACTCGAATGTGCCCCAGAATCTCTGATAGGCATATTTATCTTGCATGTAGTTCATCACTCTCTGATTTTTGCTTAATTAAGTATCAAATTCTGTAGAAGTTCAGTTCAGGAATTTCACTTCTGTGTGTCCAGTGAAGCCAATACTGCACCAACAAATGCTCAGGTAATAAGAATAAAATCTGGGGAAGAGACGCAAATCAACTATCTGAAGTCAGAAGAAAGTAAATACAAGCGGGCTGATTTTGGAGGGAAGTTGGTACCTGGATAAAACAAACCACAAGAGAAACTGATTTCAAACTTCTAACCTCAGCAGATTCACCCAGGTTGCCCTCCAGAACTGCTAGGATTACAGGCATGGGCCACTGTGCCCAGCCTGAGTTAAAAATCTTCAAAAGATATTGCAGTTTTTTCCATTATGCTCCTTTTTGTTGAAGATCATACTTATGAGCCTTGATATTTGAACATTATCAAAGACAAAGACACAAACAGGATTCGGTTTTGCAATTTCATATTTAAAGATATTTCTCTCAAATGACTGATGCAGAGGAAACATAAACCTACTCCTGCATTGCAAGTTTTCTTTGTTAAATCCAGATAATAATTTATTTACATATTATTCATATTATTAACTGAAGGTTGTTGATACTGTGGATTATCTTCTAGGGAATTTTAATGAGCTTATAATTTAGAAACAAAGAAACTACTGTCAGAGTGAACAGGCAACCTACAAAATGGGAGAAAATTTTTGCAACCTACTCATCTGACAAAGGGCTAGTATCCAGAATCTACAATGAACTCAAGCAAATTTACAAGAAAAAAGCAAACAACTCCATCAAAAAGTGGGCAAAGGATATGAACAGACACTTCTCAAAAGAGGACATTTACGCAGCCAAAAAACACATGAAAAAATGCTCATCATCACTGGCCATCAGAGAAATGCAAATCAAAACCACAATGAGATATCATCTCACACCAGTTAGAATGGCAATCATTAAAAAGTCAGGAAACAACAGGTGCTGGAGAGGATGTGGAGAAATAGGAACACTTTGACACTGTTAGTGGGACTGTAAACTAGTTCAACCATTGTGGAAGTCAGTGTGGCAATTCCTCAGGGATCTAGAACTAGAAATACCATTTGACCCAGCCATCCCATTACTGGGTATATACCCAAAGCACTATAAATCATGCTGCTATAAAGACACATGCACATGTATGTTTATTGCGGCACTATTTACAATAACAAAGACCTGGAGCCAACCCAAATGTCCAACAATGATAGACTGGATTAAGAAAATGTGGCACCTATACACCATGGAATACTATGCAGCCATAAAAAATGATGGGTTCATGTCCTTTGTAGGGACGTGGATGAAATTGGAAATCATCATTCCCAGTAAACTATCCCAAGAACAAAAAATCAAACACTGCAAGTTCTCACTCATTGATGGGAATTGAACAATGAGAACACATGGACACAGGAAGGGGAACATCTCACTGTGGGGACTGCTGTGAGGTTGAGAGGAGAGGAGAGGGATAACATTAGGAGATATACCTAATGCTAAATGATGAGTTAATGGGTGCAGCACACCAGTATGGCACATGTATACATATGTAACTAACCTGCACAATGTGCACATGTACCCTAAAACTTAAAGTATAATAATAATAATAATAATAATAATAATAATAATTAATAAAGATGGATATAAGGTAAAAAAAAAAAAGTTCGAAATCAGCCTGGCCAACATGGCAAAACCCCGTCTGTACTAAAGTTACAAACTTTAGCCAGGTGTCATGGCATGCTCTTGTAGTACCAACTACTCTGGAGACTGAGGCATGAGGATTGCTTGATCCTGGGAGGCAGTGGTTGCAGTAAGCTGAGAAAGCACCATAGCACTTCAGCCAGCCTGCGTGACGGAACAAGACTCCCTCTAAAACAAAACAAAACAAAACAAAACTAAGACTTCAAAAGCATACATACCATTGTAAAAGTTGCAGAATCATTGAGACCCAAGAGAAAAATATTAAAACCTTGGGGGAAAATGTTGTAATACAGGGCAAAGTGAATGAATACAGAAATAGCACCGGTTCATGTTATTTGCAGAAAAGAAACAAACGAATCAAAACAATGAAACAGATAATCTGAGAACTGCTTACAGAGTACCATCCTGGGTTTGTGTTTGTCAGTAAAGTTACAAATTGTGATTCTTAGTTCTGCCCGGGACAATTATACATATATCCTCATCTTTCTTCAGATTTATTATGTTTTTGTATAATTTCAGATGACTATTCAATTGTCAATGTTCTCAGTGAGTCAGGATAAGGTTCTCACTACATGGAAAAAGACAACTTGGTTCTCAGATTATGCAAAAGTTTAAAGCATCTGCATTTTAGTGAGATGACTAGATTAAATTGGAGCCCAAAGGAGAAATTTCCATTTGTACCAGCTCTAGTCTTCCTGAAGTTGTAGAGGCTACAGAGAGATCAGAAAGAATTGACTCTATATTTCCAGGGCTTCATTGTTTTCCACCCAACACAGTGCACTTTTGGTCTCAAATGCTGAGATCGTTTCATTTTCTTAAAAAAACAAAACTACGTGGAGATAAATGTTTTACCTTCCTCCAACCATAAAAGTGTTATGAAAATTGTTATAGTATTTTTAAATAAGTGATGCAGTTTTTACTTTTTTATTTGTTTATTTTTATTTTTATTTTCAATTATGAATATATAATGGTAGTAAATATTTATGAGGTACATGTGACATTTTGAAAGAAACACACAGTGTAGCTCTTCTTAAGTTATGAATTGATAATATTAATAACTGTCTAGTTCTAGGGTACAAAAAAGCCACTTATTAATATTAATACACACTTATAAAGAACCTAGGGGATATTGTATGCTCTGAACTAGAAAAAGAAAGTGAAAGAACATACCATTTTTTCTTTAGGTGATTTGCAATCTCTTGAAGGTAGCAGAAAAACACTTACAAAGATGTATAACAGACTGATACATGTTATGCACCAAGAGTGTCTAAATTCTGAACTGCTGAGTGAATGAACAGGACAGGATTTTAGGGAAACAAAGCAAGAACTTCAAATCAAGGCTTCAAACAGAAAATAGAATTTGAGCTGACAGTCCCTGACCTCAATATTTTATTTAAGAAAAATTTCAGACATAAGGCAACATTGAAAAAATTTTAAAGTAATCGTCCACCTACCACAATATATGTGGTAGGTTGGATGCTCCCTTTAATTTACTATAAATAGTCTTCTTAAGTTCATACACTAGTGTACTATTTCCATGAAATATCTATCTACCTATGCATCCCTATATGCATTCATTCACCCATCTTATTTTTGGATTCATTTCAAAGCAAATTTCACACATAAGTACATTTCTTTTTACATTTTTTAGCATGCAAAACAGGAACTACATATTAATATTTATTTATAGCTGTTGATGTAGATTTTACATGAAATTAGATGCACACATATTAACATACATTCTCTGAGTTTTGACAAATATGTACATCTGCAAAACCAAACCCCTTTCAAGATAGGAAATACTGCCAACTCAGAGAAATGTTGTCTTTCTCTTTCCAGTCAAGTCTAGCCTCAGCAACACCATCTCAACCCCCTTCAGAGGTAACAGCTATCTTCCGGTTTTCCCAGTATAGATTAGTTTTTCCCATCCTGAAACTTTCTTTAAGTAGAAAAATACACTACACATTCTATTGTGTAATATTTCTTTAACTCTGCAGAAGACTTTTGTGATTTTTCTATTTCTTAAGTATACTGTTAGTCTATTCTTTGTATTCCAGAGTACATATTTGTATGAAAATACCAAACTTTGGTTATTTATTTGGTTACATATTCCAATTAAAGTATACTTGGATAATTTCTTTAAGCTTTATTGAGGTACAAATGATATACCAAAAATTGCACACAGTTAATGTAGACCTTTCAATGAGTTTGAACATATGTATATTCCCATGATACCCCCATCAAAATCAAGGTCCTAAAAATTACAAATCCAACACTTCTGAAAATTTCCTTGTGGTAAAGATACTTAGAATGAGATGTATTCCTTTTACATATTTTGTGGTAATAACACTTAGAATGAGATATATTCTCTTTACATATTTTTAAATGCACCATACTGCATTGTTAACTGCAGGTACTATTTTTTACAGCAATATCTGGAACTTATTTTGCACAACTGAAACTTTATACCCATGAAAAACAATTCTCAATTTTCTCTCCCCCCAATCCCTGGCAATCGCCGTTCTATTTTAAAGGCCTTATATAGGTGGAATCATGCTGTATTTGTCCAATAGTGGCTGGCTTAATTCAGTGAGCATAAGGTCCTCTGGGTACATCCATGTTACTGCAAATGGTAGGATTTCTTTCTTTTTTATGGGAGAATAATATTTCCATTGTGTGTATGTACCACAGTTCCTCTATCGATTCATCTGTGGATGGACATTCAGGTTGTTTCCATATCTTGGTTACTGTGACTAATGCTTCACTTGGAGAATTTTAAACTGCAGGCTACTAGGTGTAAATCTATGCCATAAACATTCTTATAAAGTCTTTTTGGAGACATATATTACCATTTCCATCTGATATTAATGCAGTCACTTCAGCACATTTGTGCTTGCTGCTTGACCAGTATATTTTTTCCCATCCATTTGCATTCAGACTATGTATAAAATACATGTTTATAGACTATGTATTTTTTGCTTATTGACCCATTGTGTCTATTTGTTTTATTGAATTTTTTTAATCCATCAATATTTATTATAAGTTAATATTTATCTTTTGATTTTATTTTTGTCCCTTTTTTTGACGACTTTTGTGATTTTATTTTTTTACCTTTAAGTTCAGGTGTACAGGCGCTGTTTTGTTACACAGGTAAACTTGTGTTGGGGGGATTTGTAGAACAAGTTATTTCATTAATCGGGTATTTAGATTCTACTATCAATTATTGATTGGATTTTGAGCTATCTTTAGTGGTTACAATAGGGAATACACACATTCTTTTTTTTTTATTATACTTTAAGTTTTAGGGTACATGTGCACATTGTACAGGTTAGTTACATATGTATACATGTGCCATGCTGGTGCGCTGCACCCACTAACTCGTCATCTAGCATTAGGTATATCTCCCGATGCTATCTCTCCCCCCACCCCCACCCCACAACAGTCCCCAGAGTGTGATATCCCCTTCCTGTATCCATGTAATATCATTGTTCAATTCCCACCTATAAGTGAGAATATGCAGTGTTTGTTTTTTTTTTTCTTGGGATAGTTTACTGAGAATGATGATTTCCAATTTCATCCATGTCCCTACAAAGGACATGAACTCATCATTTTTTATGGCTGCATAGTATTCCATGGTGTATATGTGCCACAGTTTCTTAATCCAGTCTATCATTGTTGGACATTTGGGTTGGTTCCAAGTCTTTGCTATTGTAAATAATGCCACAATAAACATACCTGTGCATGTGTCTTTATAGCAGCATGATTTATAGTCCTTTGGGTATACACCCAGTAATGGGATGGCTGGGTCAAATGGTATTTCCAGTTCTAGATCCCTGAGGAATCGCCACACTGACTTCCACAATGGTTGAACTAGTTTACCGTCCCACCAACAGTGTAAAAGTTTTCCTATTTCTCCACATCCTCTCCAGCACTTGTTGTTTCCTGACTTTTTAATGATTGCCATTCTAACTGGTGTGAGATGGTATCTCATTGTGGTTTTGATTTGCATTTCTCTGATGGCCAGTGATGATGAGCATTTTTTCATGTATTTTTTGGCTGCATAAATGTGTTCTTTTGAGAAGTGTCTGTTCATGTCCTTTGCCCACTTTTTGATGGGGCTGTTTGTTTTTTTCTTGTAAATTTGTTTGAGTTCATTGTAGATTCTGGATATTAGCCCTTTGTCAGATGAGTAGGTTGTGAAAATTTTCTCCCATTTTGTAGGTTGCCTGTTCACTCTGATGGTAGTTTCTTTTGCTGTGCAGAAGCTCTTTAGTTTAATTAGATCCCATTTGTCAATTTTGTCTTTTGTTGCCATTGCTTTTGTTGTTTTAGACATGAAGTCCTTGCCCATGCCTATGTCCTGAATGGTAATTCATAGGTTTTCTTCTAGGGTTTTTGTGGTTTTAGTTCTAACGTTTAAGTCTTTAATCCATCTTGAATTGACTTTTGTATCAGGTGTAAGGATGGGATCCAGTTTCAGCTTTCTACATATGGCTAGCCAGTTTTCCCAGCACCATTTATTAAATGGGGAATCCTTTCCCTATTGCTGGTTTTTCTCAGATTTGTCAAAGATCAGATAGCTGTAGATATGCGGCTTATTTCTGAGGGCTCTGTCCTGTTCCATTGATCTATATCTCTGTTTTGGTACCAGTACCATGCTGTTTTGGGTACTGTAGCCTTGTAGTATAGTTTGAAGTCAGGTAGTGTGATGCCTCCATCTTTGTTCTTTTGGCTCAGGATTGACTTGGCAATGTGGGCTCTTTTTTGGTTCCATATGAACTTTAAAGTAGTTTTTTTCCAATTCTGTGAAGAAAGTCATTGGTAGCTTGATGGGAATGGCATTGAATCTGTAAATTATCTTGGGCAGTATGGCCATTTTCACGATATTGATTCTTCCTACCCATGAGCATGGAATGTTCTTCCATTTGTTTGTATCCTCTTTTATTTCCTTGAGGAGTGGTTTGTAGTTCTCCTTGAGGAGGTCCTTCACATTCCTTGTTAGTTGGATTCCTAAGTATTTTATTCTCTTTGAAGCAATTGTGAATGGGAGTTCACTCATGACTTGGCTCTCTGTTTGTCTGTTGTTGGTGTATAAGAATGCTTGTGATTTTTGTACATTGATTTTGTATCCTGAGACTTGCTGAAGTTGCTTATCAGATTAAGGAGATTTTGGGCTGAGACAATGGGGTTTTCTAGATATGCAATCATGTCGTCTGCAAACAGGGACAATTTAACTTCCTCTTTTCCTAATTGAATACCCTTTATTTCCTTCTCCTGCCTAATTTCCCTGGCCAGAACTTCCAACACTATGTTGAATAGAGTGGTGAGAGAGGGCATTCCTGTCTTGTGCCAGTTTTCAGAGGAAATGTTTCCAGTTTTTGTCCATTCAGTATGATATTGGCTGTGGGTTTGTCATAGATAGCTCTTAATATTTTGAAATACGTCCCATCAATACCTAATTTATTGAGAGTTTTTAGCATGAAGGGTTGTTGAATTTTGTCAAAGGCTTTTTCTGCATATATTGAAATAATCATGTGGTTTTTGTCTTTGGCTCTGTTTATATGCTGGATCACATTTATTGATTTGTGTATATTGAACCAGCCTTGCATCCGAGGAATGAAGCCCACCTGATCATGGTGGATAAGCTTTTTGATGTGCTGCTGGATTCATTTTGCCGGTATCTTATTGAGGATTTTGGCATCAATGTTCGTCAAAGATATTGGTCTAAAATTCTCTTTTTTTGTGTGTCTCTGTCTGGCTTTGTCATCAGAATGACGCTGGCCTCATAAAATGAGTTAGGGAGGATTCCCTCTTTTTCTATTGATTGGAATAGTTTCAGAAGGAATGGTACCAGTTCCTCCTTGTACCTCTGGTAGAATTCGGCTGTGAATCCATCTGGTCCTGGACTCTTTTTGGTTGGTAAGCTATTGATTATTGCCACAATTTCAGTTCCTGTTATTGGTCTATTCAGAGATTCAACTTCTTCCTGGTTTAGTCTTGGGAGAGTGTATGTGTCAAGGAATTTATCTATTTCTTCTAGATTTTCTAGTTTATTTGCGTAGAGGTGTTTGTAGTATTCTCTGATGGTAGTTTGTATTTCTTTTGGATCGGTGGTGATATCCCCTTTATCATTTTTTATTGTGTCTCTTTGATTTTTCTCTCTTTTTTTCTTTATTAGTCTTGCTAGCAGTCTATCAATTTTGTTGATCCTTTCAAAAAACCAGCTCCTGAATTCATTAATTTTTTGAAGGGTTTCTTGTGTCTCTATTTCCTTCATTTCTGCTCTGATTTTAGTTATTTCTTGCCTTCTGCTAGCTTTTGAATGTGTTTGCTCTTGCTTCTCTAGTTCTTTTAATTGCGATTTTAGGGTGTCAACTTTGGATCTTTCCTGCTTTCTCTTGGGGGCATTTAGTGCTATAAATTTCCCTCTACACACTGCTTCGAATGCTTCCCAGAGATTCTGGTATGTTGTGTCTTTGTTCTCATTGGTTTCAAAGAACATCTTTATTTCTGCCTTCATTTCGTTATGTACCCAGTAGTCATTCAGGAGCAGGTTGTTCAGTTTCCATGTAGTTGAGCGGTTTTGAGTGAGATTCTTAATCCTGAGTTCTAGTTTGATTGCACTGTGTTCTGAGAGATAGTTTGTTATAATTTCTGTTCTTTTACATTTGCTGAGGAGAGCTTTACTTCCAAGTTTGTGGTCAATTTTGGAATAGGTTTGGTGTGGTGCTGAAAAAAAATGTATATTCTGTTGATTTGGGGTGGAGAGTTCTCTAGATGTCTATTAGGTCCACTTGGTGCAGAGCTGAGTTCAATTCCTGGGTATCCTTGTTGACTTTCTGTCTCATTGATCTGTCTAATGTTGACAGTGGGATGTTAAAGTCTCCCATTATTAATGTGTGGGAGTCTATGTCTCTTTGTAGGTCATTCAGGACTTGCTTTATGAATCTGGGTGCTCCTGTTTTGGGTGCATATATATTTAGGATAGTTAGTTCTTCTTGTTGAATTGATCCCTTTACCATTATATAATGGCCTTCTTTGTCTCTTTTGATCTTTCTTGGTTTAAAATCTGTTTTATCAGAGACTAGGATTCCAACCCCTGCCTTTTTTTGTTTTCCATTTGCTTGGTAGACCTTCCTCCATCCTTTTATTTTAAGCCTATGTGTGTCTCTGCATTTGAGATGGGTTTCCTGAATACAGCACACACTGATGGGTCTTGACTCTTTATCCAATTTGCCAGTCTGTTTCTTTTAATTGGAGCATTTAGTCCATTTACATTTAAAGTTGATATTGTTATGTGTGAATTTGATCCTGTCATTATGATGTTAGCTGGTTATTTTTCTCATTAGTTGATGCAGTTTCTTCCTAGTCTCGATGGTCTTTACATTTTGGCATGATTTTGCAGCGGCTGGTACCAGTTGTTCCTTTCCATGTTTAGTGCTTCCTTCAGGAGCTCTTTTAGGGCAGGCCTGGTGGTGACAAAATCTCTCAGCATTTGCTTGTCTGTAAAGTATTTTATTTCTCCCTCACTTATGAAGCTTAGTTTGGCTGGATATGAAATTCTGGGTTGAAAATTCTTTTCTTTAAGAATGTTGAATATTGGCCCCCACTCTCTTCTGGCTTGTAGGGTTTCTGCCGAGAGATCCGCTGTTAGTCTGATGGGCTTCCCTTTGAGGGTAACCCAACCTTTCTCTCTGGCTGCCCTTAACATTTTTTCCTTCATTTCAACTTTGGTGAATCTGACAATTATGTGTCTTGGAGTTGCTCTTCTCGAGGAATATCTTTGTGGCGTTCTCTGTATTTCCTGAATCTGAACTTTGGCCTGCCTTGCTAGATTGGGGGAGTTCTCCTGGACAATATCCTGCAGAGTGTTTTCCAATTTGGTTCCATTCTCCTTGTCACTTTCAGGTACACCAATCAGACATAGATTTGGTCTTTTCACATAGTCCCATATTTCTTGGAGGCTTTGCTCATTTCTTTTTATTTTTTTTCTCTAAACTTCCCTTCTCACTTCATTTCATTCATTTCATCTTCCATCGCTCATACCCTTTCTTCCAGTTGATTGCATCAGCTCCTGAGGCTTCTGCATTCTTCACGTAGTTCTGGAGCCTTGGTTTTCAGCTCCATCAGCTCCTTTAAGCACTTCTCTGTATTGGTTATTCTAGTTATATATTTTTCTAAATTTTTTTCAAAGTTTTCAACTTCTTTGCCTTTGGTTTGAATGTCCTCCCATAGCTCAGAGTAATTTGATCATCTGAAGCCTTCTTCTCTCAGCTCGTCAAAGTCATTCTCCATCCAACTTTGTTCCATTGCTGGTGAGGAACTGCGTTCCTTTGGAGGAGGAGAGGGGCTCTTCTTTTTAGAGTTTCCAGTTTTTCTGTTCTGTTTTTTCCCCATCTTTGTGGCTTTATCTACTTTTGGTCTTTGATGATGGTGATGTACAGATGGGTTTTTGGTGTGGATGTCCTTTCTGTTTGGTAGTTTTCCTTCTAACAAAGAGGACCCTCAGCTGCAGGTCTGTTGGAGTACGCTGCCGTGTGAGTTGTCATTGTGCCCTGCTGGGGGGTGCCTCCCAGTTAGGCTGCATGGGGGTCAGAGATCAGGGACCCACTTGAGGAGGCAGTCTGCCCATTCTCAGATCTCCAGCTGCATGCTGGGAGAACCACTGCTCTCTTCAAAGCTGTCAGACAGGGACACTTAAGTCTGCAGAAGTTACTGCTGTCTTTTTGTTTGTCTGTGCCCTTCCCCCAGAGGTGGAGCCTACAGAGGCAGGCAGGCCTCCTTGGGCTGTGGTGGGCTCCACCCAGTTCGAGCTTCCTGGCTGCTTTGTTTACCTAAGCAAGCCTGGGCAATGGTGGGCGCCCCTCCCCCAGCCTGGCTGCCCCTTGCAGTTTGATCTCAGACTGCTGTGCTAGCAATCAGCGAGACTCTGTGGGCGTAGGACCCTCCAAGCCAGGTGCGGGATATAATCTCATGGTGAGCCGTTTTTTAAGCCCGTCGGAAAAGCACAGTATTCGGGTGGGAGTGACCCGATTTTCCAGGTGCCGTCCATCACCCCTTTCTTTGACTCAGAAAGGGATCTCCCTGATCTCTTGCACTTCCCAAGGGAGGCATTGCCTCACCATGCTTCAGCTCACGCATGGTGTGTGCACCCACTGACCTGCGCCCACTGTCTGGCACTCCCTAGTGAGATGAACCCGGTACCTCAGATGGAAATGCAGACCCATCTTCTGCGTCGCTCACGCTGGGAGCTGTAGACTGGAGCTGTTCCTATTCGGCCATCTTGGCTTGCTAATACCGGGAATACACACATTCTTAGGTTTTCATAGCCTAAAGTTAATATTGTACCACCACACATAAAATGTGGAAAACTCACAAATATTCAGGTTCATTTACTAACTCCCCCCCCCAGCTTACTGTACATTACACAGGCTTTTACGTTTACTTAGATATTTACCACTTCTGATATTACTCATTCTAAGATCTAAGTTTTACCTTCAATTCTTAGATTTTCATATCATTCAGTTTTGCAAGTGATGCAGTTCTAGTTTTCCTTTCCCTAAAAGTAATTTTTGTTACCTTCAGTCTTAAAGAATACTTTTGCTTAATATAAAACTCAATAATTTTTAACTAGCATGTCAAAAATGTGGCTCCATAGTCTTTTTGTCTCCATATTTGTGAAGCAGACTGGGCAATTATCTAAAGCATAAATAATTCATCATTTTCCTCTGGCAGCTTTCAAGATTTTCTTTTTACCATTGTGTTGCAGCAGTTTGACTCCACTGTGTTTACATATGCTTTTCTTACTGTTTATTCTGTTGATGTTTATTAAACTTTTGAATGTGGGTATAAACCACTGCATTGGGGAAATTTTATTCAATCATATTTAGTGTAGCATTTCCCCACCCCTTTCTCCTCCCGAGATTCCAACTACACATTAGCTAAATCGTTCCTACATTGTGATACTGATTCAGGTGGTATGATTATTTCCTGCAATGTCTCTTGTCTTCCTCTGTCATTCTCAATACTTTCTAGAAATCTGTCTTTAGGATAACTTATTCTTTTCTATCCATTCTTGTGCTAAATCCATTCAGTTAATTATTTATTTCAGGTATTATATTTTTCACTTTCAGTATTTCCACTTGGATTTTCTTTTCCATCGTTCCTTCTTTTCTACTGAGATTCTCTATTTTCTCAGTCATCTTGGAATATATTCCTTATCCATCTGAAGTATATTATAATGGCTGTCACAGACAACTACCTTGTCCTGTATTTCCAACATCTGGTTCCTCTTGATGGAAAGGTGGGCTGATTTCTGTTGATGGTCTTTTTTCTTGAGGATGTATCCCATATTCCCCATTCATTGTATTTTGAGTAACTTTTGACTTTTTTGTGAATATTGGAAATGTTATTTTGAGGTTACTGAGGGCCCTATTAATTTGTATAACGTGTGTGTGTGTGTGTGTGTGTGTGTGTGTGTGTGTGTGTATGCATTTAACCAGATAATTGCTTTTGTAAGGAAGCAGGCTTCTAGTAGAGTCAGAGTGACACCATTTAAAAATCAACTCCATCTTAAAACTAGCAAGGCATATTTCTGGTCAGTCATGACTATGGTCGGAAGATGTTTATAGTTGAAGAAACAACCTAAAGACACCTACCAGGAAACACTTCTACAACAAAAGGAAGTCCAGATGTCCCAATACCCATAACAATATATGTTTAATAAACTTGCTTCTTTTACCACAAGTGACTTGCCTTAAATTCCTTCCTGAGTGAGATAAAAGAACCCTCTCTTGAGATCTGTATTGAGATCCCTTTTTCTGGAAAATACTTTCATTAGACACCAAATACCTACACAGTTTCTGGATGGAAGATACAATTTCAAATTAGTTATTTTTTGTTTGAGATTATTTGACTATGTTGTATACGTCTCATCTAGAGAGTTGAGACAAATGTATACACAGAATTTAGGGTTCTTTGTGTGTGAGTATATTCATTTTGGGATGTACCCCTTCACTTTCCAAGCATATAGTTGCCCCCAATTCTTTAATTTCTTCTGGCTAGAAAAGCCATAGGCTTTCTATATGAATTTTAGCTGAAGTGTTAATTGAGATGTATATTCTGGCTAAAATCTGTAAGAATGGAAACTTCAAAATTGTGGTTTGTTTTATCCAGGTACCAACTTCCCTCCAAAATCAGCCCGCTTGTATTTACTTTCTTCTGACTTCAGATAGTTGATTTGCGTCTCTTCCCCAGATTTTATTCTTATTACCTGAGCATTTGTTGGTGCAGTATTGGCTTCACTGGACACACAGAAGTGAAATTCCTGAACTGAACTTCTACAGAATTTGATACTTAATTAAGCAAAAATCAGAGAGTGATGAACTACATGCAAGATAAATATGCCTATCAGAGATTCTGGGGCACATTCGAGTGTGCTCCATGTGCAGTGAAAGAAATATGGTGGCCCACTTTGGTTTAATACAAGTGGGAAGGCTGGAAGAAAATCATGCCCTTATAATTGTCAGGGGTAAGTGGCTAGACTGGGTCTTGTCCAACAGCTGAAAATTAGAGCTGGGAGGTCAGAGGAGCTAACTGTGAATCTTCACAGTACCTATTATGGTCCTGGAGAACAAACACCAAGAATTGTGTCAGAGGAAAGAGATCACAATGATAGAGATAGGAAAACTTGAGGACAGATCTTTTTTTTTTTTTTTTTTTTTTTTTTTTTTTTTTTTTTTGTTTTGTTTTTTTTTTTTTTTTTGAGACGGAGTCTCGCTGTCGCCCAGGCTGGAGTGCAGTGGCGCAATCTCGGCTCACTGCAGGCTCCGCCCCCTGGGGTTCACGCCATTCTCCTGCCTCAGCCTCCGGAGTAGCTGGGACTACAGGCGCCCGCCACCTCGCCTGGCTAATTTTTTGTATTTTTAGTAGAGACAGGGTTTCACCGTGTTAGCCAGGATGGTCTCGATCTCCTGACCTCGTGATCCGCCCGCCTCGGCCTCCCAAAGTGCTGGGATTACAGGCGTGAGCCACCGCGCCCGGCCCAGGACAGATCTTTTTTAACTAGCATAAGAATCAGGAGGTTGTATATTGAGATTGTAAAATGAAGTGAGAGAGCATAAACTGATGAATGGATGAATATAATGTGATAATTTATATAGTGAAATTTTATTTGGCAACAAAAAGAAAGATGTACCAATGCATGTTACGTCACAGATACATGTTGAAAACATCACGCCAACTGAAAAAGACAGTCAATACAGGCACCCATTGAACAAATCCATTTATATAAAAATGGAAGAGACAGAAGAAGAGGCAAATAGCTTTCTCTTCATTTTCTCTTACACTGGCATTTTGCAGAAGAAAATCCCCGCATGTTTACTCTTGTCTTGACCTCTGCTTCTCATGGAACATGAGATAGGGTAAGAATCCATCCAACCATCTTGAAGTTTTCATAGCAGCATCTCATGGCAGTTTCTTCCTCCAGGTGCCATGGCACTATGCCTTCACCCTTCATTTATTTATCTGTCTTTCTTATTTGATTGCAAGATCTTTGAAACCAGAAACATTTTCTTATTCTTCAAGCCTACTATGCTACGTGACACAGCACTGATGCTTAAAAATTGTGGAAAGAATAAATGAAAGAACACAGTCAGATGAAGTTGCATGAGATGAAATTACCCAAATGCTGGTGAGGATGTGGAAAAAAAAGGGGGGGGACCACTTGTACACTGTTAGTGGGAAAGTAAATTAGTTGGGCCACAATGGAGAGTAGTCAGGAGGCTTCTCAAAAGACTAAAAAGAGAACTACCGTATGATCTAGTAATCTTACCACCAGGTATACACCCAAAAGAAAGGGAATCAGTATATGGAAGAGACATCAACAGTCCCGTGTTTACTGCAGCACTACTCACAATAACCAAGGCATGGATTCAGCATAAGTGATCATTAAGAGATGAATGGCTAAAGAAAATGAGGTACCTATACACAATGGATAATGGCTGACAGGAAGCAGGACTGGATTGCAGCTCTCAACAGAGCAGCATGCAGAGGCTTGCATTGTGAGTTTTAGCTGCAGATCAACTGCAAGAAGAAACCAGCAATCCTGAGAGGACCTACACACCTTCTGAAGGAAGTGGACTGCTTTTGCAGGACTGGGGAGACAACTCAAATACTGTGAGTGCCCCAACTGTGGAAGTGGCAAAGGTAGATCCTCCTCTCCTGAACACACACCTCCCCTGGAGAAGCTGAATGTCTCTTTGCAGGAGAGGTTTCTGACTTCACCTGGTGTTGAGTCAAGTTAGGGAGCCAAGTGAAATACAGGGCTAGAGGAAGCAGCGGAAAGGTCCTGGGAGCTTGCTGGGTCCCCAAGCAGCCCATTCTTGCTTGGCACCACATATACTCAATGAAATTTATCCAGCCATAAAAAAGAAAAAAATCCTCTCATTGACAAGAACATGGATGGAACTGGAGGACATTATGTAAAGTGAAATAAGCCAGGCACAGAAAGACAAATTTTGCATGTTCTCACTCATATGTGGGAGCTATTTTTTTTAAATTGAACTCATGGAAATAGAGAGTAGAATCATGGTTGCCAGAGGCTGAGAAAGGGAGTGATGCAGAAGGGAGGATAAAATGGGGGTGGTTGACGGGTGCAAAAATAGCAGTTAGATAGAAGGAATAAAATCTAGTGTTCAGTAGCACAGTATGGTGACTATAGTTAATCACTGTTGTATATTTCAAAATAACTAAAAGAGTAGAATCAGGAAAATATCACATGTACTTCATAAACATATACAATGTCCATACAATATATACAATGCCTATAATAGTTAAAAATTTAAAATTATGACAAAAACAGCAAATTATAATATCTGATTAATTTCAGAGCCAACTGTCTCTCTCTATACATCACTGTATACCCCCTAAAAATTCAGATTCAAGGTATGCTCTCTATTTTTATGTCCTTTGTGTCATTCTCAGTTAGTGGCCTCTGCAGATACTGCAATGCTTCTCATTATATGCCACTCTTTGTGTGTGTGGCTGCTTAAACCACTTAAGGCCTTTTTTTTTTTTTTTTTTTTAATGTGATTTGAGAGTGAAACATGAAGTGTACTATATCAGCTTCGCTACTCCTCTTTTCTCATGGAGAGAATAGCTTAATAAAATAAGACATGCATTCTAAGTGGGTGATATCTTTTAGGAATGCCACAAATGCAGTAACAGGAAAATTAGGAACCAAATTGCTATTGCAATTCTAGTCAATATTTTCCAAATATTAGTGGGCATGTAGTACCCTTGGAAATCTACATTAGGGGAAATAATAACTAAAATACTAGTCGTAGACATAATTTGCTACATAAAATGAATTTTTTTTGCAATAAAGAATGAATCATAATTTGCCCTAGGTAATCCATGAATAGTGTTAAGGAAATGTAACTTCTGCTAACTATATTAGATAATTTACCTCCAGCTCCTATATTCCTAGTACCTAGATTCAGGAGAATGTGGTTGTACAGTAAAACGTACCTGTACTCCTTTATGAAATAAAATACATTGGATCAATCCCTATAATGACTATGCTGTGTGGCTCAAAGTTTTTGTGATCATCATAGAGTGAAATATGGCTCATTTCAAATACTATTAACTTCTCTAATAAATGTACATATTCAGTGTGTTTTAAGCATAAATTTTGCTTCTAGTTATTTCAATGTGGCTGACAAGGTCATAGCAGTTTTAAAAAATTATAATGAAAGAAATTTCCATCTTGAACTATATTCACACAGTGTCAGATTATAGAAAATTGAGCTCATAATGAGACACTCTCTCTTTTTTTATAAACCAGTGTTGTTGGTTTTGTGGGCATATATATTAGAAACGAGTATTCTTTTGTGGGTTATAGATAATGATATCTTTAATCCCAAAGTCTCTGTCAGCTGAAAGATTCCAAAATGTGCTTTCATAATATAGAGCCATTTTTTCATATGGAACCAAAAACTAAATGGCAAAAACATGTTTTTCGTATGATAACCTTAAGAATCATTTACATTATAAAATATTTTTTATTCAAGACCCAAGAAGCAATGCCATCTGATCAATTGTGTGTCTTTGGCATTAGGCTTTATTTGCCATGTAGTCTAAGAAACATTATCATGACTTTGCCAGATCATTATAGCTACCAGACAATGATCAATTTTTTTTTTTCCAAAATAAGGTCAAATCTCACATATTTCATAAGTTTTAGAATTCCATTTTTAAAAACAACACAGATGTCATGAATATAAACAATTTGCCTTCCAATAGCAATTCCATATATATATATGTATGTATTTATATTCCATATATATATTCCATATATATATTCCATATATATATTCCATATATATTCCATATATATTCCATATATATACCATATATATATTCCACATATATATATTCCATATATATATAAAATATATATATATTCCATATATATAATATATATATATAATATATATATAAAATATATATATATATATATATATATATATATATATATAATATATATATATATATATTTGAGACGGAGTCTCGCTCTGTCACCCAGGCAGGAGTGCAGTGGCAGGATCTCAGCTCACTGCAACCTCAGCCTCCCAGGTTCAAGAGATTCTCCTGCCTCAGCCTCTCGAGTAGCTGGGACTACAGATGTGTGTCATCAAACCCAACAAATTTTTGGTGTTTTTAGTAGAGACGGGGTGTCAATCTGTTAGGCAGGATGGGGCCCTGCTATTAAATGAAGAGCAAAATGTTATTCCTGAGTGAACACCATAGCACATTGCAAATGCCTCTATTTCGTAGTTTCTAAAATTTCTTCTTTTAGCTTTTTATCAAGAAGCTTCAGGCATTATCTTACCCAGGGAAATGTCCAGAAATTGCTTACTTTCTTGGAAAACAGAAGAAACATTTTTTTGTTTTGTTTTGTTTTTGTTTTTCCAACTGACGAATTTTCTGAGTACAAATGTGGAGTAACCCTCTGTGTTGTAACCTTTCTCATATCATGACCACCTCATAATAATTTAACCCTCCAAATAGTCATCTCTTTTCAGATGCATGAAGGCAGGAAATAAAGAGACGGAGGACAAAAAGGTAGATCAGGAAGAAATGGGGGAAAAATCAATAAGCCAAACTCAAGCAAACTTTCAGTAATAACAAATAATGATTATCAATTAGCAAAAGCAGTTATGTGTGTGCTAAAAGTGGAACATAAGTAACATGATATTTTATTTGAAGAGACATCATGCTTTTTAGAATGTCTAATAATTATGTTGTTCCCATAATTCACACCTAACCGTGCAATTACTTTTCTGTAAGGTACAGATAACCTCCTGTAAATCTGTAATAGTGAACCGATATTGGGCATTTTCTCCACACATGCCAATTCATATATTTAAGTTAAGCTTCTTATAAGAAAATAATACTGTACTTTTTTCTAAAATTACTTTTTCATCACTAATGATTTTGAATTTAGTACCATTTTTTCCTAATGACATTCAAGTTAACCTGTTTTGACCAATTATTTTATCCTTCAATGGATAGTCATTTTAATTTTGTTCCTTTAATTCTATGTTTAACATATATTGGTGGAAGAGGAGGTAGGGTCTTGCCATTGTATAATCATTGAACTTCCGTATACTAGTTAATGGTTAAATATGTAGCTACAAGATTTAGTGACATATTAGAAGCAAAAAAGCAATTTAAATTATAATATCCATACTTTAAAATAACAATTACAGGACCATATGAATATATCTAACCTATTTCCCAATGAATAGTGAGAAAGTAGCGTTAACAAAAAATAATATAAATATTTAGAATACAGAGTACAGCAAAATAAGGAGACAGTATTATAAATAGATCTTTACAAATCATATACCTTTGAGTTGCACAATTTGATGCTTTCCTATGTGTATATATTGTGAAATATTACCACAATAAATTTACTTGACACATCTATCACCTCACATAGTTAGCATGTGTGTGTGTGTGTGTGTATGTGTGTATGGGTAGTGAGGACACTTAAGACCTACTGTTTTAGTGCATTTCAAGCATACAATACAGTATTGATAACTATCATCACCATACTGTACACTGGTTCTCCAGAACCTGTTTATCTTTCATCATAACTAAAAGTTTGTACTGTTTGACAATCATCTCCCCAATTTTTCCACACCTCAGTCCTGGTAACCATTGTCCTACCTTCTGCTTTTATGTGGTCAACTTTTAAAATTCAACACATCAGTGAGATCATGCAGTATTTATCTTCCTCTGCCTGACTTATTTAGATTAGCTAACGCCTAGTTGTAAATGACAGGATTTTTACTAAAAGTGCTAGAATCTCCTTTGATAAGCCAGTTTGAGGTGTAAATGAAAATGTGTCGATTGCCTTCCTATGAGACACATGGATTCCAACTGGGATAATATGTGATGATGGTGAAACAATAGAGCTATTATTGCTATAGAAATTAAGGAAATTGGAATTGAACATGATGACTTCCCTTTGCCTTGCATAGAGACAGACCTTCCTATGTGACCCACCCTCAGGTAAAAAAGTTAACCATGGAAGTCTGCTAATATCTGAACTCTGCTTTTATACTGAATATAGGATGTCTGCCTATTGGTCATTACACTATCATTATTGTCATCATCACTCCCCCTATTGCCATCATATTACCATCATCCCCATCATCATCATCATCACCATCACTATCGTCATCATCACAATCATCATTACCAACATTGCCATCACCATCAGAAACATCATTACCCTCATTGCCATCACCATCATCACCAACATCATTACCGTCGTCTTCATCATTATCATCCCTGTCACCAACTTCACCATCACCATTATCATCACAATCATCACCATCACCAAAATCATCACCATCATTATCATCACCATTATCATCATCATTGCCATTACCATCATCATCACCACCATCACCATGATCACCACCACAATCATCATCACCGTCATCATCACAATCATCTTCATCACCATCACCATCATCACCATCTACATCACAATCATCATTACCACTTGTGTATCTTTTACTGTTGACCAAGTACTTTCCTATGTTTTCTTACTTGAAATGAATTTTATGAATTTCTGTCTTCAGGAAATCGTCTGCAAAATGAATAGACAAGTTGAAACTGAAACACAAGCCATGAACAAGAGTTAAGTGCTTAAATATCTTGCAGTAAACAGTACTTAAGTCCTTGATATGCTACAGAAAAATGCTGGAAAGGGCAGATGAAGCATGTTAGCATTGGAAAAAAAAGCTAGAGCTATCAGAAGTAAACTTCTTGGAGAAGTAGACCCTGAGATCCATTCACCGATCCAGAAAATAATTTTTGAGTGCCTGTTTTATTTTGTGCAGTAGTTGTGAGGGGCTGCAAAGATACGTGAGTAAAAAGCTTCATCTACAAGAGAAACATGCAAGCTAATGAGGAAGAAAGATAAGCAAATAATGTGATTATAGTCTTACCCAGGCTTCCCTTAACAGTGGTGGGAAAAGCTTGTGGGTGGATAATTTAGGTAAGAATGTAGTTCCAGAAAGAAGGCGTCTAGAACAAAGGAAATAAAATAGAGAACACCCAGTACAATGATGCTTCATTGACTCATCCACCTCCAGAATAGCACATGTTCAATCCTGTCAGGGACCTTCTGAAAAGCCTCTGAAATACACCTTAAAATTGTCTATCTGAGACATCAAAGGGGTAAACCACTTATTTTACAGCTCCTGATAGGCAGTGGCCAAGGGTGGCGCCATTGGCGCTATGATCTGTGGCTGCCCGTGAGTGGTGGGCTTTGTGGATGTCTTATGCTATGTCAGAGAAACCCTAAGCCAAGCAGCATGGAAGACTGTTGTCCAGTTATACTCGGATAAAGCACCACACAGAAGTGACAGTGTAAGTGTTGGAGAAGAAAGGATATTGAGGAACATAAAAGATGTCAATACAACAACTCTACAAAAGTCTTCCTTCCATACCCTAATAATAGCAAAATCTAAAACAAATGTATATGCTTTGATAGAGCAAATAACTCTCACATTTATTTAATAAATTTTGAAATTTAGTTTCATTTTGCCTTGACAGGTGACCACACAATAACTACTAATTCTCTAAGATAAGAATATTTTCTCTAGCTTTCTAAGAATTGGAATGTTATGAAATTAACCATTCATTTTGTTTGTGTACTCTACAGTTTACTTTCAAAATAAGCAAATCTGTGACATATGCCCTTACAACGTTTCATACCAATTCTTAAATAAAATATAATTTGAGTTTCGCAGTGAAGTTTTATATACATTTTTAAATAATAATTTGAGTTTCACAACACTGAAGTGAGAATTTTTAGTGTTTTCTAAGATAAGTATTCTTTACTTCTTAAAACATCACCTTTATATTTCAACTCAGAAACATGTCTTTAAATAATATAAGATTATCTTGCAGGGAGAAATATGTTCTACATTTTGTAGGAAGGTAGCACCTGAAATACATTCTCCAAAAAGGAAGGAAGAAAGGACTGACAAGAGAAAGTGGTTATTCCGTGAATATGGTACATCTTGGATTGAGGATTGATATTCGGTGAATGATGGCTGGCCCCGTAGGTCTATACAAAGCCAACTTCTGTGAAAAACAGTGTTGATGCTTCAACAGTGATTCCTATTCTTGGCTCCACATTAGAATGACCCAAGGAGCTCTTTGTGTAAAATGCTGATGTAAAGGACACCTCCTTAAAGCAATAAAACCGATGCTGACCTTGATTTACAATGTGCAGCTATAGTTGAGAGCCACTTGCCTAGAGGAGATCTTCTCAATCTTAAATCTGCATGGGAACTTCCTTCTTATCTTGTTAACATGTAGGGTCTAATTAACTCAGTCTGTGGTGAAGACTTGAAATTCTGCATTTCTAACAACCTCCTTGGAGGACAAAGCTGACCAGTCCTGGAGTAGTGTGGTTGAGTTTTGGCAACATTGAGATTACTCACACAACTCGATTTTTAAGTGCTTCAGTATGTGTTTATATGTGTCCTCTTTTTATCTTTATTAATTATTCACAGAGCATTCAACAGAACACCAACATGGCAAGTCATGACCCCTGCTTTCTAGGTGGAGACTAAGTGTGAAGGGTTGTCTACACCATGGCATGGTGCCCAGGATACGCTTATCCACACCAGACTGCAGCTCTCCACTGCAGCATCAGAAAGGTAAGGTTGACTCCTTTTGAAGGAAAGAAGCATGAGTCCACTTGCAATGTCTAAGAGCAGTGTTTTTGGAACAGGTATTTCCATGTGTATTTGTGTTTTTTGTGGCTGCTGTAAAAAACGACCAAAAGCAGAATGGCTTAAAACAATAGATATGTATTACCTTACAGTTCTGGAGACTGGGAGGCAAAACTGGTCTCACTGGAGTAAAATCAAGCTGTTGGCAGGATTGTATAACTGCAGATGTTTATGGAAATGGTAGTTTCTTGCTTTTTCCAAATTCTAAGGACCGCCAAGTTTGTTTGTCTCATGGTCCCTTCCCTTCTTCTGCAAACCCAGCAATGTGGCCTCTCTCTGACTCTGGTGCAGTCCTCACATCTTTTTTTCTGACTCTGACCTCTTCTGTTTCCTTCTTCCATCACACAGGATCCTGTGATTACATTGGTCCCACCTTATAATTCAAGAGGATCTCCCCACCTCACAGTCAGCAGATTAACAGCCCCAATGGTAACTACAACCAAAAAAAAATTGGTTTTTATTTGATGTTGGTTAAGTAAGTGTTAAACACTAAAGTTTGGAATTAAACAGGGGAAAAATATAAACTATATTTCCTATATACCTCAATCATCACAGAAACAAGTAATTACATCATAGGCTTGCTGTTTGCCCATGAACACAAAGTTACACATCTAACTAGATGTGCAACATCAAATAACATCAACCTAACATTAAATAAACCTAACATCAAATAAGCAACAATTTTTTCCCTTTACCATGTAACAGCATAATTGTATCTTCTGAGGATTAGGACCTGGACATCTTTGGGAGGTCATTATTGCCATCTCTAATTAAAAAGGTCAGAAACTAGTTAAAGAGGGTTTATTCAGGCACAAAGTTAAAGACAGGCTGTCCTGGGAATCACAGATTCCAAATAATGGAGGTCAGTGTTTCAAAATGTGGAAGTTTGTGATTGCTTATATAGACAATGTTCAGAGAATTTTAACAGAACTTCAACATCTTTCAATATGATATTTGATGCAGTTACAGTGATCTGATTAGTTGAGGTAGACTTATTCTTTGAGGAAAGGTGTATTTAACATTGCACACTGAGGATGTGACTGGGAAGGGGTTTTGGGTTAGACCATCTGGTCTGAGTTAGGTACAGGACAATAAAGGAGACAGTTAATCTATAACAAAGATCAGTAACTGGAAGGGGAAGGCCTAGTCTCTGGTCTCTCCTAGTCATTTACAGAACAAGAGCAGTAAAGAAGATAGTTAAGCTATTATCTAAGAAGCAGAATTGCAAGCATGCTACATGACTCACTTTCCAGGGGTTAAGTCCCTCCTTGACATCATAAATTTAGAGGATCTTGAAATTGTATTTTATTTTCTGCATTATTGTGCCAACCATAGCATGGGAACCAAACCTACAGTTCTCATCACTCACTCCCTTCTTGTGTTCCCTCCAGAAATTATCACTTAGAAGACGCTTGGAAGTTGAAAATATACTTTCTTATATTGGTCCCTTTTATTTCAGTGAAATTTGGCTTGCCTACTAGAGTATAAATGCCTTAATGTCAAAGGCTAAAAGGGAATCTGATTGTCACGCATTGCTTAACTAGAGGGATACATTCTGAGAAAGGGTCATGAGGTGATTTCATTGCTTAAATGTCATAGCTTGTGCTTACACAAGCCTAGGCAGCATAGCCTGTGATGCACCAGTGTGATGTTGCCTATTGCTCCTTGGCTACAACCTGTACAGTGTGTTACCATAATGAATATTACAGGCAATTGTAACACAATGGTCAGCGTTTATGTATTCAAGCATATTTAAACATGAAACAGTACCGTAAAAATTCAGTATTAGAATCATTTTTAAACAAAGAATATGTACAGGAAAAAATATGGGATTAAATTATTTCTGTGATCAAACATATTTAAATACAGCAAAAGTACAGTTAAAATACAATACCAAAATCTTATAGTACCACCATTGTATATATGATCTGTCATTCACCAAAATGTGGTTATATGATTGTATTTTCTCCCTCATCTTGTGAATCTCTATGCAGTGTTGTTTTAGACCTTAAGATAGCCATTTCTAGAGTTGATTGGCAGTGATGCTAAATTTTAGAAAAATGCCAAAGAAAGACACTAACCAATTTTTAGACAGTCTTACATATGGACTTTATTTATTTATTTTTGGAAAAACCCCAACCCTATACCAGAAACAGTAGCTGTAAGTTGGAATACCAAAGATTTGTCACACCTGAATTTAAGGAGCCCTTAAAAATTAAACTTTATATTTAAAGAAATAAGAGTATAAATTTTAAACAACATTGTGTTGACAGGATTATGATGTTCTCTTGCAAAACAAACAAATAAACAAAATAGTTAAAAGTCATACTTAGAAGGCTGAGCATGGTGACTCATATCTGTAATCTCGGTATTTTAGAAGGCCAAGGTGGGAGGATGACTTGAGGCAGCCTGAGCAACACAGCAAGACCCCATCTCTACAAAAAGTTCTAAAAATAGTTATGGTGGCACCCACCTTTAGTCCCAAATACTCTGGAGGTTAAGGTGGGAAGACTGACTGAGCCCAGGAGATGGACAGTGCAGTGAGTTGTGATTGCACCACTGTAATTCAGCCTGAATGAAAGTGAGACCTCACCTCCAAAAATAAAATAAAACAAATAAATAAAATAAAATAAAATAAAAAATAAATAAAATAAAAACAATTAAATTAAAAATTAAAACTCATCCTTAGAGTATGTAGTATCCTGATTAAATTTTTTTTCTTATTAACAAAAAGTTTTTTCTATAATTATTAGAGTTTGTTTCTCTCCCATGTATTATTTGCTTTTGAAAGGAGTCCTGCCTTGCCTAGCTCTGTACAATTTTCTTCTCATGGTACTCTGTGTTTTTATATGCAAGTGCTTAATAAATGTTTTTACAATTATTTTTACTAAGTCCCTGATCCACTGATCCTGTGGATTAGTGGGTATGAATTTTCTTCCTCCTGAAGAAGAGAGAATTCCTCTATGATTGGGTGTATCATTACAAACTCACACTCAGTAGACCCACCTGGATTCCTAATCCATTTCCTTGCCTTATTTAATTTGAATTCCAGGCAATTATTTAATGTCTCTCACCTCAGTTTCCTTCTTTGCAAAGTTGCCATAACAATCAATTTGCTGAGGGGTTTTGAGGATTCAGTGTATATAAAATTCTAAAAACAGGCAAGGTATCACTGTGGCCATTATACTAATACATTTCAGCCTTTAGGTTATTGCTTTACATACTTGAAGGGCTTATCTCATTTCATTTTTAATGCAAGGATATAAAGGACCAGTGCTAGGCTATTTATTCCCACTCTACTTATTTTAATAAGTAAGGTGGTGAATACCAATGTTGAAGAGAATGGTTTTAAAGCTTTGCAATCTTTCAGAGAAAGTCGAGTGGAATTTTCTTCTGTTGTTCATTCCACAATGAAAATCTTTCTCTGGTTGAAACCATCATTTTAAATATTCATGCAACATCAGTTTAAATATAGTTAAAGAGACATTTCCTCACCAGTAAATAAAACATAATCCCCAAAGAAAGCAATCCAAATGTTCAATGTAGAAATTAGGTATTATTCTTTCAGCAGTGTGTGCTCTTAGAGGTGGATCTTTCGTGTTATCTTAATTCCCTCTCTGTGGCATTAAGACTAAAATATTCTCAGTACTATTAATAAAAAACATTTTACCTTTAATTATCATATTGAAAATATAAGTGCTCTGCATGCTGATGAAGAGATACTGCATCAGGGACCTTTAGAGTAGGTCTGGCAGCATTTGTTTTTTGGTAGAAAAATGTTTGCCATTAAAACCCAGCACAGCACAATTTACTGTGGTTTAATAGCAATTGATTAATTACCTGGATATGATTTAGAATAACTCATCTTTAATGCAGATAACCTACAAATCTTCAAGTGAAGGGGAGATAAACTCCAAATTCCTCCTTTTAGAAGAGAGGATGTATGTGAATCATTATTTCAATGTAAAGGGCTCATTGAAAAACATCATGAGGGGAAACTTAGTCCAAGTTATTCAAAGGGTGAAAAATTGATTTCAATGTTGGAAATGAACAATGTTAAAAATTACTGGATGAGTTACTTAAATCTCCAAGTATCTTTCCAAAAAGAAATAACCTTTATATCCTGGAGTCAATAATGAGAACACTTGGACACAGGGAGGGGATCATCACACACTGGAGCCTGTTGGTGGGTTTGGGGCTAGGGGAGAGATAGTGTTCTCATTTTTCTACTCCCACTTATGAGTGAGAACATGCTGTGTCTGGTTTTCTGTTCTTGTGTTACTTTGCTGAGAATGATGGTTTCCAGCTTTATCCATGTCCCTGCCAATGACATAAACTCATACATTTTTATGGATGCCTAGGAGAAATACCTAATGTAGGTGATGAGTCAATGGATGCAGCAAGCCACCATGGCTTATGTATACCTATGTAACAAACCTGCCTGTTCTGTGCAGGTACCACAGAACTTAAAGTATAATTTTAAAATAAAATTTAAAGCAATTTAAATATCTTAGAAGAGAAAAGTTTTTTTTACCCCAATAATTTGAATTATTTGGAAAAGCATTGTCTGTGACTTTTAGAAAACAGCTAAATGAGTTTGAGTCATCCCAAGACCCACTGGTCATACACAACTGGAGACATATTATGGTCTTTTTCAAAGAGATGCTCACTCTTAACAAAAAACTATGTAATCTATTTCCTGAGTTCATTCAACTTGACTTGATTAAGAATATAATTGCTTTGCTGCAAACTCAAGGTAATCTGTTTGTGTGCCTGCTGAATAAATAAATGAGGGTGTGCACCTCTGGGAGAACCTGAAGGGAGAGGAACAACAGCACAAAAGTAGGAAAGTGGAGATTGATGGAAGAGCAAGGGAAGGTGGTTGGTAGAGGAAGAGGCAGAGAGCTGAACCACATGATCACTGAGCTCCACTGTCATTTCCATTTCCCTGTGGCACAGATTCTCCAGGAGGGGAATATAGGATTAAGACATTCATTTTCCCCACTTGGCATCTTTCATTTGAAAACAACAACAAAAAAAAGTACATATTCACCAAAAATCACATTTAGACCTTTGCTTTGTGTATTCTGGGAAGGAGACAAAAGAGGCATCTTCGGTAACTCATAGCTGACAACATCATCCCATTTGGGAGAGCAGTCACATAAAATATGAATTTCGCCTAGTCTTAGGAAAGGAAAAGAGGAATTTTGCCGAGGCAATAATGTATTTTTTTAAATAGAAAACATCTGCTTCAGAGATGTTCTTTGCATTTCCCTCACAGCCAACCACAATAAATACCTCCTCATATTTTGTTCTAAAAGATGCCACTGCTTTGGAAAAGATACAATCACATCCTAGAAGTAAGGATACAAAGAGTTTCGGTAAACCAGTTTCACCCTTGCTTTTGTAACGTGTCCACCTTGGGGTGTTCCTTTTTGTTCACTTCTACCATGTTGGTATCTGTTACTAAATCATTTTTTTCAACTGCCAGTTGCTATGGTTTATGAATATCAGATTAAAGTCATTTTTTCTGTCAATGTCCCAGAAGCAAACTCCTCCTCCTTCATTTCACTGCCAGCCCATGACCACAGAGTGATCTGACCTTTAGCTTCCCAGGACAAAGATGCAGGATAATTCAGCCTGCCCCTTCTGAAGCTTTTCTTAACAACAGCCAACATAGCATGGCACATTTAAAACCTGTACAGTTTACACCCCCTGGCATGACCCATTTGTCATCTAGAAAGATATTTGGCCACATCCGAGCACACACAAGAAAAAGCCAGTCAGGACCAGCTCCTCTGGCCCTGATTAGCTGGCACCCATAAGTAATTCCCATTGCAGAATTAAACCATAATTATTGATATTCCTGACAAGCGTGGAAAATCCATGAATCCATTATTTGTGGTTCAATATATTCTTTCTAAATCAGACCATCTAGAAACCTTTGTAATTTGGTTTAAGTGTTGGTCTTGCTTTGTGGATGAGGAGATTCTGCAAAGTATTTGACATCTCAGTTGGATGCATTTTAATGACAGGTAAGACAGAAAGGGGAAGGCATGGGAAACAGTGCTTGTTAGCCCTTTTTAAAAATTTTTATTGCCAGTCGGCATGCAGAACTTTCTCAGGTTTTTGTTTGCTTATGAAATGAATCTTCCCTATCAGGCTGATCTATCACAGGGGCAATTACTTTTACTTATGCGTGGAGTTTGATACAGACGTACCTTCCTTCTCATCATACTGTGATTGCAGAAAAATGCCAAAAACAGCAACCTGAGAGAAAATGGAAGGATGTCATTTTGACTTTTATTTGATATTTTGCAACCTTGCCTCAAACATAAAGCTCCCTTTGCGTCTCAAGTTTTTTATGTCTTACTCCAGCCAACACCCACAACTGAATCTCTACCTTCTGTTAGGGAAAACATGACAGGTTGCAGTTTTACATCGAGATGATGGGAGTGAATGCTCATCCTACTTTTCTAGATTTCTGTCTTCTTGTCCTCAAGTTTTTTTGCTTTGACATCCATGAAGCACACCGCCTCAGAAACTAAGAACCATTCTTTTTATTGTGGTTATTTTGGGTAAAAATATAGAAGACAGAAAGCCTGGAATCCAGTGCCAGTAAAATTTGACACTTGTCTTTCTATTAAGTAGGAAAGTTAGAAAAGTTAAAAATGTAGATCTTCCTTAGAGAAGTTCATATGACCACTTTGAGATTCATTCTGAACTTCTGAAAAATGGGTATAATAGTACCTATTTTAGAGGACATCTTCCTAATCGTACACCAGTGTAGAGAGACTTGGCTCAATAACGTCACTCATGTATTCCAGTGCACAGTGTAAATATGAGCTCTCCCTCGCTCTTTCTCTCTCTTCCGCTACCTCTGTGTGTGTGATTTTGTGTGTGTGTGTGTACACACAACAATACATGTTAAACATGGGTAGCCCTGACTTAGAAGGCTATTGAAGGAACCAGAATTAATGAATGCAATTGACAATGTTAAATTTTACTTGTGCTCCAGGAAAACAGTAACAGTAAAGAAATACCCCCTCTACCTGTTTTGTGTGTTCTGAGAAAGCAGTTACTGCAAAAAACACCATTCTCTTATGCCTTAGAGAAGATTCATGGATGTCCTTCCACTTTTATTGTCACTTTCAACAAAGACACACATCAATCTTTTAATTCCTATTTTTTGTCTCATAAAAGTTTAGCTAAACTGTGGCTCCACAGATGCATTGGATTGCAATGCTTATTCACAGGACTGGACCTAGTTCATGTAAGCTTCTTTGCATCACTCAGAGAATCCTGAACTTTGACCCAATCTCAGTTGGAGCCAGGGCATAGACCCTTCTTAAGGGCCTTTCCAGAGAATTAACTGACATTACCACAAGGAAGATATTGTCTAGTCCAATTATGCCACCACCCACTCGCCCATGTCTGGTCCTTTCTAGTAGTTTGTCTCTAAACTCCTTTCTGCCTAACCTTTGACATGCTTGAAGATCTTACTCTCTGTGTAATGCTGCATACCAATACTCCCCTTCCCATTATTAGAATAGTGTCCCTCTTTATTGCAATAATCATTTTGAATAAAGTTTTCCTTCCCTACATCTAGATGTGTTTTTACTTGACACAACACAATGAGTGCTTAGGTGTTTAGTACCAGAACCTGTATGATAGATAGCTTTGGCTATTACAGTTTTCCTCATTTGCAATCAAGTACATGAGATATGCAATTTAAAGCCCTGCCTGCCATCCACATACTGCATTTTGAGTGAGTCTGTTTGCACTACTCTGTATGTCATGGTGACCATTGCTTTTGATTGTTCAAGTGTTAGTTCACCTGACTCAAAAGGAAGCATGTGTTTGCACCTTGAGTAACCATGCTACCCTGCATTTATATATTTCAGGGCATCAGAAAAGGAATAAGGACATGAAAGTAGACTGTGATGTTCCTGTTTTGAGGAGGTTATTGTCCATATAGGGAAGTGGTGGTGACCCACCTGCATGGAAGGACAGGAAACAATATAAAAACCACATCACTGAGCTCTTAACTCTATCTTCCAACTAAGAAGAAAGTGATTAACATGACCAATCAGCTCACAAAAGACCACAAGCAACTCCCAGTGCAGTTGGGCAATGAGGCAGGCTGGATTCTCCTTGTGGGTATAAACCAAAAAGTATCTGACACAGGTCTCAATCAACTCAGAAGTTTATTTTGCCAAGATGAAGGAAATGTCCAGAAGAGATCAACACGAATCACAGAAACTGTCTGTGGTCTGTGCCTTTCTCCAAAGATGATTTGAAGGGCTTCAATATTTAAAGGAGAAATGTGGGCTGGAGAGACAGGAGGGAGGGTATGGTCACATTAGTCTGGGGTTTGCAAGGGAAAATGAGCAGGTAACTGTGTATTCCTCTTGGACTCAGTAAATGGGCACTTTACGTAAGATCTGGTGAACACAGAGCAGACACCTGTGGCTTTTATCCATAGCTATCTTCTTAGGAGCAAAGGAAAAGGCCACTTCTTGCGTGACTCAGCTTTTAGCTTAATTTTTTTTGGCATAGCAAATTGGGGTACCAAGTTTTTATTTTCCTTTCACAAGGGAAATCCTTGATTCCTGAAGTGGAAACTGCCTATAAAATTGGAGAATGAGAATGAGCTTGGAGCCACAGGCATGATCTAGAAACAGGGCTATCTATGATCCATGTCTGTATTTCTCTGCCGTCAACTTGAATGCCAGGACATCTTGCAGGAAAAGCTTGCCCCGTTTTCCGTAGAGCTGAATGCACACCTGAAAAAGTGTCCACAAAAAGTTAGAGCAGCTTCATGTCCCATGGCTACTCCTATGCAAAGGAGGTGAGACCACAGGTAAGAGCCAACATGCATGAGCTACCACAGCTCTCATTTGTTTCCCCAATCTTGACTTCAAAAAGCAACATGGCTGCAGTTTCACTTTTGCTCTAATATTGTTACAGAACTGAATGGCGGTCTGCTTGCCTGGCACAGCAAGCCAAACACTAACATTAGGATGGCAGCGAGAGGAAGTCAAGCATTTATTTGCAAGCACCAAGCAAGGAAAATTGGGTGATTCATGCCCAAGACCCCACCTGCCAGCGGCTTACAGGTAAGGATTTGTAAATGCAGGGGAAAATTTCAGGAAAGCAGAAGCTACAAGTACAATTTTAAATCAATTCAAGAACGTTACACATTGTTTTTGCCCTAAAAGGCAGGATATCCTGAAGCAGGGGACTCACAGGCTGATTCAAAGATTGCCTCTTGGCTAAGGAAAAGAAGCTTTGTTTAAAAATTGGGTTGGGCAGAAAAGAAAGATAGCTCTGGCTCATGGACATGACTTCCTCCAGCCCCCTCAGAAAGACATTTAAAATAAAGAATGGTGGTTACATTCTTAACCAGTTAAGTGGTTGCCCCTTAACTGAGGTCTGCATGCCAGTGAATGCATTTTCTGGGGTTCTGGGTTTCTGAAAAACAACTCAAGGACTTATGTTAAGATATTATCTTTAGTTCCTATAGGTAACCTAGTATCTCCTGGCTCTAGCTTCCTTTGTTGTTAAAGTACCATTACCTTCTTGGATATCAAGCTGCTTAATTACTTTTCAAGGCTAGCCAACTACCTGGAATTTCCCTTGAAGGAACTCGAGATTTTTCTTGACTTTGATAAGGCCTTTAAGAGGGGGTCCCTGCTTCATCATAAAACCAGGATAAAAATGGCTTTTGTGGGACACAGAAGATAGAAACACACAGGTGGGAGGATTCTAGGAAAAGTAATTTAGTCTAGGCAGGTTGACACATTACAAAATCATAAGGCTGAAATCTTATCCTTATATGAGTAATTTGGCATTAGGCAATGTATTTGAAAAAGTGTCTTTTTGGGCAATTGACATTATATATTGACTTTATATATTTATGCCATTATGGGGAACAACAGTGAAAATTCTATACTGGACATTAATTAAAACAAACAAATTACATTGTCAAAAACTCAGTTATGCAAGTGAGGCTGTCTCTTTTCAATGGCAACATGAGAAATTAGTGTCCTACGTCTACTTTTTTTAAGTAATTGACCAAGGTGCCTTCTGGGATGTGTGTTGGTCCTAGTAAATGCTACAGAATATAATAACAATGAGGGAAGACAACAGAAAGATCCTGAAAACCTCAACCAGGCACTATTGGCTTCCTTCCTTAATTTAGAGCTGGATTCTTCAAGATCCAGCTCAAAAAGCTCTCTGAATAATGCAGAAAAGCTAAACTGACTACTCTTGCTTTGATCATGTTGATGTCTTTCTCAGAATTATAGGATAACCCAGGGGATCACCAGAAGAAATCACCAAATTTTCTCTATGAAGGACCAAGTACTACAAATTTCTGTCTTTGCAGAAATGGATGTGGCTGTGTTGCAACAAAATTTTATTTGTAGACACTGATGTTTGAGTTTTATATAATTTTAATAGACTTTATTTTCTTAATATCAGTTCATAGGAAAATTGAGAAGAAGATACAGAGAGTTCACATCTACCCCCTACCCCTCCACAAACAGTCTCCTCCACTACCAACGTCTTCCACCAGAGTGGTGCATTTGTTGTCAGTGAACCTACAAGGACACATCATTATCCCCCAAAGTCCATAGTTCACATTAGGGTTCACTCTGTGTTTACATCCTGTGGGTTTGGACAAATATATAATGACTACTTCAGTATCATACAAAGTGGCTACACTGCCCTAAAATTCTTCTGAGCTCTACCCTATTTCTCTCTCCTCCAAATACTTGGTAAACATGAGCACTGATCTTTGTCTCCAAGATTTTGGCTTTTCCATCTTTACCCACGAACAGTTAACATAGTGACAACTTAATTACCAATAGAAAGATTAAAGTATAAAATGAAAAATCTGCACTCTCATCAGTGATAACCACTAAAAAAAGACCTTGACTCAAAAAAATTCCACAAATTTTTTCTACAACAATGTTGGAAAGAGATTTCTGCACCACCATAAGCCACATATGCCTATACTGTAATGCCAATAGCTTAAAGGGATATTTTGTATTGACTTTTAGAAGTCTCCCAGTGACAAATAAATTTCCCTAAATGTCTTTCCATTATGCATTGAAAATGCCAGAGCACAAAAAGATTCCGTAAGTGTTTTGAAACTGAAGCCACTGAATTGATGGAAACTGAGGTGGGGTGGGATGTTCTACTTTGCCATCTGTCTTACAGACTTGTTTATGAATATGCACTTTAGTTTAGAAAGAAGCACATTGAGTTTTGGAGGCCTGATGCAAATTAATTAATTAATTCAGCCTACAGCAGCAACATCTATGTCAAAGGCCTGCAGAGGTGCCAGAATCATCAATATTTAAAACATGAGTTTCCATTTCATTTTATTTTTAGAGCCTTGCTTTCAAGAATTTATTCAATGACCTAATAATCTGTGCTAATATTCAGGTTGACATCAGGATCTTGATATTTTTGGGCCCAAGGTGAGGGACAGTTCATGTAAGTCTGCCTCTTACACGGGTCGTCAGAAAAGCCCCCAAAATTCTTTTCCAAAGACTTTGATAATCAAATGAGGTCTTGCCAACCATGTCAGTTCCCAATCTCTTGCAGTCTTATCAAGACCTTGCATTTGCAAACCTTAGCTAACTTCTTTGTTTATGAGGAGTGAATGTATATCATGATTCTTATAAGTATTTAATAAATTAACTCATGCCTGCCCTTAGAGTTGCACATTGTTACTTCATTCCCACCTTCCAGATAGAGAAACAGAGGTACAGAATGGTTACGTTCTTGTCCAAGTTCATACAGCAGTAAGTGAAGTATCAGAAAGTGAATTCGATGCAAGATGGATGTTACTCATGCTCCCTGTACCTGCACCAGACAAACATGGTTCAATATTAATTTATTTAATTTAATTAAAATTAGCTAAACAGCAGAGTTGTGTTATGGCTTAGCCCTTGGACTTTTGACTCAATAACTCAACATTTCATTTTTTAAAAAAAATTTTCGGAGATGAGGATCTCACTGTGTCATCCAGTCTGGAGTGCAGTGGTGCAATCATGGCTCACTGTAGCCTTGACCTCCTGGGCTCAAGCCATCCTTCTGCCTCAGCCTTTTGAGTAGCTAGGACTAGAGACATGCACCACCATGTCCATCTAATTATTTTCTTTATTTTTGTAGAAATGGGGTATTGCTATGTTTCCAGGTTGGTCTCCAACTCCTGTACTCAAATGATCCTCCTGCTTCATCCTCCTGAATCTCTGAGATTACATGCATGAGCCACCACTGCACTTGGCTGACAACTTAACATTTCTGTTGCTCAGCTTTCCATACTTAGTACAGAGGTCCCAATTCTCCATTTATATGAAGTAGAGCTACTCGTTATACTCACCTCATAATGTTGCCTTGAAGATTAAATATCTGGCATGCATCAACAGCATAATAAGTGTTATCATGGCTGCTATTATCATTTGGAGGACTTCACTCAGTGCTAAGAGTGATAATATCATAACAATTGTGATTATATACCACAATAATTGTGATTAACAATTATACATTCTATGGATTTTTTTTGTGTGTGATGTGTACAGGGAATGTTCATTACCTTCAAAGGACAAAAAACATTCCAGGGTGTAGTCTTGATTCATAATAGCAATCACAGCACTTTGCTGTGGACAACAAGACAAACTGATTTCCACCCTCTTCCTATTGTTGAAGCAGGGGGTTTATCATGAAAGAGTCAAAGGGGAGGGGTCTGCAGAGAGAAAGGGAGCTGAGAACCACACAGAATCAGCACTGAGGTCCAGTCTTAGAAGACAGCCCAAAAGGTTCCTGAAAGGATAGCCTTGAATTAGATATTAAATAAAGAACATGGCCAGGGAGTGGCTCACCCCTGTATTCCCTGTGCTTTGGGAGGCTGAAAAGGAGGATCACTTGGGCCCAAGATTTCAAGGCTAGCCTGGGTAACAAGACCCCATCTTTAAAATGTGGCAAGCACCTTTAGTTCCAGCTACTCAGGAGGCTGAGGTGAAAGGATTGCTTGAGCCCAGGAGTCTGAAGCCAGCCTCGGCAACATAGGCAACATCTCTATAAGGTGGCATGGTGCTTTTAGTTCCAGCTATGCAGAACGCTAAGGTGGGGTGATCACTTGAGCCTAAGAGTTTGAGCCCAGCCTGTGTGACATAGAAAGATCCCTTCTCCACAAGGTGGCATGTACTTTCATTTCCAGCTACTCATATAAGGTTGGAGGATCACTTGAGCCCAAAAGTTTGAGGCCAGCCTGAGTAACGTAGGGAGACCCCCTCTCTGCAGGGTGGCAGGCACCTTCAGTTCCAGCTACACAGGGAGCTGAAGTGGGAGGATGACTTAAACACAGAGTTCAAGGCCACCATGAGCAACATAGCCAGACTTAGTATCTACAAGCTGGCAGGCAACTTAAGTTCCAGCTACTCAAGAGGCTGAGGTGGGAGGATCATTTGAGCCCAAGACTTTGAGGCCAGCCTGGCCAACGTAGCAAGTCCCCCTCTCTTCAAGGTGGCAAGCACCTTTAATCCCAGCTTCTCAGGGGGCTGAGGTGGGAGGATTACTTGAGCCAAGGAGTTCAAGGTTGCCATGATGTATAATTACACTACTGAACTCTGAGTGAGACACTGTCTCTAAAATTAAAAAAGAAAAGACCACACCAGGAGAAACCATGGTAATAAGAACCTGCCTCTGTAAGGTCCCTAGTAGGTCTAGACCCCACCTTGTAGGTGCTATGAAAGTTACAATATTAGGTTTTTGTGCTGAATTTTCCAACAAGATCTAGGGATATC
This sequence comes from Homo sapiens, assembly GCF_000001405.40. Lineage (NCBI taxonomy): Eukaryota > Metazoa > Chordata > Mammalia > Primates > Hominidae > Homo > Homo sapiens. The sequence goes on along the minus strand of NC_000024.10, from coordinate 15,860,588 downwards.
TGCAACTGTAGAACTTTAAACATCAGCTGCATCTACATAGTGAAACACAAAACCGGCATAGAGTGTGGGGTTGCCCACCATGAGTACAGGGAGTTTCGATATCTAGGATTAAAGAAGACTGATTTCAGGAACCCCTGCAGCAATGAGACAGAAATACAATATATGCCTTATTTACAATATATTCATTATGCAGCACTATTTACAATAGCATGCTCTTGTCTTATAGGGGAACTTCCTTACATATTTTTAATTATACTCCATTCAAATTAGCTTGCCAATAACTTTTCAACCCAGGCTTTTCTTATTCATTTTTATTCCATTTTCTTCCTCAATTAGACACAACAATCAGTATATCATCAAGATAAATGGATTATGAATGGCTACCAGATTGTTTCCTAAGAAGGGATGCAATCTCCTGGCCCTATCAGGTCAACCTCAGGATAGTCACAGATTCTCAGAGCAGTTGTCACTGCTTGCAACAGAGTCCTCACAAGGCTTCTAGAGCATACCTCACTCACCGCAGAGTCTCACCATATCCTGTGTCATACACCAGCAGCTCCTCATTTCATTCCTGGGCACTATCCTTATCAAGGAATCGCAGGTGATAGATTGGTCCATTTGTAGCCCAAAACCTACATCATTTATACAAATATTTGGATTCTGGCTCTCCCTTAAAAGTAACACAAATTACTGACTGTCCTAAATCTCCATTTCATCTGTCACACAATAGGCATCTAGGTTTACTGTGAGGAGTCACAGATAGAAGATATTAGCAAATCTTATCCTGTTGTTGTGTTGTTGTTGTTGTTGTTGTTGTTTTTAATTTCCACCTTTTAAGTTCAGGGGTACATGTACATGTTTGTTACTCAGGTAAATGTGTGCAGTGGTGGTTTGCTTCACATATCATCCCATTGCCTAGGTATTAACCCCAGCATCCATTAGTTATTCCCCATGCTCTCCCTTCCCCTGTCCTCCACCTTCTGACAGACCCCAGTATACAATGTTCCCCTCCATGTGGTCTCATCATTCAGCTCCCACTTATAAATGAGAACATGCGGTATTTGGTTTTCTGTTCCTGCATTAGTTTGCTGAGGATAACAGCTTTCAACTCCATCCATGTCCCTGCAAAGGACATAATCTTATTCCTTTTTATGGCTGCATAGAATTCCATGGTATATATGTACCATTTCTTTTAATCCAATCTATCATTGATGGGCATTAGGGTTGAACCCACATCTTTGTTATTGTGAACACAGCTGCCATGAGCATATTCACAGTACGTTGTTTATTCACAATTTGTTCATTACACAGCACTATTCACAATAGCATGTTCTTGTCCTGTGGGGAGGACTCTATAATCATCTCTGTGTGTATCTTATAACTATTAGCAGCATTTCGTTAGTAATAATATTGAGCTGGAAGTTGGTAGCTGTGTGCTGGTGTTTTGCCTCACCACATAGAAGCAGCTAATGTTTAAACTTCTTCAGATGGACACATCCTTAGACCTTGTCAGAAAATTAGACACAAAAAAATAATACTGTAAATTTTATAGCAGGTACAAGTTGGGATCTAGACATCCCACTTTTATTTTCACTCGATCGTAACAGCACAGGCATGATTTAAGAAATAAGCCACCACATTTCAAAGGATGAAGTCTCAGCAAACTGTTCATTGTGTTGGCTCTCAGAAATTATAGACTTTCTTCTTCAATATTTGAGAAGCTTATTGTGACAGCCTTCTGATAATAACTTCATCTTTTAATGACAATGCTTTCCTAAATACTTTAAAGCTTCCAAATCCAACATGGATAGATAATAAACACCTGGAAGGTAGAATAAATTTGATAATTATTTCTAGACTATTTCCAGTTCTTAAAGTTGTGGACAACTATGGTTCATTTTCCATGTGACTTTGGAAACTGTGTAAATAAGAAATATAGGGTTTTCCTTTATCCTAAGCAAAAAATATAAGTGAAAAAAGTAAATAATATGATTGGTAAAGTAGGAAAATGTTACTTTATAAACATGAGTGTTAAAATTAAGGAGACTTAAGGGGAGAGAAGGACATAAAATGTTAGATGGCAGTGTCCCCTGGTGAACTATGATATTTTTGGCCAAACAATATTAGATGCTATAAACCAGGAGTCTACAATCTACATCCCAGGGCAAATCTGGCTATGGTGTTAGGGCATTTATACATATTTTATACATATTGGTTTTCATGCACAGTTTCTGGCTTATAACTCCTAAAGCCCTTGGGATCTCCTAAGTGCTGTCTTTTATGTGTCTTTTGTCTGATAGGTTCAGAGTAGCACTGGTCACCAAAAAGACCAAGGCAGGATTAGAGGGTAGGGACTTTTAGCTGCATGCCCTACCTCCAGAGAGGGAAGATGGGACAAAGATTAAGTTGATCACCAATGCCTAATGGTCTAGTTAATCATCCTATGTCCTGAAGCCTCCTTAAAAATCCAAAGGACAGGGTTCAGAGGGCCCCTGTAGAGCTGAACAAATGTAGTTCAACAGAAGCGGGATGAAAAGCTTATCCAGCATTGGGACAGTGTCACACCCCAACTCCTCGGGGACAGAACTCTTCGCTTGAGTAACTTCCCCAGACTTTGCCCTATGTGTCTTCATCTGGCTGTTTATCTGTACACTTTAAAATATCATTCCTAATAAACCACTAAATGTAAGGGTTTTCCTGAGTTATGTGAGCCACCTAGCAAATTAATCAAACCCAAAGAGGAGATTGTGGGAACCCCAACTAGAAGTTGCTTGGTCAGAAGTTGCAGAGGCCTGTACTTGTGACTGGGGGAAAGAAGAGTGTGGTCTGTGGGACTGAGTCCTTAACTTGCAGGATTTCATGCTATCTGTGTGTAGAGACTGTTGGAACTGAATTAGAGGACAACCAGATGGTGTACACTGTTTTGTGTGGGTAAAAACCCTACACATTTGGTCACAGAAGTCTTCTTCTGTGCTGATGATTGTTGTCGTATGAAAGTAGAGGAAAAACATAGTGACAGAATTTTTACCTACATACCAACAGACACCTGCTTTGTGTAAATAAAGCTTTATTGGAACACAGATGTGCCCATTTGTTGAGATATTATCTACAGCTGCTTTCAAGCCACAGCAGCAGAGTTACATAGCTATAAGACAACCAGATGGCCTGCAAAGCCGAAAATATTTACAATTTAAAGTGTTTTTTCTACACTTTTTAAAAATTATATTGTAAGTTCTGGGATACATGTGCAGAATATGCAGGTTTGTTGCGTAGGTAAACATGTGCCATGCTGGCTTGCTGCACCCATCAACCCGTCATCTACACTAGGTATTTCTCCTAATGCTATCCCCTATCTCTCTCCCCACCCCCTCACAGGTCACAGTGTGTGATGTTCCTCTCTTTGTGGCCATATGTTCTCATTGTTCAACTCCTACTTATGAGTGAGAACATGCAGTGTTTGGTTTGCTGTTCCTGTGTAAGTTTGCTGAAAATGATGGTTTCCAGCTTCATCCATGATGATGGAAAAGACATGAACTCATTCTTTTTGTGGCTGCATAGTATTCCTTATTATACATGTGCCACATTTTCTTTATCCAGTCTAACATTGATGGGCATTTGGGTTGGTTCCAAGTCTTTGCTATTGGGAACAGTTCTGCAATAAACATATGTGTGCACCTGTCTTTAAAGTAAAATGATTTTTAACTCTTCTGGTATATATGCAGTAATGGGATTGCTGGTTAAATGCTTCTAGATCCTTGAGGAATCACCACATAGTCTTCACAATGATTGAACTAATTGACACTCCCACCAACCATGTAAAAGTGTTCTTATTTCTCTACATTTTCTCCAGCATCAGTTGTTTCCAGACTTTTTAATGATCACCATTCTAACTGGTGTGAGATGATATCTCATTGTGGTTTTGATTTGCATTTCTCTAATGACCAGTGATTATGAGCTTCTTTTTTCATATGTTTGTTGGTCACATAAATGTCTTCTTTTGAGAAGTGTCTGTTCATATCCTTCACTCACGTTTTGATGGGTTGTTTGTTTTATTCCTGTAAGGTTGTTTAAGTTCTTTGTAGATTCTCGATGTTAGCCCTTTGTCAGATGGATAGATTGAAAAATTTTCTCCCATTCTGAAGATTTCCTGTTATCCATGATGATATTTTATTTTGCTGTGCAGAAGCTCTTTAATTTAATTGTATAACATTTGTCAATTCTGGCTTTTGTTGGCATTGCTTTTGGTGTTTTAGTTATGAAGTCTTTGCCCATGCCTATGTCCTGAATGGTATAGCCTAGGTTTTCTTCTAGGGTTTTTATGGTTTTAGGACTTACATTTAAATTTTTAATCCATCTTGAGTTAATTTTTGTATAAGGTGTAGGGCAGGGGTCCAGGGGATGACTAGACAGTTTTTCCAACACCATTTGTTAAATAGCGAATCCTTTTCCCATTGCTTGGTTTTTTGTCAGGTCTGTCAAAGACAGATGGCTGTAGACGTGTGGTGTTATTTCTGAGGCCTCTTTTCTATCCCGTTGGTCTATATATCTGTTTTGGTACCACAACCATGCTGTATTGGTTACTGTAGCCCAATAGCATAGCATGAAGTCAGGTAGCATGATGCCTCCAGCTTTGTTCTTTTCGTTTAGGACCATCTTGGCTACACAGGAACTTTGCTGGTTCCATAGGAAATTTAAAGTAGCTTTTTTCTAATTCTGTGAAGAAATTCAATGGTAGCTTGATGGGGATAGCATTGAGTCTGTAAATTACTTTGGGCAGTATGGCCATTTTCACAATATTAATTCTTCCTATCCATGAGTGTGACATGTTTTTCCATTTGTTTGTGTCCTCTGTTATTTCCTCAAACAGTGGTTTGTAGTTCTCCTTGAAGAGGTCCTTCACATCCCTTGTAAGTTGTATTCCTAGGCATTTTATTCTCTTTGTAGCTATTGTGAATGGGAGTTCACTCATGATTTGGCTCTCTGTTTGTCTAATATATGTGTATAGGAATGCTTGTGATTTTTGCACATTGATTTTGTATCGTGAGACTTCGCTGACATTGCTTATCAGCTAAAGAAGATTTTGGGCTGAGACGATGGGGTTTTCTAAATATCCGATTATGTCATCTGCGAACAGAGACAATTTGATTTCCTCTCTTCCTATTTGAATACCTTTATTTATTTCTCTTGCCTGATTGCCCTGGCCAGAACTTCCAATACTATGTTGAATAGGAGTGGTGAGAGAGGGCATCCTTGTCTTATGTCAGTTTTCAAAAGGAATGCTTCCAGCTTTTGTCCATTTACTATGATATTGCCTGTGGGTTTTTCATAAATAGCTCTTATTAGTTTAACAAATGTTCCATCAATACCTAACTTATTGAGTGCTTTTAGCATGAAAGTTTGTTAAATTTTATTGAAGGCCTTTTCTGCCTCTTTTGAGATAATCACGTGGTCTTTGCCATTGGATTTGTTTATGTGATGGATTACATTTATTGATTTGCATATGTTGGACCAGCCTTCCATCCCAGGGATAAGCTCACTTGCTCGTGGTCCATATGTTTTTTAAATTGCTCTTGGATTCGGTTTGCCAGTATTTTATTGAGGATATTTGCTTCAATGTTCATCAAGGATATTTGCCTGGAATTTTGTTTTTGTTGTGTCTCTGACAGGTTTTGTTATCAGAATGATGCTGGCCTCATAAAATGAGTTAGGGAGGAGTCCCTCTTTTTATATTATTTGAAATACTTTCAGAAGGAATGGTACCAGCTCCGCTTGTTACCTCGGTTGGAATTTGGCTGTGAATCTGTCTGGTCCTGTACTTTTTTTGGTTTGTAGACTATTAATTACTGCCTCAATTGCCGAACTTGTTATTGGTCTATTCAGGGATTTGGCTTCTTCCTAGTCTACTCATGGGAATTTATCCATTTCTTCTAGATTTTCTAGTTTATTTACATAGAGGTGTTTATACTATTCTCTGATGGTAGTTTGTATTCTTGTGAGATCAGCAGTGATATCCCTTTAACATTTTTTATTGTGTCTGTTTGGTTATTCTTACTTTTATTCTTCTTTGTTAGTCTGGCTAGTGGTCTATCTGTTTTGTTAATCTTTTCAAAAAACCAGTCTGGATTCATTGATTTTTTGAAGGGTTTTTCATGTCTCCATTTCCTTCATTTCTTCTTTGATCTTAGTCATTGCTTGTCGCCTGCTAGCTTTTGAGTTTGTTTGCTCTCGCTTCTCTAGTTCTTTTAGTTGTGATGTTAGGGTGCTGATTTTAGATCTTTCCTGCTTTCTCTTGTGAACATTCAGTGCTATAAGTTAACCTCTAAACAATGCTTTATCTGTCTCCCAGAGATTCTGGTACATTGTGACTTTTTTCTCATTTGTTTCAAAGAACTTACTTATTTCTGCCTTAATTTCAATATTTACCCAATAGTCATTCAGGGGCAGGTTGTTCAGTTTCCACATAGTTGGGCAGTTTTGAGTGAGTTTCTTAATCCTGAGTTCTAATTTGATGCACTGTGGTCTGAGAGGCTGTTATTATTTCTGTTCTTTTGCATTTGCTAAGGAATGTTTTACTTCCAATTATGTGGTTGATTTTAGAATAAGTGGTATGTGGTCCTGAAAAGAATGTATATTCTGTTGATTTGGGGTGGAGAGTTATGTAGATGTCTATTAGGTCCACTTGGTCCACAGTTGAGTTCAAATACTGAATATTCTTGTAATTTTCTGTCTCATTGATCTGTCTAATATCGACAGTGGGGTGTTAAAGTCTTCCACTATTATTATGTGGGACTCTAAGTCTCTTTGCAGGTCTCTAAGTACTTGCTTCATGAATCTGAATGCTCCTGTATTGGGTGCCCATATATTTAAGATAGTTAGCTCTGCTTGTTGAATTGACCTCTTTACCATTATGTAATGACCTTCTTTTTCTTTTTTGATCTTTGTTGTTTTAAAATCTGTTTTATTGGAAACTAGGATTGCAACCCTGATTTTTTTTTTCTTTCAATCTGCTTGGTAAGTTTTCCTCCATTCATTTATTTTGAGCCTATGTGTGTCTTTGTCCATGAGATGGATCTCCTGAATATAGCACATATATGGTTCTTGACACTTTATCCAATTTGCCAGTCTGTGCCTTTTAATTGGGGCATATAGCCTATTTACATTTAAATTTCATATTGTTATATGTGAATTTAATCCTGTCATTATGATGCTAGCTGGTTATTTTGCCCATTAGTTGATGCAATTTCCTGAATATGATGTTGGCCTATTATGCTAGGTTGGGGAAGTTCTGGATAACATCCTGAAGTATTTTCCAACTTGGTTCCATTCTCCTTATCACTTTCATGTACACCAATCACACATACGTTTGGTCTTTTTACATAGTCCCATATTTCTTGGAGGCTTTGTTAGTTCTTTTCATTCTTTTTTCTCCAATCTTGTCTTCACACTATTTCATTAAGTTGATCTTCAATCTCTGATATCCTTTCTTCTGCTTGATTGATTCAGGTATTGATACTTGTGTATGTTGTATGAAGTTCTCTTGCTGTGTTTTCCAGCTCCATCAGGTCATTTATGTCCTTCTTTCAACTGATTAATCTAGTTAGCAATTCCTCTAACCTTTTATCAAGGTTCTTTGCTTCTTTGCATTGGGTTAGAACATGCTCTTTTATCTCAGAGGAGTTTGTTTTTACCCACCTTCTGAACTCTACTTCTGTCAATGCATCAAATTATTCTCCATCCAGTTTTGTTCCCTCATTGGTGAGGAGTTGCGACACTTTGGAGGAGAGGAGGAATTCTGGTTTTTGGAATTTTCAGCCTTCTTGCACTGTTTTTCCCTCATCTTATTGGATTTATTTAACTTTGGTCTTAGTTACTGGTGACCTTTCAATGGAGTTTATATGTGGTTGTCCTTTTTGTTGATGTCAATGCTATTGCTTTCTGTTTGTTAGTTTTCTTTCCAACAGTCAGGCTCTTCTTCTGCAGGTCTGCTGGAGTGTACTGGATGTCCATTTCAGACTCTGTTTGCCTGAGTATCACCAGCAGAGGCTGCAGAACAGCAAAGATTGTTGCCTGCTCCTTCGTCTGGAAGTTTCCTACCTGAAGGGTACCTGGTAGATGCCAGCCGGAGGTTTTTTTTGTGAGGTATCTGTCAAACCCTGCTGGGAGATGTCTCCCTGTCAGGGGGCACAGGGGTCAGGCACCCACTTGAAGAGGCAGTCTGTCCCTTAGTGGAGCTTAAGCAGTGTGCTGGGAGATCCACTTCTCTCTTCAGAGTTGGCAACAGAAACATTTAAGTCTGCTGAAGCTGCCCCCACAGCTGCCCCTTCCCCTAGGTGCTCTGTCCAAGGGAGATGGGAGTTTTATCTATAAGCCTCTGATGGGCTGCTGCCTTTCTTTCAGAGATGACCTGCCCAGAGAAGAGGAATCTAGAGTCAGTCTAGCTACAGGGACTTTCAGGCAGGGCAGTGGGATCCGCTGAGACTGAACTTCCTAGAGGCTTTGTTTACACTGTGAAGGGAAAACAGGCTACTCAAGCCTCAGTATGGCGGACTCCCCTCCCCACATTAAGCTTGAGCATCCCAGGTCAACTTCAGACTGCTGTGCTGCCAGTGAGAATTTCAAGCCAGTGGATCTTAGCTTTCTGGTCTCCTTGCGGGTGGGATCTGCTAAGCAAGACCACTTGGCTCCCTGGCTTCAGTCCCCTTTCCAGGAGAGCAGGAGAGTGAATGGTTCTGTCTCACTGGTGTATTCCAGGCACCACTGGGATACATTAAAAAAAAAAAAAATAACAACAACAACAAAAAAAAACTTCTGCAGCTAGATCAGTGTTTGCCCAAATGGCTGTCCAGTTTTGTGCTTGAAATCCAGGATCCTTGTGGTGTAGGCACTCAAGGGAATCTCCTGGTCTGTGGGTTGTGAAGACCATGGGAAAAGCATGGTATCTGGGCTGCATAGCTCTGTCCCTCATGGCACAGTGTGTCATTGTTTCATTTGGCTAGGGGAGGGAGTTCCCTGACCCCTGTGCTTCCTGGGTAAGGCAATGACCCACTCTGCTTCTGCTCACTTTCAGTGTGCTGCACCCACTGTCTAACAAGTTCCAATGAGATAAACCGGGTACCTCAGTTGGAAATGCAGAAATCACCTGCCTTCTGCATTGGTCTTTCTTGCAGCTGCAAACTGGAGATATTGCTATTTGGCCATCTTGCCCAAGAATCCTCAGAGTTTGATGTTTTACAGGAAAAGTGCATATGGCCTTGCTGTCTTATGTGCATTAAATTTAGTATTTCCACCAACCTGAATTGATAGTTGTTTTTGTCTGTTGTTTTAATCAGATGCTCAGAATAGTTTAATGACCCACCCAACACCAAAAAAAAATGGGGGTGGGTGTGTCATGATATGAGGTCCTGACATTTTAATTCTAGAGCTTTCTTCTACACCTCTGAGAACAAAAAAGTAGGTTTCATCATGTAGAGGCAGGAATCCTCCCATGCTGGATGTATTTTGGGCTAGAGAAAAATTGTAGGTGGTAAAATGTGTCCATGTTATTGATGTCTAATAGATGGAGATGACAAGATACCAATGATGTGGGATTTCTCATTCACATGCAGAGAAAATCTTTCTATACCAGTTTTATACACATGGAGTCACACAACCAGGGAGATAGGTACAGGCTTAGCCATTGCCCATTACATGTGGGCAGTACTGGCCTTATAAATACCAAGAGTATATTCACCAAATTCCAGGTACACAGATATTGATCAGGCCATGAGCTGCCAATATTATTTAGACAGCCACTACGTTATACTTGAGACAGTCTTGCATCTTGAAACCTCAAAAGAAGGGCTCCTTCATATTTATTCAGGATACTGTGCACACTTAGCTATGATTTTTAATCTAATCATCACTAATCTTAAATACCTTGGAATACAGAAAAAGTCATCCAAACCTATGTTTTAGTGTTAAATAATCTAAATTTTACCTTATTATTTAGGTTAATATCACCTGATAAAGAGATTCTGTTCTTTCTGATAGAGAAGCCAAAAACAGGCTATCCTTCACAGATCCATTCCTCTGTTTCTATTCCAATAACACTCATTTCTAGAAATTCATGAAGAAACCACACATTATCATTGTAAATTATCATCAGGGGATATACAAAATCATCACTTGTTTCAAAGATCTGTTCAGCTTTAAAATTTGTGCTAAAACATCAATGTTTATTTAACACTAAAAATAATTAAATTTAGATGACATCAATGGGTTAGGTGAATTCAAATTAAAGTTAGGTAAGCATTTGGTAGTATCCATAAATAGACAAACCTAAAGGGCTTTTATGAGGCTGTGCACCTCTTTAACACCTAGAAAATACACAAAAGCCCAAGGTTGCATTAATACACTCCAAATTAAAGGATTTTTTTATCTTTATATAAAGTGATGACTGTGTCTACATCAGGAGGTAATTTTCACAGTTCAGCAATTTTTACTTGAACTTTGTTTTAGAGAAAGATCATGAATAAGAATGTTCAACTGGAAGCCAAGTGTTTGGGAGTCAACTTCATGTAATCCACCAATATTGGATGAAAACCAGCATTACTTGCCTGGAAACCCATTAAAACATTGAACCAAGCACACAAAACAGACAGATTTATCTTCTGTAAATTATGGTTTCTCATGGGTTGACATGCTCAATATAAATGGCAGTATTAATTTCTTTAGCTTTGTATTTAATAGATAATTATCCTTTAAATAAATTAATCGACATAAATATTGCTGTAATAAATCTGTATCCACACTGTAATGTTCTTATCAGGTTAAATGAGCTTGAGAGAATCTCATCATTAAAAAATCACAATATTACTGTCTAGACTGGTGTTAACCAAAGAGCTCCCTGTGATGATGGAAATGTTCCATATTAATAAGGTGAAGGATCAAAACCATCAGTCATACAAGGATCTTGATATCTTAAAGTGGCTGATACATCTGAGAATGAATTTTAAATTTTGCTTAATTTTTTTAAATCCTAATTTTAGCTTAAATAGCCATATTGGCTAAAGGCTACTCAACTGGACAGAACAAAATCTCTTTACCAGGTACCAAGAACCTCAATAATAAGATAAAATGTAAATTATTTAACACTAAAAATAATTAAATTTAGAAGACTTTTTTTTATATCAAGATACGAAAAGTCAGTGATGGTTAGATTATGACTCATTGGCCTGGGCACACTGCCCATGCCCATAATCCCAGCACTTTGGGAGGCTGAGATGGATGGATCATCTTAAGCCAGGAGTTCAAGACCAGCCTGGCCAACATGGTGAAACATCATCTCTACTAAAAATACAAAATTTACTCAAATGTGGTAGCACATGCCTGTAGTCCCAGGGAAGTCTGAGACAGGATAATCCCTTGAACCCAGGAGGTGGAGGTTTCAGTGAGCTGAGATTGTGCCACTGCTCTCCAGCCTGGATGACAGTGAGATTTCATCTCAAAAAAAAAAAAAAAAAAGATTATGAATTATAGCTTAGTTTGCATATTATCCCACATAAATATGAGGGAGCCCTTTTACTGGGGGTTCAGGAAGCCAGATTGTCCCAGGTATAATCCAGTAGCTGTTCATGAAAACATTTATCATTGATACAAAAAATGTCAAGAATTTTGGGGTGTTAGTTCTCATGATACACCCAATTATTTGCTGTTTTTCAAGAGTTTAAATTTGTGGTAGGCTAAAGAACATCTCCTCCTCGCAGTATCCATGTTTTAATTCCCTGAACCTTTGATTATGCTATGTTTTATGGCTTTTATAAGCTAAATCATGTGTCCTCCAAATTTACTTGCTGGAGTCCTAACCCCTGGAACCTCAGAATATGATTGTATTTGGATAGGTCCTTGACAGAGGAATTTAAAATGAGGTTCAAAATGAGAATTTAAAATTTTAAATGAGGTTACAAGAGTGGGCCTTAATCCAGTAGGATTAAGGAGAGTGGATTAGGCATAAGGAGAGTGGATTAGGCAACAGACACACACAGAGGAGGTTATGTGAAGACACAAGGAGTAGATGGGGTCTACAAGCCAAGGAGAGAGGCCTTCAGAAGAACCAGCCCAGTCCACACCTTGATCTTGGACTTCCAGCCCCCAGGACTGTGGGAGAATAAACATCTGTTGCATAGGTCACCCCATCTGTGGTACTTTGTTATGGTAGCCAATGCAAATTCATACCATGACCAAAGGCTCTTTGTAGACATCTATACCATGGCCGTTAAAATAAAAAGATTATCCTGAATTATCTGGGTAGGCTCAATCTAATCACATGAGCCTTCAAAGGCAGAGAAGCATTCCTGGCTGTGTTCAGAGAAATGCAGCAGAAGAGGAGGCAGGAACAATTTGAAGCATGAGAAAAAGTAGGTCAGCTGTAGCTAAACCCAGTGCAGAGAACCCTGTTGAGCCACGTGCCACCTAGATAACTCCCTCTCCTTCTTTATAAGAAGCAGTGAAACACTCCAAGACTGAAGTGCAGTACTGTTGTCATGGCTCACTGTAGGCTAGATCTCCTGAGCTTAAGAGATCTTCCCACCTCAGCCTCCCAAGTACAAGTAGCTAGGACCATAGTTACATACCACCATGCTTGGCCTTTCTTTTTGTTTCTTTTTCTTTTCCTTATGTATGTATGTATTTATTTTTTTTGTAGAGGCAAGTTCTCACTATGTTGCCCAGGCTGACTTCTTATCTATAATACTGACAGATAACACATGAGATTCACTTCAAGCTGCTTAGTGTATGGTCACTGGTTATATCTGCAATAGAAAATAAACAGACAGCTAGATCATTGTTACTATTAAATAATAATAATTCCTGGCACCATCCATGCCAGTTAATTTATGGAGCATTTAAAATAACTATTTTGAAGGCAAACTACTGAAAGCACTGAGATTCTCTGTCTTACTGCTAAAATCAATGAGGCTGCCTTTTCATACTTTAGGCACTTAGGAAGTTGACCAAATGCCAAGATGCAAAGCATACACAAAGGTATCTTAAATGATTTTGTGCAAATTGCAAATTACTCTTCTGGGTAAAATATTACTTTTGACAAAGACTCAACTCAAAGCAACCAAGGATGATTGCAGAGAGTTTTCAAAACCTCATTTACCCACACAACCTTAATGGTAGAGTGTGTGATAAATCTAAGTTCTCAAAGGACCAAGAATCCAGTGGCAATCTTTTGTTACTAACATTTTCCATGGAAGTTATAGTATTAGTTATGGCAAATTAGCTTCAACTCTGCAGACATTTTTTTTTCTCCCTGGGGTTGATTTGCTGCTTTCTCAGGCATTCTTCTTCTGGCTAGCTATGCTTAGCAAATTAACGTACCATAAATATTTAAATTTAGTTGTTTTTCTACTTTTGTTATCCACAAAAAAAAAATCATTTAGCTCTAAAGAAATCCTCTAAACTCTTGAGTTCACTATGTAACCACTAAAACTGTGCATAATAATTATGTGCACTTTTCACTAGCAACGTTCAACAACACAACTGATCAACAACCTGCTGTTTAATCATAATGCACTTTTTTTCTGCAAATATTGATTTAGTGCTGACTGTATCTCAGGTACCTTTGAGAGGCTGTACAGAATACAGATGAAGGAGTTAGCATCTACAGTTAGAGATAGCCAGGCAAAAACTGCAATGTGTGATGCAGGGAATAGAAGAGGGCAGCTCCTTTTATGGAAACACTGAGGCAGATGCAGCAAACGTGGCCAGAGAGGACCAGCAAAGGTTTCCTGGAAGAGGAAACACATGTCTTCTCTTGAAGAATGAGTTGGACAACTTCAAAAACATTCCAAGGGAAAAAAAAATCTCCAGTAGAAAGAATATTGAAAGAAAATACTAGGATGTGTAGACCAAAAACAAAAAACGGCTGAGGCAGATCTGGATCCATGAGAGGTTTATTTTGTCTGGTTTGAGGACACACCCTGCAAAAAACATATCATGGGAACATCTTGACCTGTACTTATTCTAAAGGGGTTTAGAGAACTTCAGTATTTAAAGGTGAAAAGGAAAACATAGGGGAAGGGGGAAAGAAAAGAAAGATGGGCAAGCAATGAGACAAGTGGGTTGCATTCTTGTGAGGCTTTGGTTAGTGCTCAGTGAATCTACATTTTACAGTTGAAAAGGGGGTAGGGGAAAAGTCAATCATCCATTCATCCCACACTCAGTAAATCTACACTTAATATAGGATAAACATGCAGAAAGAGGGAATAGAAGAAAAAGTCTGTCCCACATTTATCTTGGGATGGATGCATGAATGATTTCTAGTCTTGTCCTTCTCCTGTACCTGGGAAAATAAGCCAGTAATTGACATTGCTAGGAAGAGATTCAACAGAGTTTGGTTTTAGGGATACGTCATACTGGGGATATGAATCCTGAAAAATTTGGGGGCTCACAAGGAATTTACCTGTTTGCAATTTGTGAGAGAGGCCATCTGAGGAGATCATGGCTTTCTGTCATTGTGGGAAACTGGCTTATGGATGAGACTATGACACAGGGATGTGAAATTGCAGCTATCAATTTAGGAAAAAAAGAAAAGCAGTTTTTGCATGAATCAGCTTCCAAGCTTCATTTTTCCCTTTGGTATGCTAAGTTTGGGGTCTCGAGATTATATTGTCTTTCACAGAGGTAAACACATAGTATGACATGAGGTTCAATAGCGCTAAAGAACAGTACAACAGAGCACAAGTGTAGGTACAGCTACTTTCTCAACCCATTTGCTACATTTACCTGCTACTTCAAAAGAGAGGTATCTGCATTTCTTCCTCTGCTCTGAATCACAAGAATAATCTGAATCTGAGGATCACATGCTTTAACACCTGGCATTGATTTACCCCCACCTTGCCTCTGGCTTCTCCTATCATTCCATTGTTGGTTTGATTTTGGCTCTAGATATTTCCGTATACATGGGGTTGGCTGTTATTCATCTTGGTAGTTCACTTCAAAAGACATCCTCCCAAGTGTCCTTTCCCCGGGTTATTCACTCAAACATGACTCGAGTCTGCTGTGAAGGGACCTTGCAGATGGAGTTAAGGTAACTCATTGGTGGACCATAAACTAGAATATCCTGGAGTATGCAGATAGCCCAGTGTCATCACATGAGCCCTTAAAAAATGATGGGGCCATAAAAGAGATGTGTGAAAGAGGTAGGCAGAGGAAGAATGAGGCAGAAAGCTTCTGAGCATGAGCAGGACTTGACCTATAGTTGCTGGCTTAAAAGGGAGCCATAAACCAGAAAACAACAAGGACCCCCTGGAAGCTTGTCAATAAACAAGCTGTTCTACGACTGCCTTCTCCCAAACCACCTGCATGATTTTGGAAACAATTCCCTGGTCAAGCTCCCAGGAAGGAAGAGAGCACTGCCTCCAATTTTATTTTCTTCTTGTGACTCAAAGGAGAGAACCAACTGAGCCATACTATGCTAGGAGGTCCAATCCACAGAAACCATGAGCTCATAAGTGGGTATTGTTTTAAGATGCCAAATTTATATTGATTTGTTACATTCACATAGAAAAAGGAAATCTCATCTTCCAGGAATCCCTGGCAACATAAAATAAAAGTGATTACAAATAGTAGCTGAACACTAGGGGGAAACACCAGGCAAAACCAATGTTTTGATGTTTGATCTCTTTTTGTACCATGAGGGATGTCATAAGAATTACACCTCACTGAACACTCTACTAGACATGTACCTACACTATTCCATCACAACTCCACCAAAATAATGTCAGCCTTACCACTTACTCAGCTCTGAGATAGCATTCTATGTTTAGCAATATATTGACAGGTATGGATGGAGTG
Source organism: Homo sapiens (assembly GCF_000001405.40). Lineage (NCBI taxonomy): Eukaryota > Metazoa > Chordata > Mammalia > Primates > Hominidae > Homo > Homo sapiens. The sequence goes on along the minus strand of NC_000024.10, from coordinate 15,844,748 downwards.
TATCCCCTGTGCACCAAGAAAGAGGATGCAAATCATAAAAGTAAACCTTCAAGGTCATGAACATGGGGCTTTCCCATATAATGGGATGTAAATTTACCTTTACAGAAGGTCAATTTAAAAGACAACCAAATAATGAATGGGCATGAAGCTTTAGTTTAGCAATACGAACAACTTGTAGAGATCTGCTATGCCACATTGTACCTAGAGTCAACAAAATTGTATTGCACACATACCAATTTGTTAAGTTAACTTTGTTAGGTTAAAAAATCTTAAGTTATCTAGGCTTTGTGAATCATATCCAAAAGCTCAGCATTTTGCAAGCCTGAGCCAGGGTGATCACTTAAACCCAGGAGTTCAAGATCAGACTGGGCAACCTAGAGAGATTTTGTCTCTAAGAAAGGTTAAAAAATGAAAATTAGCCAGGCTTCTGGTGGGAGTCTGTACTCCCAGCTACTCAGGAGGTTGAAATGGGAGGATCACTTTAGCTTGGAAGGTCAAGGCTGCAGTGAACTATGAATGCCACTGCAATCTAGCCTGGGCAACAGAACAAGACCATGTCAAAAAAAAAAAAAGTTGAATGGTAATGCCTAGGTTTTCTTCTAGGGTTTTTTATGGCTTTAGGTCTAACGTTTAAGTATTTAATCCACCTTGAATTAATTTTTGTATAAGGTGTAAGAAAGGGATTTAGTTTCAGCTTTCTACATATGACTAGCCAGTTTTCCCAGCACCATTTATTAAATAGGGAATCCTTTCCCCATTGCTTGTTTTTCTCAGGTTTGTCAATGATCAGATAGTTGTAGATATGTGGAACTGTTTCTGAGGGCTCTGTTCTGTTCCATTGATCTATATCTCTGTTTTGGTACAAGTACCATGCTGTTTTGGTTACTGTAGCCTTGTAGTATAGTTTGAAGTCAGGCAGCATGATGCCTCCAGCTTTATTCTTTTGGCTTAGGATTGACTTGGCAATGTGGGCTGTTTTTTGGTTCCATATGAACTTTAAAGTAGTTTTTTCCAATTCTGTGAAGAAAGTCATTGGTAGCTTGATGGGGATGGCATTGAATCTATAAATTACCTTGGACAGTATGGCCATTTTCACGATATTGATTCTTCCTGCCCGTGAGCATGGAATGTTCTTCCATTTGTTTGTATCCTCTTTTATTTCCTTGAGCAGTGGTTTGCAGCTCTCCTTGAAGAGGTCCTTCACATCCCTTGTAAGTTAAATTCCTAAGTATTTTATTCTCTTTGAAGCAATTGTGAATGGGAGTTCACTCATGATTTGACTCTCTGTTTGTCTGTTATTGGTGTATAAGAATGCTTGTGATTTTTGCACATTGATTTTGTATCCTGAGACTTTGCTGAAGTTGCTTATCATCTTAAGGAGATTTTGGGCTGAGACAAGGGGTTTTCTAGATATATAATCATGTCATCTGCAAATAGGGACAATTTGACTTCCTCTTTTCCTAATTGAATGCCCTTTATTTCCTTCTCCTGCCTAATTGCCCTGGCCAGAACTTCCAACACTATGTTGAATAGGAGTGGTGAGAGAGGTCATCCCTGTCTTGTGCCAGTTTTCAAAGGGAATGCTTCCAGTTTTTGCCCATTCAGTATGATATTGGCTGTGGCTTTGTCATAGATAGCTCTTATTATTTTGAGGTATGTCCCATCAATGCCTAATTTATTGAGAGTTTTTAGCATGAAGTGTAGTTGAATTTTGTCAAAGGCCTTTTCTGCATCTATTGAGATAATCATGTGGTTTTTGTCTTTGGTTGTGTTTATATGCTGGATTACATTTATTGATTTGTGTATATTGAACCAGTCTTGCATCCCAGGGATGAAGCCCACTTGATCATGGTGGATAAGCTCTTTGATGTGCTTCTGGACTCAGTTTGCCAGAATTTTATTCAGGATTTTTGCATCAATGTTCATCAAGGGTGTTGGTCTAAAATTATCTTTTTTGGTTGTGTCTCTGCCAGGCTTTGGTATCAGGATGATGCTGGCCTCATAAAATGAGTTAGGGAGGATTCCTTCTTTTTCTATTGATTGGAATAGTTTCAGAAGGAATAGGCATGGACAATGACTTCATAAAAACACCAAAAGCAATGACAACAAAAGCCAAAATTGACAAATGGGATCTAATTAAACTAAAGAGCTTCTGCACAGCAAAAGAAACTACCATCAGAGTGAACAGGCAACCTACAAAGTGGGAGAAAATTTTCACAACCTACTCATCTGACAAATGGCTAATATCCAGAATCTACAATGAACTCAAACAAATTTACAAGAAAAAAACAAACAGCTCCATCAAAAACTGGGTGAAGGACATGAACAGACACTTCTCAAAAGAAGACATTTGTGCAGCCAAAAAACACGTGAAAAAATGGTCATCATCACTGGCCATCAGAGAAATGCAAATCAAAACCACAATGAGATATCATCTCACACCAATTAGAATGGCAATCATTAAAAAGTCAGGAAACAACAGGTGTTGGAGAGGATGTGGAGAAATAGGAACACTTTTACACTGTTGGTGGGACTGTAAGCTAGTTCAACCAATGTGAAAGTCAGTGTGGTGATTCCTCAGGGATCTAGAACCGGAAACACCATTTGACCCAGCCATCCCATTACTGGGTATATGCCCAAAGGACTATAAATCATGCTTCTAGAAAGACACATGAACATGTATGTTTATTGCAGCACTATTCACAATAGCAAACACTTGGAACCAACCCAAATATCCAACAATGATAGACTAGATTAAGAAAATGTGGCACATATACACCATGGAATACTATGCAGCCATGAAAAATGATAAGTTAATGTCCTTTGTAGGGACATGGATGAAATTGGAAATCATCATTCTCAGTAAACTATTGCAAGGAGAAAAAAACAAACACCACATGTTCTCACTCATAGGTGGGAATTGAACAGTGAGAACGCATGGACACAGGAAGGGGAACATCACACTCTGGGGACTGTTGTGGGGTGGGGGAAGCGGGGAGGGATAGCATTAGGAAATATACCTAATGCTAAATGACGAGTTAATGGGTGCAGCACACCAGAATGGCAAATGTATACATATGTAACTAACCTGCACATTGTGCACATGTACCCTAAAACTTAAAGTATAGTAAGAAAAAAAAAGTTGAAAATGTTTGTTAGGTGAAAATTTTATGATATGTTAAATTTTTGTTATATTTCTTTGTGTGAAAATTTGCTTATGTGAATTTTACTTCCAAACAGAAATGGAAACAATATCACTAAGAGGGAAAATAGTATGAAACTGATGAAAAGCTCTCGATAATTAAAGATATTGTAAACCAGCTAGTAGGGATACTAGGGCTGAAAATATAACTGTAGTAGGATTGGAAAGGTCCCTGGAGGATGAAAAACAGGAAACTGAGGAGTGTCTTTCAACTAACAAGTGATTAGTCAAACCCATGGTTTAAAATAATTACTTGGTGTGGTCCTAAAATGTAAGAGGTAGGGTATGGGGCAGAAATGAGAGCAAGATCTTTGTGGAGGATACTGTATTACCCTAGAAACGAAACTAAAGGAAGACAACTGGGTTAATGGACATGAGATTTAAACGCAGAAAAAAACTTGTATGAGTGAAAATTTGCATTGAAAATATATATTAGTTAGGAACATAAATGGAAAGAAATTTAAACTCACTCATCATTCTTAGAAAGAGGATCGGGGTCGGGCACTGTGGCTCATGCCTGTAATCCAGGCACTTTGGAAGGCCGAGGTGGGCAGATCACGAGGTCAGGAGATCGAGACTGAGACCATCCTAATATGGTGAAACCCCATCTCTACTAAAAATACAAAAAATTAGCTGGGTATGGTGGCGGGCGCCTGTAGTCCCAGCTACTTGGGAGGCTGAGGCAGGAGAATGGCATGAACCCAGGAGGTGGAGCTTGCAGTGAGGTGAGATTGCACCACTGCACTCCACCCTGGGCAACAGAGTGAGACTCTGTTTCAAAAAAAAGAAAAAAAAAAAAAAAAGAAAAAGTATTGGAAGTGACCTGGCCATTCCTAGTGACAGAGTACGGTTAGAACGTGGGTCCTCCTGACCTCAACTCCTTCCTCTACAACAAGAAAGACTGACTGAATGTGGTGGAAAAGGGAAGGCTTGGTGCTGAAGAAAGAAAATTACAAAGGGTTGATTATCCATATATGGCCTTCTTTAAGATCAAGGAAAGAATGAGAATTTGTATTGTGTTTGGTTTTGAATCTACTAAAATCATGTTGTATTTCAAGTTATCTGCAGAGGGATGGCACAATTTCAAGATTTTTGAAACATGCTGACCACGAGATAAATTTGGTATTGACAGAGACAGGAGGCAGGGAAATTCTGGGCAGAAGAGTGGGGTCTGCTGTGATGTCCCCACCCCGAAGCCTAAAACCACCCAAAGTGAGAACCTGCATTCCTGTTTTCACATTTGAATGTTGCCCTTTCTAAAACCACCCATGGCCTGCCCCATCCCCATCCTGTGGCCACATAACCCCAGGCTCCACTGTTAGAGAGAGAAGAAGAGTAGAAGCAGCTGAACATTAGAGTCTACTGTTGGACATTAGGGAGGAGCAGCTTAACTTGAGAAGGATGGCTTGATGGTGCAGCGTTTGAAGATTACCTTCCAACTTTCTTCCCTTTCTCAGCTCCCTTTCCCGCTAAGAGCCACTTTCATCTGCAATAAAATCTCCCACACCCCATACTTATCATCTCCAATGTGTTCGTGCAACCTCATTCCTCCTGGATGCCAGAGAAGAACTCAGATGCCACAAGTATGGTTGCAAAAGATTGTCATACTCATCCTCCACTGAACTATTCATATTTAAGCCATCAATAGGATAGCAAAGCTAAAGGAACACCACTGTAACACTCCTTCTCAGGCTTCAGGGGTGGTGGGCACCCCCCTAGATGCAGCTGCAAGGCCAGCACGATGTTCCTCCCTACTGGCACCCAAAGGCATACCCAAAAGCACTCCACCTTCTGCACCTGCTCACCTGTGTGCTCCCTCCCTGGAGTGATTGAAAGCAGTGGGTTCCAGTGAGTGGAGTTTGCCCATGCCAGCACCCATGCATTCCAGTTCCCACCCACAAAGGGGTCTGGGAAAATTTCCTGCTTCAATATGGTGTGTGTGTGTGTGTGTGTGTGTGTGAGAGAGAGAGAGAGAGAGAGAGATAGGTAATCATTGGTGGTGAAATTAAGCGTGATTGGTGAGTCCATTCTAAGTAAGAATATTCAATTTCCTATAGCAAAATTTTACCGCTAAAATCAAGGAAAGCCCAATTACCTACAGCAAAAAAAAAAAAAAAAAAAAAAAAATTCAACAAGATTTTCTGTTATCATATACTTCAGGGTTACAGGATACTTTCCTTAGAGATGAAATTTTTTAAATTGCAGTTAACAGTTAAAGATATAGGAGACACTTTTCTTTCTTTCCTTTTTTTTTCTTTCTTTCCCTTCCTTCTTTCCCTTCTTTCTTTTCCTTCCTTCCTTCCTTCCTTCTTTCCCTCCTTCCCTGCTTCTTTCCTTCTTTCTCTTTCTTTCTTTTTCTCTTTCTTTCTTTCGTTCTTTCTTTCTTTATCTCTTTCTTTGTTTATTTCTTTCATTGAACAGAAGAAAGAATTAGATACTAATAGATAAGCATATCTTGCACAACTTAAATTTTAAAAGGAAATTCAGCCCCCACCTCACCAGTTTCTCTAGAAGACTTCCTTGTTCCTTGTGTTCTTGTGGTGCTAGATATATATATATATATATATATATATATATATATATATATATATATATATATATTTGAAAAAATATATATTTTTGCAACAGGATCTTACTCTGTCACCTAGGCTGGCACAATCAGGGGTCACTGCAGCTTCAATCTCCTGGCCTCAATCAATCTTCCCACCTCAGCCTCCAGAGTATCTGAGACTACAGGTGCATGCCACCATGTCACACTAATTTTTGTATTTTTTTGAAGAGATGGGGTGTTGCTATGTTGCTCAGTCTGGTGTCCATCTCCTGGGCTCAAGTGATATGCAAACCTTGGCCTCCCAAAGTGCTGGAATTATAGGCATGAGCCACATGCCTGGCCAAGAGAACATACTGTATTTTTTTAACATCCTTTACTCACCTCGATTAAAAGAGGATTCTTCTGTAGAAGATGCTACTTTCTCAAGATACAAGACTTTTTCCTTCCTAAGGCATATTTACCAAATATTATAATTGCTTTAAAATATATAAGAAAAGGCTGACTTAAAATTTTAGTTCATTATTTCCAGTGTTTATATTTCTGTGCTTTAGGTCTAACTAAGAGATCCTCAGATTCTCCACTGCAAATTAAATGATATTTGAAATGTTTATGGCATTTTTAAATTGTTTAAAGATACTTATGTTTTATATTCCAATTTGACTTCAAATGCCTTTACCTGAATAGTAATGAGTTAATTCAATTTTTTTGTTCCAGGTAACATGTGCTATCTGACACACAGCATCCTGGGTTTATGCCTATAATTTATTTATTTTCACTGAATTACCATGTATTAGTCATCTATTGCTCTTTTTTTAAGAACCAGGGTTTTACTCTGTCACTCAGGGTGGAGTGTGATGGCACAATCATAGCTCACTGCAGCGTCAGTCTCCTGAGCTGAAGCAATTCTCTCACCTTTGTCGTCTAAGTAGCTGGGACTACAGGCATGTGCCACCATGCCTAGACATTTAAAAAAAAAAAAATTTACAGAGATGCAGTTCCACTATGTTGCCAAGACTGATCTTGGACTCCTCGACAATCTTCTTGCCTTGGCTTCTCAAAGTGCTGGGACCACAAGCATGAGCCACCACACCCAGGAATCTATTGCTACATAACCTAATTATCCCCAAATTCATCGGCTTAGAACAACAGCATTAATTATCTCACAGTTTCTGTAGTTCAGAAATCCAGGCACAGCTTTGCTGGGTCTTCTGGTTCAAAATCTCTTAGAAGTATCAGCCAGCTCCATGGTCATCTCAAATCTCCCCTGGAAATCTTTCAGACTCACATAATGGGTGGTTGGAAGGACACATTTTCTTGCAGGATAGAGGACTGAGAGCCTCAAGTTCTCCCTGGTGTTAGCTGGAGATTGTCCTTATTATTTGCTAGTTTGTGTAGTGCTACATGGCAGCTGGCTTCACCAGAATGACTAAGTGAGAGGGCAAGAAAGTATACAGTGGTGAGATAGAAGGCATGGCACTTGCTATTTTATAATTTAACCTCAGAATAGGTGTCCTATCCCACACTTCTATTCAGTAGAAACCAGTCTAGCCCACACTCAATACACAATGGCATGAAGATCAGGAGGTGTGGATCATTGAGTGTCACTTCCAAAGTTGGCTATGACACTCCACTCTTGCAAGCAATCTGTGGCTCTACTAAGATTTGACTTGGGGAGGTTAGAGAGGTAGACAATCACAGAGAAGGCACATTAACAACTTCTAAGCCAGCTTTACATAATGCAATTTTCCCAGCTAACAAATCTTCATGTGTACCCGCTAAATCTAAAATACAATTTGAAAAGAAAACCTTCTCATGACTCATATTTAAGAAAACACGTCCTTAATTTACCCAAACCCCAAGGATTTCCTAGCTTCATGTTTCTCAAAGATTTCTCTATTCTCATCTCTTTCCATCATTTCTCAACACCAGGATTGATCAGGAAGTTCTCAAAAATATTGTTTTCTTACACATATAATTAACTTTCCATAGCTCCTGCTAAAATTTTGCACCTGAAAATTTTCTTGGAGTTTGGATCCAGCCAGGTCTTCTCTTTCCCAATCTCCATCCTTAACAGGTGGTTTTGACATTAAAGGATACATTATTTCTCACTCTTACATCCATTTCTTGTCTTCTTAACACATAATTGACAACATATGTATGTATATATGTGCATATATGTACACACACATGCATACAGATTGAAAAATGAATTCAAAAAAACTAGGTCAGCCCACTAGAAGCAGGTACATTTTAAAGACAAGGAAACAAATTGAGTTACTCCAAGTTAAAGGGTCAATGAATCAATTAGAACAGTGTTCTTCCAACTTATTCCCAAGAATTCTTGATTTAGTGAGTTATTTCAAGTGTCCTGAAAGCATTTGATATAGTTATATGAAAACAAAAGTTGAAGTAAGAATGAACCCACCATAAAATGTCTTCTAAATGATAAATTTGTTAAAGAAACTGTATTGTTTTTACTGACTGACTTTATTAAGAAACAGTTATAAATGTTAACTAAAAAAACAATGTCTTCATGAAATACTGTATTTGCTATTTTATATGTTGATCATATGCAAATGGATTCATTTTTGTGGCTGGTGAAGAACCAAGAGAGACACTCAATCTTGGAGTTATGTGTCTTTCCCTGAGTAGCAATGCTTCTGGTTCTTGTGTATACAGTTATCCAAAACAACAAACTGGAATAATGTTGAGCCCTGCTTGGGGCGTTAGTTAGAGTAGGCATTACCCTTTGTGCCCATAGAGCAGTGGGCATTTACGCCACACCATAAACATCTTTTATAAGCCTTGCAGGTGTATGTCTTGCAGGTGTTAGCACAAAAAGTCTTTGGCTGAAAAAAGAAATCAGGAACTAAGGAATGTCACCCATTCCAATGCCCAGTGTTCTGCCTGGCAGAACATTGTCTCAAAGTCTGCCTTCAACAATATTTTTCGTAGAGTAACAACTTTATTAAAGTAAAATTCATAAATCCTATAATTCACCCCAGAAATGTATAATATCAGGGTTTTCAGAATATTCATATTCTGTGTAATCATCACTACAATCAATTTTAGAACATTTTTATCCATCCCTTGGTCATCCCTCCCTAAGTTCCTCCATCCATCCCCACAACACTAGGCAACTACTAATCTAATTCTGTGACTATATAGATTTGTCTATAGTAGACATTTCATGAATGAAATCATACAATATTTTTCCTTTTTTACAATGGGATTTCCCTTACCACACCATCATCAGGGTCTGTCTATATTGTAGCTTGTATTTACTTCTTCATTCCTTTTCATGGCCAAATAATATACCATTGTATGTATATAGCAATTTTGTTTATCCATTTATAAGTCAATGAACATCTGGGTTGTTTGCCGTCTTCACAGGGCATTTTTATACAGGACAAATTTCTCCTTCTGATGTGAACCAGCCATTCCTTGTTTCACTGTCATCGTCCCAATAGGCAATACCCAAGTGAACTCAGAAGGGTGTGAGGGATGAAGGGCTTGCATGCTACAGAGTATGAGGTCAGATTTCCATTGGTCATCTTTTCATAACTGGTGCATGTGTTCTTACTAAATAAAGGTAACATCACATGGGAACAACTGAACTCTTTGGAGATGGGCAGTTAAAACAGAATCAGGGCTAGGCGCCATGGCTCACTCCTGTAATCTCAACACTTTGGGAAGCGGAGGCGGGAGGATCACCAGGTCAGGAGATTGAAACCATCTCCTGCCTAACAGGGTGAAACTCCGTCTCTACTAAAAATAAAAAAATGAGCTGGGCGTGGTGGCAGGCTCCTGTAGTCCTAGCTACTCGGGAGACTGAGGCAGGAGAATGGTGTGAACCCGGGAGGCAGAGCTTGCAGTGAGCCGTTGTTGTGCCACTGCATTCCAGCCGGGGCGACAGAGCGAGACTCCGTCTCAAAAAAAAAAAAAAAAAAAAAAAACAAACAAAAAAAAAAACAAAAGCAAAAACAAACAAACAAACAAAAACGAATCAGACTCTGAGGGAAGAACATGGAGAATGTGGCTTACATGAATCAGGGTCTAGGTGAAAAAAAAATTACAGAAAAGGAAAGGTAGTAAAATATGCTGCTACTATTTCATAGATATTGGTGGCCATCAGGCAAAAGTGGAATGATGATTTTACAAGAAGAAAATAAACTTGAAGTCAGAAAAAATGTGGCCAAATTTTTCCTCCTTCTCCTAGTAAAAAAAAAAAAAAAAAAAAGTTAATTGATAAGATTCCTGTGACTCAAACATAGAAGTATGAAGGACGATTACAGGAAAAAATAATCCTTGAGAAGCAACTCATTAAATAATAGAAACAATATAGTATTACCTAAAGGGTGACCTTTTCTGCAGGATTCTTACTTGTTTAGCCTGCCAAATCTCAAAATCTTTTCCTTGTATTGGTTTTCTGTTGAACACGCCATCATCTGTCCAAACTTATCCACTGAAAATTGCACATTTATTCCACATATAATGAATTAATATTTGTCATTTATTCCAGATATAATGAATTACTGTTTGCTCTTATTTAATTTCATTCCACTTCATGAGCTTCCCACATTTTAGCAACTTCTAAGAAATCACTTGACACTTTAATTTCTGTATACATGAGTGCTTATGTACATACAAATATAATCTACATAAATGCATGCTGTATTTCTTAATGCAGCACTTTTAAACGAATGGACCCAAACTATGCATCCAAGTGTTATTTGTGAATGTTGTGTCTCAACTATTTTTGAAGTTCCTGAGGAGGAATAACTTCTTTTGTTCTACACGATTGTAGGATGACTGTAGTTAATGATAATATACAATATCATTTCAAATAGGTGGATCAAGAATATTGAACATTTCCAACACAATGAAATGATAAATATTTGGGAAGCTGATTATGTTAATGATGTTGATCTTATCGCTATATATTACACTTATGGAAACATCACTATGGACTTCATAAATTTGTCAATTAGAAAATTCAAATGAAAAAATAAAAAGAAAACATGACATACCAAAAACCACCCACCTTCTTGCTTCAAGAATACCTGAATTTTAACAATGACAGTACTTCCCTGTTTGCTGGTGTTTGTTATGTTAGGTTCCTGTATCACATTTGTAAGTCCCATCATTTGTGTTGACCTTCACTAATGCATAGCACCTTCACATGTGTTGTGTTAGCTCATGAACAGGCACATAAGAAAACTTAGGCAGGGAGATTTGCTTACCTGCTCCCTGTCCCATGAACATGAATCTCTGAGCTACTACTGAGCCCACAGTGTTTGTCAAATTTTCCAACTCTCTTTCTATTCGCTTCCTACTGTGTCATGCTGCCATTTTGATAACTCACCATATTCACCAGGGTTGGCTTTGAGTTATTTGGTTATTTCCCAGAATGAAAGCCACTGTCGGAGACTAGAAAAAAAAAATCATTATTGAGGATTAAAAAAAAAATCAGTTGCTATGTCTGAAAACAATGAGAATTGTATTATAATATATAGACAATATGGTGCAACAAAATCGTAGGGTATAGCTAGGCAGGGAAGCGGTACTATAGGAAGTACTCATAAGTTTCCACTATTCCATAGCTCTTTGAGAGTGGATTTGCGTTTGATCCCCTTTCCTTGTTTTTATTTTGAAAAGTGTCAAATCTACAGAAAAGTTGAAATAATAATTCAATAAATACTTCTATACCTTTCATTAAGATTTACTAATTATTATTTTACCATTTTCTCACATTTGCTCTCTCTCTACTATTTTTGCTTATGCAGTCTGTATTTGATATTATATATGTATCAACAAATACATATATAATTCATATGCAAATAATACAGAACATATAAATATAATACATTTATATTTATATACTATATATAATATATAGTATATAATATTTATAATATATATAATACTATATATATTTATAATATATATAGTCACAACCTTCTGAATTACTTGAAGTTGATGACACTTTACTGATGCTTTAGTATGTATCTCCTAAGAACGGAGACATAAGTCTATGTAACTGTACTATAAATATTACACTGAAGATATTTAAGATTCATACAATGGTATTATCTATTGTAACATTCTATATTCAAAAGTGTCTGTTGTCACAAAAATCTCTTTTCTGTATATTTAAATTCAGGCATCAATTAATGATCATGCTTGGTATTTATTGCAATAGGCTTTTGTTTTTGATTAAAAAAAAAACAAAACTCTTTTAATCTAGAATTGGCCCTCCAAGTTTCTGGTTCATCATCTCACAGTATTGACATTTTTAACAGTCCAGGCTAGTTGTTTCATAAAATACTGGATTTGTATTCTTTTCATTATTTGCCTTATTGCGATTTGTATTCTATTCAGTATTTGCCTTATTGCTTCCTCATGATTACATTCAGGTGAAGCTCTTTGGTAAGACCACAACTTAGGTATCTAGAGTAAATCACATGTGGAGTCAAATAATGTTCATTTCTGCATTTGTTCTAAAGGATTCTCTTTCATTTAAGATATGTTGTAATACATATGTGTTGGCACATGTGTATATATGTGTGCATACATGTGTATATATGTATACATGTCTATATATGTGTGTATACACATCTGTACATACATGTTTATTCATGTGTGTACATATATTTATGTTTGTATGTGTATATACATATTTGCATATAAACATGTGTATATGTGTTTATATGTGTGTGTATACATACCTATGTATGTATATGGCTGATATTGAAAAAAGATGCTGGAGAATTTAGGTTCTGATACAATTACTTTTAAAAATGTTCATGTCATGCATAAAAAAGAAAAGAAAAGAAATACCAGAATAATTTTATTAAATAACACATTGACCGAGTCTAGGTAAAAAATTGACAGACTCTGAAACAGGTTTCAATATTTTCTCATCAAAATCTATAGAGAAAAAAAAGAACATGGATGTAGTTGTTGTAATCTAAAGATACACTCAACTTGTTGCTCAGTATTAGAAATCTCAAGGTCTCCAGGTGACTCTCACTGCCCCAATTTGCTGTGATTTCTTTTAAGACCTAAATGTCACCTGGACACATCTCTAAGAAGTTTCCAAAACTCAAAATGTAAGGCAGAACTGAACTGTACTTTTAGATCAACCTGAAATCCAGGCACCTTTTTTTGAAGATTGCTGTAAGGATTTCATAAAAAATAAACAATAACATGTCACAAATTCATCAAAAACTCAAACATTAGACATGCAAAATCCTGTGGTTCATTCACAATGTTCACATAGTAAAGAAAGGCAGCCTCCAGCCTCAGGAAACCTAACTATGTAGCAGCTAAATAAAGTATTTTTTGCCAACAATCTATATTGCAGCTTTATTACTAAAGTGGCTATGTTAAATTTAAATAATTACAAGGACAAATTCCATATCTTGGTGTTTCCATATTTGAGGGAAAAATAGACGTGTCTCATATGCATTTGGTCTAGACATACCCCTAAATGCATACTAAAAATGCCAAAATTCCTTCAAATTTAAACTTATAAAAATGTGTATGCAGTGATTTATTCCTTCTAAATACTTATCATTGTGTATTTATTTCCATGACCAATTCTTGACCCAGAGAGTTCACTAAGCATTATTTAAGTCACACATTAAAATATCCTCTAGACAGAAGATAGCATTGGCTGAATTATTTTAAAAGAAAATATATTATTTCTAAAGCTTTTTCTAGTGCCACAACCTGGAGCATGTAATGCTTTAAGTCTTCTTTTTTCCTTTATGATTTCCTCCCAATAAAAATATAGAAAGGTTGACCACCACAGGCTCAACTATCCTTATTAAACCTTACCTATTCTTCAGGCTATGATGTCTTCAATTCATTTTTCTGCTTAACTAGATTTTCTAATGTACCTGTGGTACTGGTATTTCTTATTCCTTGTTGGAGGTCACCTTCATTTAAGAATTGAATAGCCAAAGCAGTTTTCAGTACATTTATGTTTTCATAAAGAGCATCATTTTTTTTAAGTTGCAAGATTAGAATTTGTGTTTGATCTCTAAACCATAAGTCTTCATCTTACATCAACTATAACAAGGTGCTGATGGAAGATGAAGTTATCATTCTAAGTTAGAATTGTCCTAAGGCAAAAACCCATATTTTGCTCTTGGGAAAATAACTTCTTTTTCTTTCTCTAAGCCTTTAAATTCCAAAATTAGTTTCCACTTTGGAAGTGTTTCAATGGATTCATACTGATTTTTTTTTTTTTTAATTTCAGGCTCCATATGTGTCTCGCTAAGACTTTGTCATCAAACAGTCTACTCCACTATCTGAAATAAAAAGTTTTCATCTGTGGATTCTAAGGTTTAGAGTTTACAACATGGCTTTTGTTTTCTTCATGGTATTAATAGGGAATGGTTTTGTACAAAAGTAAAAAAGTGGGTTACTCTACCAACCATGTAAGATTGTTGGCTGGGCATGGTGGCTCATGCCTGTAATCCCAGAACTTTGGGAGTCTGGGGTGGGTGGATCACCTGAGGTCAGGAGTTTGAGACCAGCCTGACCAACATGGTGAAACCCGTCTTTACAAAAAAATGCAAAAATTAGCCTGGCATGGTGGTGCACGCCTGTAATCCCAGCTACTCGGGAGGCTAAGGCAGGAAAATCACCTGAACCCTGGAGGCAGAGGTTGCAGTGAGCTAAGATTATGCCATTGAACTCCAGCCTGGGCAACAAGAGTGAAATTCTGCCTCAGAAAAAAGAAAAGAAAAGCAAAAAAAAAAAGATTGTTACAGATACAAGTCTGTATCTGTTACAGATACAAGTCTGTATCTGTTACAGATACAAGTCTGTATCTGTTACAGATACAAGTCTGTATCTGTAACAGATACAGATATTTGTAAAGAAACTATTGTGTACGGAATATTGTTCTTGTTCCACCTCTTTAAGTGTATAAATTGCACCTTAAAATGCTATGTAGCTAGAAGGAACTCAATAATTACACATTGTTGCAACAATTGATTTTAAGAATTGATTAAACATCAACCCAGTAAATTATGACTCATCAATTTTCAAATTGCATAAAATGAAATGCCAATCTGCCATCTCATTTATCATTTGTGATACCCAGGTTCTTATAGAAGAACAGATTAGAGCATTTACAATATACAATACAAAATAAAGGAAATTTTGACAATTTCCTTTAAAGAAACTCTTAAATCATTTGAAGCCAAAAATATATCATCTCTCTTCTTCCATAGCCAGACCTCAAGTTACTCAGTAATTCTTACAATGCTTGAGATGATTCCTGTTTCAGTCTCTTCCCTAGATAAACCCTGTATCCACCCACCATTTCCCCATAGGTTACATTTCTCTTTTGGGCAAAAGCTAGTCAAGAGATGGGAAGGAATCTTTCTTTTGTGCCAAGGAATTCCTGGGGTTGTAGAGAAAATCTGAGGTTCTCCAGAGTGTGTGCAAATAAATTAATTTGCTTTACCATTGTGGAAATGGCAAGGGAGGCTTGTTTTTTCTCTAGCTGCAGAGAGGCAGTTAATTTCAGCTCATTGAATTGAGTATTGGATCTGGAAGCACAGCTTACCCCACCAGCATTTCTGAACAAATACCTCCTCTGCAGAAACAGCAGGTAATTGAGTTGGCACCGATGGGGTATCAAAGCGGCACTGCCGGAGTTCAAGTGTCTACTAAATTTCTTCCAAAGTGGACACTGCATGAATGATCACTTTCCTAGGTATCCTTCTTGGCATTTGGGGCCCTGCTGTTTATGTTAAGGGCAGCCTCCATGATAGCAAACCTGACTGAGAGGAAAGGACAAATGGAAAGGAGAGAGTCTCATTATCTATCACTCTTGTAAATAGAACGACATCTGCTTCACTATACTCTTTCATTATTCTTTTAAATTCAATAAGGGCATTTTACATTGCTTTTCTTTTCTGGGCTCAGTACCTCAGACTGAGACTGCATTTCAAAAGACTAATAATAAGTAAATAAATAAGTTGCTTTTCTTACCAAATGCATCAAATGCATAATATGCTTCACAAAAAATGTAGACTTATTTATTTATTTATTTATTTATTTATTTGTTTATTTATTTATTTACTTTTACACAGGGTCTTGCTCTGTTCCCCAAGCTGGAGTGCACTGGCATGATCATATTGTAGCTCAACACAGCCTCAACTTTCTGGGCTCAAGCGATCCTCCTGCCTCAGCCTCTCGAGTAGCTGGAACTGCAGGTACTTACCATCATACACAGCTAATTTATGATTTCTTTTTGTAGAGACCAGTTCTCATTATGTTGCCCAGGCTGGTCTCAAACTACTGGACTCAAGTGATCCTGGTGCCTATGCCTCCCAACTTCTGTCATTCCAGGCAAGTGCCACTGTGCCCAACACTTAATAGTATTTTTGTAGTAGATTTTGAAACATTTGGTCCATGGATCTCAGTCTCTTTAAATTCCTTCCCTTAATAACAGTGGGTCTTTAACTTAAAGTGAATCACTTATTTCCTCTGAGCCTTAGCTTTTCAATTTGTAATGTGGGCATAGTAATATCCATTATTATTACATACTAGTGTCATAATAAATTGTATTTCTTTAAAATAAAGAATAAAAAGGCCAGTCATAGCGGGTCATGCCTGGAATCCCAGCACTTTATAAGACTGAGACAGACAGATCACCTCAGGGTCAGGAGTTCTAGATAAGACTAGCCAAAATGGCAAAACTCTCTCTACTCTAAATACAAAAAGTTAACCGATGCCTGTAAATCCCAGCTACTTGGGGAGCTGAGGCAGGAGAATCACTTGAACCAGGGAGATGGAAGTTGCAGTGAGCTGCGATTCCAACACTGCACTCCAGCCTGGGTGACAGAGTGAGACTCCATCTTAATAAATAAATAAGTAAATGAATAAGTATTAACATTATAATCAAGCAAAGTCAACTAAAGGATGGCCCATTTGAATTTTAACTTTAAAGGGTTGCCAGGGAAAATATCTTTTTTTCACACTATTGATTTTATCCACAGCCAACAACAACAATAACAACAACAAAAGAACACAAAACCTTTTTATTAGAAAGAAGTTTGACCATGGATATTTGCAGATAGATATACCGTATATGTGCATTTCATGAATAACATCTAGAATCTAGAGCAGTTGTGGTCAAACTGTGGCCCTCCACCTGCTTTTTTGTAAATAAAGTTTTATTGGGACACAGCCAGGTCCAATTGTTTATGCATCATTTATGGCACGTTCATACTACAACAGCATAGTGCAGTAGTTGTGGCAGACATTGTCTCTCCCAGAAAACCAAAAATATTTGCTACCCAGCCCTTTGCAGAGAAAGTTTGCCAACCCTGATCCAGAGTTCAGACATGCTTTTCTTCTTGAGAAGTTTTCCACTTGATGGAAATCATCCAAAACCTTCTGGGTTGTCCAGATAGGAAAAATTAAACACAAAACCAAGCCAGATTATTGTGATTGTTACTTGAAATAGATCTCTCCCAGGTGGAAAAATTATAGAGACCAAAATGCCATGATGCAGATTCAGCCTAGTGCCTAAATAACTGGAGATCTTCAGAGAGAAGGCTCAAATAAAAGTCAGTAAAACCAATTGGGAAGCTCATTTGTCTACTTTATCTTTGTTTTCATTGTTTCTCTGTATCAGGATGAAAAACATGTGACAACAGCCTAAGCCTAAAGACAAAAGCAGGGAAAGCAAGCAGTGGATAAACACTTCAGATGGTAAATATATCTCTGATTGAAAATTATCCCAAGGATACATGCACAAGATGTTTGCTGTCCTATTTACTGAGCAGGGAGTAAAGGATAAAAATGCAGCATATTTCTAGATGCCTTTAATTTCCTTAAAATATATTAAATATTTCTAAATTGACTTCCTCAAGTACACAAAGCCCTCCACAATCTAGGATCCTGGAATCCTTTTTCTCATTTTGCCCAAACTCCTAGATTCTTTGAATCTCCATAATGTTGGATTAGTTTATCACTTCGTGTCTTTGCATGCCTTGGAGTGCCTCACCCCAATTACCGTCCTCCCCATTCTCCAACTCTGTTTTGCATCATAGGGATCCTAAGCTATGCAGATACTATTTTCCAAGATTCATGTCACCAGGCTTCCTGCTAGAATGCACCAGCAGGAAATTCGCTGAGGGGTAAAAGGGGAAATCCAGAATATTTCTCACCCCTCTTATAATGTACCTTCTCTATGCATGGCTCAAAATCCTGCCCTCTTCACCATTGCAGCCTTCAGTGAGCTTATTAACATCAGCTTCTCATTTTCATGATCCAGTATAGGGTTGGTGTCAGCTTTCCACTCTTACTAGCTTCTGAGTTCCCTCACTCTGTCCATATTGACAGCACATGTGTTACAAGTCCCCTCTATTCAGTTCTCTCTGTGGTACAATCCACTCTATTCAATTCCCTCTTGGTACAATTCCCTCTGTTCCTGGTTGGCTCCTAACTGATATATCAGTTTGCTTTTATGATAGTCATTTGGGTGCATTTATTAATCCTGGTTTCTCTCCTTTACAACCATCTTAAGGATTTAATCTGTAATTGGCCATCTTTGTGTATTCCCCAGTATCTAGAACACAGCTCAGCACATTGTAGCTGTGCAATCATTATTTCTTGAATTAATTTTGGTTGAAATTCTCACTATGGTCCAAACTTAAGGGGATAATATGACTCACTGTCTTACCAGCAGTATTATTTTCTAAAGTGTGAGCTGGTTGAAACAACCAGCATTCTGCAAATGTATGCTGCACTTATTGGATGAAGAAGGAATCACAGCTAAACTGAGAAACCAAGAGTTTGATGGACTGAGAAACCCCATTGGAGATTCATCTCACACAGCCATCAGAAACTGATAAATATTTCTATGTAATATTTCAGTGCACAATTCCTAATGCAAGCATAGGAAGACACTTGTTTTGTTAGGTAATTATGTGATGTACATCTTTCTCTTATATTCTATATTAGGCAACTGATACTAGCTCAGAAAATTTCTTTTATTGAATTACCTATAAATTTGACCTTTTGCTTTGTATTTCATGGCTACATTGAAAAAGTCTCCCAGTCTAGTTAAACAAGACATATTTTCTTTATTTATAAGGAAAAATTGGTACTTGGAGCCATCACAATTTGAGTTGACCCCATTCATTTCTCTGAGCAACACTAATATTGGGGCTTCTTTAATTGGGCTTATGTGTACAATATTATCACTGCTTTCTTAAAGTATCAGAAGAGGATATGAGTTAAAGCAGTCCAGTTAAAAAAAACACTGCTTGTAGATAGTAAAGTTTGAATCCTATCTCCACCATCAGCTAGATCTTTGATCTTCAGGGAAGTACTCAAGTGTGGTATCTTCATTCTTAGAGGGAGTATGGTGGAAACTATATTAGATAGTGTACTGGGATTGAAAGGAGATGACACACATGAAAACTTACAGCACAGGATTTCACATATGAGTTCCACAGAGGACACTGGCATATGCTGACCTTACTCTGCATAGAATACAATCATTTCTGGGTAGCCAGACCCACCACCTGCTGAGATCCACCACCAAGAAAGACACATTTTTTTTGCTTCAACTCTTTCTTTTTTTTTGTCTATGGCAAATGGGGCACATTCCAGAAGGAACTATCCCCGCAAAATTACTTTCCTCATCCTAAAAAATAAAATTAGATTTTTAACCTGGGTCCTTAATGTAATTAGAGTCCCTGTGATGTGTCTCCTCTCTGTATGTGGGGCATTTTCTTGAAGGAAGAGTAAACTATCCATTAAGTACATTATCAGAGTCCATGCCACCAAAAATTGTCAAACCAATATTGATATTCTTTTTCCTTACTAAATCTAGTTATAGGTAAGCTCCGAAAACCTCAATAATTTTATGTGAATTTTAGTTACAGGCCATTTTTTTTTTTTTTGAGACAGAGTCTCACTATGTTACCAAGACTGGAGTTCAGTGGCATAATCACAGCTCAATGCAGCTTCCACCTCCCAGTCTCTGGTGATACTACTACCTCAGCCTCTTGGGTATCTGTGACTACAGTCATGTACCACCATACTCAGGTTTGTTTTTTGTTTTTTGTTTTTGTAGATACAGGGTCACACTATGTTACCCAGTCTGGTCTCAAATTCCTGGGCTCAAGCAATCCACCAACTTCAGTCTCCCAAAATGCTGAAATTGCAGGCATCAGCCACTGTGCCCAGTCTACAGGCCTTTTCAAAAACTATGTCACATTTCACCATTTTTATGTTTTGGTTTTTCCTATAGCTGTTTGAAAGAATACATAGAAACAACATCGAGAGACTGCCTTTCATGTTCTTACAGAACTGCATTTCATTCTTAAGGATTCCAAAAAAAATAAATACATAGCAGCCATTAACCAGCGATGCTTTCTCTGCACTCGTTAGCAGAGCTATAATCTGATTATCCTACTAGGCTTTGATTCCATTACTTTCTATCATTTATTCTAAGTTTCAGATGAACAATACACCTTAAGCTTTGGAGAATAAGCTATAAAATGCCCTGTATCTTTGACCTTCAATATGACCTTCTCCTGGAAACCTTGTTTCCCGCAATCTAGTTACTGAACTTGTGCCTCGTCTTGGAGACCTGATCAAAAGTCTTCTCATCCCAATTGACTTTACTAGTCAGAATACAGACTGCTTTTCTCCAAGCTTCCATGAAGTACATGTTGTGGTGTCCTCATGGCCCTTCCTATTTTACCATTAAGTTCCTGAAAATAAGGTCCTCTTCTTTTCATTGTTGAGATACTTTTGTTTCAACTTAGGGTAATGAGACTACAAGAATGACCAAACTGGTAGTCACTAATTATTAGAGTGTTAGGTTCAGTCAGTCACAATGTCCTAGGCTTTCTGGGAATGATGACCTCAGGGTGAGGGAAGAGCCTTTCTTCCAAATCAGGTTCAGAGCCTTAAGAATGAAGCCTGAAGCCTGGGGGATTAAGGCTTTACTAAATTTGCATGATTTAGCTCAACCCAGGCTAGACAGCCTTTCTCTCATCTTGAACATTTTCAGCTATCAACTCCAATCCCTGGTGCAGAACTTACTGGAGAACCACAATCCAAGTAGTATAGTTCTTTCCCATATCTTGATAGAAACAGGAGGCAGGGAAATTCTGGGCAGAAAAGGAAAGGTCCCTGGTGAAGACCCCACCCTCAAACCAAAAAACCTGGAACCATACCTGAAGTGAGAACTTACATCTCTGTTTTCCTGCTCATATGTTGCCTTTTCCGAAAGCACTCAGGGCCCATCCCACCTCCCCATTCTGTGCCTGTAGGAACCCCAGGCTCAGCCGGCAGACAGGAGAAGCAGCTGGATGTCAGAGACTATGGTTGGACATTGGAGAAAAGTGGCTTGATTGCAGAGGGACGCTTGACAGTGTAGTATCCGAAAGGAGTCTGGCCAGAAACAGCTGGACTGACTTACCTTCACACCCCATCCATTTTTCAGCTCCTCTTCACACTTAGAGCCACTTTCAACAGCAATAAAAAAATCCCTCACATTTACCACCTTCAATTTGTTAGTGCAATCTCATTCCTCTTGGATGCTGGACAAGAACTTGGGTGCCACAAGTGTTGGTACAAAAAACTGTCATACTGACCCTCCACTGAGCTGTTAATGCTTAAACCATCTGCAGATGGCAAAGCTAAAAAGGCACTGTACCACTTCCGCTGGGGCTTTAGGAGTCACAGGCACCCTTCCCTAGAGGCTGCTGTGAGGCCAGTATGGAGTTTGCTCTTGCTGGCAAGCAAAATTGCCCATCTTGCTCCTGCACTCCCTCACCTGGTACTCCCACTCCCATGAGGGGTGGAGAAGTGAGTGAGTGGAAATCACCCATGCCAGCGCCCATGCACTCCAGTTCTTGCTCATGAAGGTGTCAGGGAAATATGCTGCCTCACTGTTAGCCCTAAATGACAGTGGCACGGTAGAATTCAGGTACCCCCAAGCAAAACTATTTATATGGGTAAAATGGCCAATGTGAAGAAGAAGCTTCTCAACCATGGGTATCATCCCAAAGACAGGCTCATTGCATGGCAGGCATTTTGCTGCCTGTGATTGTGGCAGGTACACATCTTTACCATCATTAGCCTAGCTACCTATGCCCATCACTCACCCAGCGAAAGGTGGAGGCAAGGATTGGAAAATTCCAAGATATTGTGAACGTGTGGACAGTGGTCTGTGGTAGCACATTCACCTAGCTCATCGGTATGGTGTGTGGTCCTCAATATTTTTTTCACCTCTAACATCAACAACTGGAGGATAAAGTAGAATTCAATATGATACTGGCAAATGGTTGATTGATCCCAACCATTGACCTTCCCATTGCCAAGGAAAAAAAATCCTTCAATTATGTTGTAATATGAAGCAGCAGAGAGTGAAGTCTGCTTTTAGCAAAACACCTGGAAAATAGGAAATAATGGATCATATGTTGTTGAATGCATTAGGTATATTGCCTTTTTCCTGTACTATAAGTGTTTGCTGAAAACATTTATATCTTCTACAAAGATGTTCAGGACAGTTAATACAGAGACTGTGTCTTATTTACACATTTTGCTTGTTTTCTTTTTAGCCTGTTGGGACTAAGCCAGTAGCAGTTGTTTGCTTTTCTTTCCTTTTTTTTTTTTTAATTTTACTTTATATACTGGGATACATGTGCTGAAAGTACAGGTTTATTACATAGGTATACATGTACCTTGGTGGTTTGCGGCACCTTTCAACACTAGGTTTTAAGTCCTGCATGCATTAGGCATTTCTCCTAATGCTCTCCTTTCCCTTCCCCACAAGCCCCTGACCAGCCTCAGTATGTGATGTTTCCCTCCCTTTGTCCATGTGTTCTCATTCTTTGGCTCCTGCTTATGAGTGAGAATAAGCAGAGTTTGGTTTTCTGCTGTGTTAGTTTGCTGAGAATGATGGTTTTCATCTTCATCCGTGTCCCTGAAAAGGGCATGAACTCATTCTTTTTTATGTTGCATACTATTCCATGATGTATATATGCCACATTTTCTTTATCCACCCTATCACTGATGAGCATGATTCCATGTCTCTGATATTGTAAACAGTGCTGTATAAACATAAGTGTGCATGTGTCTTTATAGCAGAATGATTTGTAGTCCTTTCGATATATGCTCAGTAATGGGATTGCTAGGTCAAATGGTATTTCTAGTTTGAGATCCTTGAGGAATCACCACACCATCTTCCACAATGGTTGAACTAATTTACACCCACACCAACAGTGTAAAAGTGTTTCTATTTCTCCGCATCCTTGCCAGCATCTGTTGTTTCCAGACTTTTCAATGATCACCATTATAACTGGTGTGAGATGATACCTCATTGTGGTTTTGATTTGCATTTCTATAATGACCAGTGATGATGAGCTTTTTTTCATAAATTTGATGGCCACATAAATGTCTTCTTTTGAGGAGTGTCTGTTCATATCCTTCACCCACTTTTTGATGGGACGGTTTGCTTGTTTCCTGTAAATTTGTTTAAGTTCTTGTAGATTATGGACCTTAGCCCTTTGTCAGATGGATAGATTGCAAAAATTGTCTTCCATTCTGTAGGTTGCCTGTTCACTCTGATGATAGTTTAATTTGCTCAGCAGGAGCTCTTTAGTTTAATTAGATCACATTTGTAGTTTATGTTGCTGAGCAGAAGCTCTTTAGTTTATTTAGATGATATTTGTCCATTTTGGCTTTTGTTCCAATTGCTTCTGATATTTTAGTCATGAAGCATTTGCCCATGCCTATGTCCTGAATGGTATTGTCTAGGTTTTCTTCTAGGGTTTTTATGTTTTTTAGGTTTTACATTTAAGTCTTTAATCCATCTTGAATGAATTTTTATATATGGTGTAAAGCAAGGGTCCAGTTTCTGATTTCTGTGTATGGCTAGCCAGTTACCCAGCACCATTTATTAAATAGGGAATCTTTTCCTTATTACTTGTTTTTGTCAGTTTGTTGAAGATCAGATGGTTGTAGATGTGTGGTGTTATTTCTGAGGCCTCTGCTGTGTTCTATTGTTACATATATGTATCTGTTTTCATAACAGTATCATGCTGTTTTGGTTACTATTGCCTTGTAGTATAGTTTGAAGTCTGGTAGCACGATACTTCCAGCTTTGTTCTTTTTGCTGAGGATTGTCTTGGCTATATAGGCTTTGTTTTTTTCCATATGAAATTTAAAGTATTTTTTTTTCCAGTTCTGTGAGGAAATTCACTGGTAGCTTGATGGGAATAGCATTGAATCTATACATTACTTTGGAAAGTATGGCCATTTTCATGACATTGATTCTTCCTATCCATAAGCTTGGAATATTTTTCCATTTGTTTGTATCCTCTCTTCTTTCCCTGACAAGTGGTTTGTAGTTCTCCTTGAAGAGGTAGTTGATCTCCCTTGTAAGTTGTCTTCCTAGGCCTTTTTTTTTTTTTGTAGCAGTTGTGAATGGGAGTTCACGTATAATTTGGCTCTCTCTTTGTCTACTGTTGGTGTATAAGAATGTTTTTCTGTATCCTGAGAGTTTGCTGAAGTTTCTTATCAGCTTAAGGAGTTTTGGGGCTGAGATGATGAGGTTTTTTAAATATACAATCACGTTATCTGAAGATACAATCATGTCATCTGCAAAGAGAGACAATTTGACTTCCTCTCTTCCTATTTGAATACTCTTTATTTCTTTCTCTTGCCCGATTGTCCCAGCCAGAACTTCATACTGTGTTGAATAGGAGTGGTGAGAGAGGGCATCTTCGTCTTGTGCCTATTTTCGAAGGCAATGCTTCCAGCTTTTCCCCATTCAGTATGATATTGGTTATGGGTTTGTCATAAATAGCTCTTGTTATTTTGAGACATGTTCCATCAATACCTAGTTTACTGAGAGTTTTTAGAATGAGGTGGTGTTGAATTATATCGAAGGCCTTTTCTGTGTCTATTAATGTTATCATGTGGTTTTTGTCCTTGGTTCTGTTTATGTGATGGATTACATTTATTGATTTTCATGTGTTGAACCAGCCTTGCATCCCAGGTATGAAGCTGACTTGATCGTGCTGAATAAACTTTTTGATGTGCTGCTGAATTTGGTTTTCCAGTATTTCATTGAGGATTTTTACATTGATGTTTATCAGGGATACTGGCCTGAAATTTTGTTTCTTGTGTGTCTCCCAGGTTTTGGAATCAGGATTATGCTGGCCTCATAAAATGAGTTAGGGAGGATTGCCCCTTTTTCTATCATTTGGAATAGTTTCATAAGGAATGGTGTCTTCCTTCTGAAATGGCAGTTTCAAAAGGAATTCTACCTCTGGTTGAATTTGGATGTGAGTTCAACTCATCCTGGGCTTTTTTTGGTTGATTGGCTATTAATTACAGCTTTAATTTCAGAACTTGTTATTGCTCTATTCAGGGATTCAACTTCTTCCTGATTTAGTCTTGAGAGGGAGTATATGTCCAGTAATTTATTCATTTCTTATGGGTTTTCTAGTTTCTTAGCTAAGAGGTTTTTATAATATTCTCTGATGGTAGTTTGTATTTCTCTAGGAATAGTGGTGATATTCCCTTTATCATTTACCGTTTTTTATTTTGTCTATTTGATTCTTCTCTCTTCTTCTTTTTTAGTCTGGCTAGTGGTCTATCTACTATGTTAATCTTTAAAAACAACTGCTTCTAGATTTATTAATTTTTTCAAGAGTTTTTCTTGTCTCTTCTTCCATTCTGCTCTAATCTTAGTTATTTTTTTGTCTTCTGCTAGCTTCTGAATTTGCTTGCCCTTGCTTCTTTAGTTCTATTAATTGTGATGTTATGATATCAATTTTACATATTTACTGCCTTCTAATATGGGCATTTAGTGCTATAAATTTCCCCGTACACACTGCTTTAGCTATGTCCTAGAGATTATGGTACATTGTCTTCCCTGTACACACTGCTTTAGCTATGTCCCAGAGATTATGGTACATTTTGAAGAATGCCATTATTTATGCCTTTATTTGCTTGTTTACCCAGTAGTCATTCAGGAGCAGGTTCTTCAGTTTCCATGTAGTTGCGTAGTTTTGAGTGAGTCTCTTAATCCTTAGTTCTAATTTGATGGCACTGTGGACTGAGAGACTGTTTATTATGATTTCCATTCTTTTGTGTTTGCTGAGGAGTGTTTTATTTCCAGTTATGTGGTTGATTTTAGAATAAGTGCGATGTGACGCTGAGAAGAATGTATATTCTCTTGATTTGGGGTGGAGAGTGCTGTAGATATCTATTAGCTTCACTTGGTCTAGAGCTGAGTTCAAGTCCTGAATATTAAAGTCTTCCACTATTATGGCATGGGAGTCTAAGCCTCTTTGTAGGTCACCAAGAAGTTGTTACATGAATCTGAGGGTCCTGTATGGGGTGCATATATATTTAGGATAGTTAGCTATTTTTGTTGCATTGATTCCTTTATCATTTTATAATTCCTTTCTTTTCCTTTTGTGATCTTTGTTAGTTTAATGTCTGTTTTATCAGAGACCAGAAGTGCAAGCCCTGTTTTTTGGGGGAGGCTTGGTAAATATTCCTCCATTCATTTATTTTGAGCCTATGTATGTCTTCGCACATGAGATGGTTCTTCTAAATATAGCACATTGATGGGTCTTGACTCTATTCAATTTTCCAGTCTGTGTTATTTATTTGGGGCACATAGCCCATTTACATTTAAGGATAATATTGTTGTGTGTGAATTTGATCACATTATCATGATGCTAGCTAGTTATTTTGCACATCATTTGATGCAGTTTCCTCACAGTTGTCATTGATCTTTACATTTTGGTGTGTTTTTGCAGTGGCTAGTACTGCTTTTTCCTTTCCATATTTAATGGTTCCTTCAGGAGCTCTTTTCTGGTAGGCCTGGTGGTGAGAAAATCCCTCAGCATTTCCTTGTCTGTAAAGGATTTTATTTCTCCTTTACTTATGAAACTTAGTTTGTCTGGTTATGACATTCTGGGTTGAAAATTCTTTTCTTTAAGCATGCTGAATATTGGCCCCACTTTTTTTGGCTTGTGGGGTTTCTGCAGAAAGAACTACTGTTAGTCTGATGTGATTCCCTTTGCAGGTAACCTGATCTTTCTTTCTGGCTCCCTTTTACATTTTACCCTCTGTTTCAAACTTGAAGAATCTGACAAATATTTGTCTTGTGGTTGCTCTTCTCGAAGACTACCTTTCTTATATTCTCTGTATTTCCTGAATTTAAATGTTGTTATATCTTGCTAGGTTGGTGAAGTTCTCCTGGATACTATTCTGAAGTGTTTTCTAATTTGGTTCCATTCTCCTTGTCACTTTCAGGAACCCTCATCAATTGTAGGTTTGGTTTTTTCACATAAGCCCATATTTCTTGGAGACTTTGTTCATTCCTTTTCATTCTTTTTTCTCTAATATTGTCTTCATGCTTTATTTCATTAAGTTGATCTTCAATCTGTTATATCCTATCTTCTGCTTGATCAGTTTGGCTATTGAATCTTGTGTATGCTTCACGAAGTTCTCGTGCTGTGTTTTTCAGTTCCATCAGGTCATTTATGTTCTTTTTTAAAATGGTCATTCTAGTTATCAATTCCTGTAACTTTTTATTAAGGTTCTTAGCTCCCTTACATTGGGTTAGAACATGCTCCTTTAGCTCAGATGAGTTTGTTATTACCCACCTTCTGAAGCCTACTTCTGTCAGTTTGTCAAATTCATTCTCTATTCAGTTTTGTTCCCTTGTTGGAGAGGAGTTGCAATCATTTGAAGGAGAATAGTCGTCCTGTTTTCTTGGAATTTTCAGCATTTTTCCTATGGTTAATTCTCATTTTAATGGATTTATCTACCTTTGATGTTTGAGGCTGAAAACCTTTGGCTGGGGCTTCTGTTTGGGGGTACTTTTTGTTGAAGTTGACGTTATTGTTTTCTGTTTGTTAGTTTTTCTTCTAATAGTCAGGTTTCTCTTCGGCTGGTCTGCTGCAGTTTGCTGGAGGTCCACTCCAGACCCTGTTTGCCAGAGTATCACCAGCAGTGGCTACAGAATAGCAAAAATTGCTGCCTGCTCCTTCCTCTGGAATCTTCATCCAAGAGGGACACCAGCCTGATGCCAGTCGGAGCTCTCCTATATGAGGTGTCTGTCAACCCCTGTTGGTACATCTCACCCAGTCAAGAGACATTAAAGTCAGGGACCCACTTGAAGACTGCTAAGGGCAGTCTGTCCCTTAGCAGAGCCTAAGCACTGTGCTGGGAGAACCCTCCCTGTGATAATATGCTGCTCTCTTCAGAGCAGACAGGCAGGGATGTTTAAGTCTGCTGAAGCTGCACCCACAGTTGCCCTTTCCTCCAGGAACTCTGTCCAAGGGAGATGGGAGTTTTATCTATAAGCCCCTAACTGGAGATGCTGCCTTTCTTTCAGGGATGTCCTGACCAGTGAGGAGGAATACAGAAAGGCAGTCTGGCCACAGACACTTCGCTGTGCTGTGTTGAATTCTGCCCAGTCCTTAGCTGTCTGTGACAGGAAAACTGCTAACTCAAGCCTCAGTAATTGTGGATGCCCCTCTCCCCATCAAGCTCTATCATCCCAGGTCATATTCAGACTGCAATGCTGGCGGCAAGAATTTCTAGCCAGTGGTTCTTAGCTTGCTGGGCTCCATGGGAGTAGGACCCACTGAGTGAGACCACTTGGCTCCCTGGCTTCAGCCCCCTTTCAAGTGAATGGTTCTGTCTCACTGGAGTTGCCGGTGCCACTGGGGTATGAACAAAAAAAAACTCCTTTAGCTAGCTTGGTGTGTGCCCAAACAGCCAGCCAGTTTTGTGCTTGAAATCCAGGTCCCTGTTGATATAGGCACATGAGGGAATCTCCTGGTCTGACTATTCCAAAACCTTGGGAAAAGTGTAGTATCTCAGCCAGATAGCACAGTCCCTCAAGGCTTCTCTTGGCTGGGAAAGGGAGGCCCCACACTGCTTGCACTTTCTGGGTGAGGTGATGCCTCAGCCTGCTTCTGCTTACTTTCCATGAGCTACATCCATTGCCTAACCAGTCCCAATGAGATGAACAGGGTACTTCAGTTGGAAATACAGAAATCACCCACCTTCTGCATTGGTCTTGCTGGAAGACACAGACAAGAGCTGTTCCTATTCTGCCATCTTGCCCAGAAAATACTATTTACACGTTTCTTAGCAGGGCACTTTACATACGTAATAACTCATTAAGAATTTGCAAACAGATAGCTTATTTCTATTTCTTAATTTTAAAACATTTTTTAAAGACAAGGTGTCACTCTGTCACCCAAGCTGGAGTGCAATGGTGTAATGATAGCTCACTGTAGCCTCAGACTCCACGGCTCAAGGGATCCGCTTTCCTCAACTTCCTGAGTAGCAAGGAATAGAGGTGTAGGCCACCATGTCTGGCTATTTTATTTAATTATTATTATTTTTTGTAGACATGAGGTCTTGTTAAAAAAGATTGCTTGAGCCCTGGAGTTTAAGAATAGCCTGGGCAGCTAGCCTGTTGGGCTCAAGGAGTCTTCCTGCCTTGACCTCCCCAAATGCTAGAATTACAGGTGTGAGTCACTGCACCTGGCCCCAGGCAGCCTATTTCTAGATATCACCCACCATCCATTTCAGAATGGGTGATGACTCTGTTCTGTCCTTCTTTTGATGCAGCCTAAGCCACCATGTTTATCATTCCTGAGTTCCATCATTCATGCTCAGGTATTTGAAAATATAATAACTGTTGGAAAGAAAACAGAAATAGAACTGAGAGGTTGCATTTCACATACTTACAAAACTACTTGCATCTAATTCTTAAGGATTCCTCCCAAAAAAAGACATAGAAAGTATATTGTATTCCACTACTTTACTATTTTTTCTCTAGCCTACATCTATAGGACTACAGCAAGTATAGTAAAAAAAAATGTGGAATAAAATGTCTGTTACAGATTGCCTTTTCTCCATAGCACAGAATTATGTAATAGAATCCAAAAGCACAACATTTCTCATCTTGAGGAGTGCAAATAATAAATTCTGATAAGCTTTACGATCTTACTTCTAGTAAAAGAATCCCTGCCAAATATGCTACACAAAAAGTTATATGAGCTTCCAATACTCAAAAGAAATGCATTCAAACATTAAATTTGCATAGTACCCTGGCAGGATTTATCTTAACCGCATTGTCCACAAATGATCAAAAGTACTTGAGCAAACAATTCCTGTATGAAAGATATTATACTACTAAAACCTAATGAAACTTTACATGCAACTTTTTCTTCCTTCCTTCCTTCCTTATTTTCTCTTGTTTTCTTTTCTTTTCTTTTTTTTTTTTTTTTTTTTTTTTTGACAGAGTCTCACTCTGTCACCCAGGCTGGAGTGCACTGATGCAATCTTGGCTCACTGCAACCTCCGGCACCTCGGTTCAAGCTATTCTCCTGCCTCGGCCTCCCAAGTAGCTGGGACTATAGGTGTGTGACACCATGCCTGGCTAATTTTTTGTGTATTTGTTAAAGATAGGGTTTCACCATGTTAGTCAGAGTGGTCACCATATCCTGACCTAGTGATTCACCCGCCTCGGCTCCCCAAGTGCTGGGATTACAGACATGAGCCACCACACCTGGCCTATATGCAACATTTTCTACTGCCTCGTTGCAGTCTGGAAACCTGGAATAAACCTGAAAATAGATAATTTCTGATTTCTTGGAAGCAATGAATTGATTGTGTGTTGAGAATCACACACATGTCTGGTTCCACATGCTTTGAGATAGTTATGGGGACTTAGGCAGTTCACTTTAATTACTGAGTCTCATTTTCTTCCTTTGTAATAAGAGCCTGCAAGGACTAGAGTTGTGCTTCTGATGGAAAATAAAATGAGTCATGGAAGTGACAATAGCATTGTAAAAGTTGAGTGATTTCTTCACTCACATGCTCTCTTTTAAATCTTTTAAAGTGGAGACTATTCCACTCTGCTATTTTACAAAAGCAGCCATAGGTACGGTGTTCCAATAAAACTTTATTTACAAAACATATGGTCAGTTGGAGAATCATGGACAATAATTTATCAAAACCCTTTTAAAGGATGTAAATTGCTCAGTCATACCTTACTTGGGTTGCTGAATAAGGTTTTGCACACATACTAGGTATGTGTTCTTGTTCACTACACTATGTCCACTGTGAAAACCAATTTATTTTAAAAAATTAAAGAAAATGACTACCTTTCATCTTCTGATATCTTGAAACTTCCAGAGATAACCATTAATAATACTTTGGTATAACTGTCTTTAGTCTTGGTTCAGTAGACTTTGGTGCATGGTTAAGATTGTGTTAGTGGTAGATTCCTGTGTAGTCTCTGATTCACTTAACACATGTTGGCCAGGTGCAGTGGCTCGTGCCTGTAATCCCAGCACTTTGGGAGGCTGAGGTGGGTGGATCACCTGAGGTCAGGAGTTTGAAACGAGCCTGACCAACATGAAGAAACCCTGTCTCTACTAAAAAAAAAAATAATAGAAAATTAGCCGGGTGTGGTGGCACATACCTGTAATTCCAGCTATTAGGAAGGCTGAGGCAGAAGAATCACTTGAACCTGGGAGGCGGAGGTTGGGGTGAGCCGAGATCGAGTCATTGCACTCCAGACTGGGCAACAAGAGTGAAACTCCATCTCAAAAAAAAATATAAAAGTCATAACCACTTTTCCTTATCATTAAAATCCTTAGTGGACATCATATTGATGTGGCAATTTTGCATCCCCTAGAGAGCACAGATGAGTTATCTTGCCTCAAGATAG
Organism: Homo sapiens; assembly: GCF_000001405.40. Taxonomy (NCBI): domain Eukaryota; kingdom Metazoa; phylum Chordata; class Mammalia; order Primates; family Hominidae; genus Homo; species Homo sapiens. The sequence continues at coordinate 15,813,215 of NC_000024.10, read as the reverse complement.
GACTAAGTTTGAAGTGCAAGTTGAAATACATCTCCAGGTGGGACCATATCCACTCTAGCTCTCCAGCCCCTGAACCCCAGCCTGCTGTCCTGCCCTTCTCCTGAGAGGTCTTCTTCAGAAAATCATGTCCATTGGTGGTTTACTGGATAAACAAAATGTGATGCATATACACAATAGAAAATTACACAGCCATAAAAAAAATGAAATCAAGTCTTTAACTGCAACATGGATGAAGTTGGAAGCCAGTGTCCTAAGTCTAGTAACTCAGAAACAGAAACTCAAATACTATATGTTCTCCCTTATAAGAAGGAGCTAAACAATGGGCAGACATGGACATCAGAAAGGAGATAACAAACACTGGAGACTCCAAAATGGAAAAGTGAGGGGCATGAGGGTTGAAAAATTACCTATTGAGTATAATGTTCACTATTTGCATAATGAGTATTCTATAAGCTGAATCCCCACCAGCATGCAACATACTCATATAAAAAACAAGCAGATGTACCCCATATATCTAAAAAATAAATATTATTGTTATGATAAAATCTGTTTCATAGGATTCCTTTGAAAATTAAATAAAATAATTTAGGTAAGGTGTTTGGCATTATTTCTAGCACATACAAAGGCTTCACTAATAATAAAAATTATTATTATTACTAAAAACTAATGCACAAGAATCCTTCTCCAGGCTCTTCTAGAAAACTTGACCTAAGACACTCTGGGTATATACATTTTTAAAATTTGATTTGGGTCTTGGTTTTATGATCCTATTTTTACAAAATATTAGTTCTAAAATTCTTATTTTTAATTCTCATCATTTCATAGAATTTGAAAGCAAGCTAGAGAGAAAAATCATTATCATATCCTAAGAAAGATCTAACAAGTTGCCATAAAAGCTTATTGGCATAATCTCTAGCTTTTGGTTTGAGAAAAATGTGTTTACTGAGACAGATAATGGCTGTGTCTCCTGTGTATTCAACATCATCTGACAGTACATTAGTGAACTGCAGGCTTTATTTTTGGAAAAAAAGCAAACTCAAAAGAGTAAAATAAATATAATAGCCGGAGACCAGCTTAATTTAAAATTACCCCATGGGAGAAACATAAAAGTGAAATGCTTAATTCTCAATCTTCAGTACAGGATACAAAGAATGTTAGAATCATGTGAAGCAAGAAAAACCACATTTTTTTCCCCACAGTTAAAAAAAAAAAAAAAAAACTGTCTACATACTGTATCCCAGACAGAATGCAATCTTCTTTTTTCTTTCTTCCTTTCTCTTTCTTTCTTTCCTTCTTTCTTTCCTTCTTTCTTTCTTTCTTTCTTTCTTTCTTTCTTTCTTTCTTTCTTTTTCCTTCTTTCTCTTTCTTTCTTTCTCTTTCTTTCTTTTCTCTCTCTCTCTTTCTTTCTTTCTCTCTTTCTTTCTTTTCTTTTTCTTTCCCTCCCTCCCTCCCTCTCTCTCTCTCTCTTTCTTTCTTTCCTTTCCTTCTTTCTTTTTGATGGAGTGTTGTTCTGTTGCCCAGGTAGGAGTGCAGTGCCGCGATCTCCACTCACTGCAAGCTCCACCTCCTGGGTTCACTCCATTCTCCTGCCTCAGCCTCCGGAGTAGCTGGGACTACAGGCATCCACCACCACGCCTGGCTAACTTCTTTTGTATTTTTAGTAGAGATGGGGTTTCACCGTGTTAGCCAGGATGGTCTCAATCTCCTGACCTTGTGATCTGCCCACCTCTGCCTCCCAAAGTTCTGGGGTTATAGGCGTGAGCCACCGCGCCTGGCCACAATCTACTTTCAGAACGAATTCATTGTTCCCCACTCCAAATATTAACTTTTCTTTTTTTTCTTTTTTTATTTGAGACAGCATCTGACTCTATTGCTCAGGCTAGAGTGCAATGGCATAATCTCAGCTCACTGCAACTTCTGCCTCCTGGGTTCAAGGTATGCTTGTGCCTCAGCCTCCCCAGTTGCTGTGATTACAGGTGCATGCCACCGCCCCTGGCTAATTTTTGTATCTTTCGTAGAGACTGAGTTTTGTCATGTTGCCCAGGCTGTCTCAACTCCTGACCTTGAGTGATCGGCCCCCCTTAACCTCCCAAAGTGCTGGGATTACAGGCATGAGCCACTGCGCCTGGCCAAAATATAATATTTTTAAAGGTATGATTTCCCTGGCTCTTACCAAGTTAACTATGCTAACCAGGTTTTTGTTGTTTGTTTATTTTAATGTCTTCAGATAGATACTTATTTATCCAGGCAACTAACTTTGATACATAAATACATTTTGCACTAACCTTTTAAACAAAATGAAGGAATCAGTGAGATGATATTTTTCTTACAGAATTTTTAACTCACCTGAAAACATACCTGAGCCTCACAGAAGGTCTATTCAATGGGGTGGGGGTCATTGTAACATCCATTCACATTAATGTTGTATTAGTCCATTTTCACACTGCTGATGAAGACATACTCAAGCCATGGCAGTTTACAAAAGAAAGAGGTTTAATGGAATTTCAGTTCCACGTGGCTGGGGAGGCCTCACAATCATGGCAGAAGTCAGAAGGCATGTCTTACATCACAGCAGGCAAGAGAGAGTGTACCAGCAGGGGAAATGCTGGATGCTTTTAAAACCATCATATCTCATTAGAACTCATTCACTATCAGGAGGACAGTATGGGGGAACCAGTCCCATAATTCAATTATCTCCACCTGGCCCCACCCTTGACATTTGGTGATTATTACAATTCAAGGTGAGATTTGGTTGGGGCACAGAGCCAAACCATATCAGATGTGTTATTGGTAGGGTTCATTTGAGGGCTGCATTTCTTAAGAAGTTCCTTTGGCTACTAGTCCCCAAAATGTAGTGCCAACATACCTTGCAGAAATTCACAGAAAAGTTGACCTTAGGTATATCTATGTTGGTAACTTTTGTTTTTGCTTGGTTTTCTTTTGTTGTGACAATATTTTCTCTCATTCGGCATAACCCTGATTTCAACCCAGCCTACTGTCAGTAGCTTCAAAATTAAATAAATCCATGTCTCTCCATGGCAGCAATTTTGCTGTCAAGATGACATTTAGCAGAGTTTAAAGATAATTTTTGGTGGTTGGAGCCTTGCAATGTGGTGAATTCTACTGGAATCTAGTGGATAGAAGCTAGAGAGGCTGATAAGCATTCTGTGATCAACAAGACTGTGCCTTCTCTTCCCAAGAATCACCTACAGCCATTATCACTGGTACTAGAGTTCAGTAATCCTAGTTTAAAGCATTTGAGGTGTCTGTTTGCAAGTTAGTATTTTCTGTAAATTAGTCCCAGTCATCAGTTGTTACTCATTAACTGTGTTGCAGGAAAGATAGAATCAGTGTTTTAAACCATTTATTCTTGGCATTTGGGGCACAAGACCGACAAACGGCTAGAACCCTAGGAACAGGCATAGAAATTGATAGACAGCATCTTCATGAATATCCTCTGCCCCTCTACTGAGTTTCCATCACACACTTTTAGCCTCCTGAGGAAATACCCACCTCAGAAACACTAAACACACTGTCCTTAATGAATGTGGTCTAGAAACTAAAACCAACAAGAATGATGCTCTCTCGAATCTTGTTTATTTGGGTGTTCATGTAGAAGAGTTTAGAACACTAAGACCATGTGTTGAAAGATCAAAAGCAGGTTACAGCCTGGAAACTAGCCAACCCCTGATGCCCTAGTGTGGAATCCTGCATGGCTCACAGACAAAATTGGGTTTTTGGATGCTTTTAAATGGGAAATCATTTATCTAACCAAGAAAAGAGAAAAAAGTACAAAGTAGAGAATAATGGGGGTACTACCTAAGACACAGTTCCTTTGGAGCAAAGCTTTTCTTCAGGTTGAACTTTTGTATATATTACAGACCCTGACTTATCTGGTAAGTGAAGTAACTTTCCATCAGCCCCCTTCTTTGTTAATTTAGTTCCAGTTCCACCTGTTTCCCTTTAATACTGTTTCCCTCCTTTGGATGTGATCACCTTAATATTGAATAGAGGTTATAGACTTGACTTTTTGGTTGCATTAATAAAAATCTGCATGCAAATTAGTGTAAAATTCTATTATGCATGAGCTTCCAACCAGGGTTTCTTTCTTTTTTTTTTTTTTTTTTTTTTTTTTTTTTTTTTTTTTTTTTTTTGAGACGGAGTCTCGCTCTGTCGCCCAGGCTGGAGTGCAGTGGCACAATCTCGGCTCACTGCAAGCTCCACCTCCCGGGTTCACGCCATTCTCCTGCCTCAGCCTCCCGAGTAGCTGGGACTACAGGCGCCCGCCACCACGCACAGCTAATTTTTTGTATTTTTAGTAGAGACGGGGTTCCACTACGTTAGCCAACATGGTCTCGATCTCCTGACCTCGTGATCCGTCCGCCTCGGCCTCCCAAAGTGCTGGGATTACAGGCGTGAGCCACCGCACCTGGCCCACCCAGGGTTTCTTAGATCACTTACTTCACGGCCAACTCTGAAACTCATTAGTGTGAAGATCAGCCTTTAAACTCTGGCATCTAAGAAATACAACTATACTTTTTAGACTCTAATCTTCTGGTTAAACTGAAATGGAGAAAATACCATCTCAGTTCATTTTGCAAACCAACCACAGAGCAGTTTTCCCTGAAGTGCTTGCAAACTGCAATGGCTTCTGCAGAGAGGTGGTGGTACCTTCTGGTCTTTAGCTTCAGTGGCAGTGAATCTGGACTTTGACTTTGGTTGACATAAGGAGATGAGATTTGCTTTGTCCTACTGTGGTTTCCAGTTCCGATCTGTGCCGGATGTCAGAAAATGAGAGGCCATCCACAGCCCTCATCACGTAGGCACACCATGCAGATAAACCCATCTAGGATCATGTCATCTCCCTAGGTTTTCTTTGCCCCAAAAGCAGAGAGCAAGACCAAGTCCTTTTGCTGGTATTGAATGTCCTCTGACTTTCTATTCATTTCCTTCTAATTTTTAATTCCCTGAGGAAATTCCTTCAATGGAAATACCAAGCATATTGTTGATGATGGTTTTGATCTTCCAGAAATTAAATCCTACAGGACAGGTGCTTCTTTGAATCTGTTACATGGCTGTTCTCCTAATGCCAGTGTTTCTCTCTGAAAAATAGATGAGAAAAAGAGGTAGGTTAGCGCATCCTTCAAAAATAAAATCTTGGGATAAAAACATGCTGTCTCAGGATACTGTCTTTAGCCTTTTGCATCTTTTTCTGTTTTTTTTTTTTTTTTTTTTTTTTTCTTTTTTTCCCAGATAGAAGCATCTCTCTGAGATAGTGGCTTTTCTGCCTTAATGGTTGTGTTTTGGGAGATATGAACTTTCACTGAACAGTACTATTCTATCTGTGGTGTGGTATTACAAAAAAAATTCTATTCTTTAATATAATATAACATTTCCCCCCCCTTTGACAACAAACATAAATGTTTATCTGAGGCCAAATTTTTCCCTAAAAGAGAAGAGCTGCAACTTTTTCAATCCTGTTGATTTCCATGGATGCCCTGATCTGTTCAAAGAAAGTTTGGTTGAATTTACTCTAACTCATGAATTATCTCTTCTTTGCTTCTGCTTAGCTCTATGTTTAGTAGACAGCTATAAGGCTGTCGGTATTTCGACAATACTTTCATTCTTCTCATTTGTATGATTGCAAGCACCAATGACTTCTTTGCATGAGGAAGCTATACATTTCATGAGACAATGCTGGTGGATGTGTACTCCAGATTTGAAAGCTAGTAACTTTCCCACATGCATACTTCTGTTCTTGTCAACTTCACTTTATGTAATTTTTTCTTTTAACAGATTTTGTACTGGGACACCCAATGGAGGACCTCACAATGATAACTTTCCCGGAGTTACAATATGGATTATGGAAGCTTCCTAGATTTCTCTTTTTTTAAGACTGTTTTATTCCTTTTTTAAAAGTACATATTTAGAGGGTACATGTGCAGTTCTCTTACATAGATACAATGCACAGTAATGAAGTCTGGGCTTTTAGTGTAGCCATCAACTGAATCGAGTACTTTATGTCAATTAAGTAATTTCTCATCCCCTAATACCTTCATAAGCCAACAAAGTCTATTATTCCACTCTTTTTGTCCATGTGTACATTATTTAGCTCCCAATTGTGAGTGACAATATACAGTATTTAATTTTCCTTTCTGAGTTAGTTTACTTAAGATAATGGCCTCCATTGTATCTATGTTGCTGCAAAAGACTGATTTTATTCTTTTTTATGGCTGTGTAATATTCCACAGTGTATTTAGACCACATTTTCTTTACCCAGTACACCATTGATGGGAAACTGTGTTAATTTTATAGCTTTGCTATTGTGAATAGTGCTGTATATGAATACACAAGTTCAGGTATGATTTTTTTATATAATAATTTCTTTTCCTTTGGATAGGCCTCCAGTAGTGGCATTGATAAATCAATGGTAGTTCTGTTTTTAGTTCACTGAGAAATCTCCACAGTTTTCCACTGAGGTTTTACTAATTTGCATTCCTACTAACAGTGTATAAACATTTCCTTTTCACCACATCCTCATCAACATCTGCTGTTTTCTGATTTTTTAATTATAGCCATTCTGACTGGCAAAAATGATATCTCATTGTTGTTTTGACTTGGACCACAGTAGTAATGACTGTGGTCCCTGATAATTTGAGATGATGAGGATTTTTCATAGACTCACTGGCATTTGTATGTCTTCTTTTGAAAAGTGTCTACTCATGCCTTTTGCCCACTTTTTCATGGAGTAATTTTTTTATTTGTTGTTGTTGAGTGGTTTTAGTTGGCTTTATGAACAGGCTTTGTCTATGTGGTTTGACTTTGGTCAATGGTGCCCAGAGTTGCTTTACATTCAACACTAAATCTTAGGGGAACTGGCTCCCAAACATTCAACTGGGTGCATCTCCTCCTAACTCTGCACTCAATGACATTATGGTGATCACTTGAAATCAGTCCCAGTTGGAGTATTTACACAAGAGTCAACAAACATTGCACATCAAAGCTCTACCCCCAACTCCTCTAAACAGGCAGTCACTGAGTATTTACTTGCCCTCTATTGCCTATGTTTCTGACCAAAGCAAGAGTGATTAAAAATAAGACTGAAAGTAAAAATAGCCTTGCTTGGAAATACAAAAAGATTGAGATGCTGCTGATGACACAAACAGCAGAAATCCTCACTGCCAATGTGTAAAATTGGAAAGATGGAAAAGTGTAATGACATACCAAGTTCCAAAGAGGATATATCAATCACTACAAAAAAGAGAGAAGAGGTATTCAAGAACACACCCAAGGGAAGCCTTCAAGGCAAAAAAATTTATGTACCACTAATCAGATTTGGTTCAAAAGTATCCTTTAATGACCCAGTTTTCCTGGAGTCTCGAATGTCAGTATCATTGCATAGATTTGTATAAGTAGGGCCATTTCTTTTTCATGCAAGCAAAATCAGTTATTTTGAATTATATTAACAAGGTAGTATATTGTTTGTATGTGTCATGCCTATATTTAATGCATATAGAAGGCTTACACTGAAATGGAAAGATGTGGTATCATCTACTACTAATTCTTCTTTCCAAATTGCTTAATAACAGTTATATTCCCTGTATTCGGTATCTTTCTGCACATTTAAACTGTCAATTAATCTACAACCAAGTCTGCCTTATTTCTTAAGGTCTGCTTTGTATTCTTTTCTTCACATATATTCTATCCATAAACACTCCCTAAGATTACTCTAATTCTAGCTTATGTCAATGATTTAAAATACTTTACACATGTCTGTTATTATTAGGTACATTTTAGGTTTTATACTAAGTCAATATTCAACCAGATATATCTACATTTTGATGAAAATCACTGAACCTAGGTCAAGGACTCCAAGACAAAATTTCATGACTTTTTCCAAACCCATTATCCAAGAAAGTGGGAATGACTGGTGAATTTTAAATAAAATTGAAGTCTCAAGAAGGAGTGTCATGAGGTGATAATTTATAGCATTTTTGAATTTCCATGGTGAAGATACTCCTATCATGTCTGATTCTAGGCTGCAAAATATTGTTACTGAATATGGAGATGGGAGGAGATGACCTCCGCTGACTTTCATGAGCCAGTACAAGCTAGGTTCAGCCTACCATCCTTACAGAAAGGAAAAATAAGAAAAGGTGATAGTCTATTAGATGAGAGAAAATGAAGAGTTAACAAATGTTCTGGATGTGGGAAGGTATATTAGTTTTCTTTTGCTGCTATAAAAATTATTACATACATAGTGACTAAAGGTGAGATAAACTTATTCCCTTATATAATTGGAGGTCAGAAGTCCTAAAATCAAGATGTTGGCATGACTGATTTCTTTTTCTTTTTCTTTTCCAATTTTATTTTGGATTTAGAGAACACATGTGCAGGTTTGTAACTAGGATATATTGTATGATGCTGAGGTTTGGCCTTCTAATGATCCCCTTGCTCAGTTAGTGAATATTGTACCCAACAGGAAGTTTTTCAACACTTGCCTCCTGTTCCTCCTACCTTTCAAAATCCCAGTGTCTATTGTCCCAATCTTTATGTCCATGTGTATCTGTTGTTTAGGTCCCACTTATAAATGAGAAAATTTGCATTTGTTCATTTTCATACTGCTATAAAGAAATACCTGAGACTGAGTAATTTATAAAGAAAAAGTGGTTTCATGGACTCGCAGTTCTACATTACTGGGAGGCCTCACAATTATGGTGGAAGGTAAAGAAGGAGCAAAGGCATGTCTCACATGGTGGCAGGCAAGAGAGTGTGCAGGGGTTCTGGCCTTTATAAAGCCATCAGATCTCGTAAACCTTATTCACTGTCATGAGAATAGCATAAGAAAAAACCCACCCCCATGATCAATTTACCTCCCACCAGGTCTCTCCCATTATATGTGTGGATTATGAGAGCTACAATTCAGCATGTGATTTGGTTGGAGACACAGCCAAACCATATCAACATGGTATTTGTTTTTCTGTTTCTGAATTAGTTCACTTAGCATAATTGTCTTCAACTGCATCCATGTTGCTGTAAAGGACATAATTTTGTTACTTTTATATGGCTGCCTAGTACTTCATGGTGTATATGTACCACATTTTCTTTGTGCAGTTCACCATTGATGGGCACATAGGTTGATTGCATGTCTTTGCTATTGTGAATACTGCTGTGCTGAACATGCAAATGCTTGTGTCTTTTTGGTAGAATGATTTATTTTCCTTTGGGTCTATACCTGGTAATTGGTTTGCTGGGTCGAATGGTAGTTCTGATGTAAGTTCTTAAAGAAATCTCTAAACTGCTGGCTGAACTAATTTGCTTTTCCACCAGCAGGCTGATTTCTTATGGAGGCTCTAGGAAGCAGTCAGCTCTTTGCCTTCTCTAGCTTCTAGAAGGTGTTCACATCCCCTAGCTCATGGTCCTGTGTCACCTAGCATCTGTTGTCATTGTTGTTGTCTCATCTTTTTTTCTGTATCTGACCCCACTGCATCCCTTTTATAACAACCCACCTGCATAATCCAGGACAATCTCCCCATCTCAATATCCTTAACCTAACCACATCTGCAAAATCTATTTTGCCACACAAGGCCACATATTTGCAGATTCTGGACATTAGAACATGGAGACCTTTGGGGGCCATTATTCAGCCTACCCCAGAGGGAATCCTAAAGTAAGACATACTATGTCCTTTTCATCTTTCCTTGGCAAGGAGGAGACAAACTTTGGTTGATAGTATCAACTGCTGTGATTTACAAAGTTTTAGAATCTGCAGTCTGATACCCTTCTGACATCCTTTGCAAGTGGCCTCTTTCTCCCGGCTCAGACATTTGTTTAAGTTAATTATGTTTGTTTGTTTTTTCATTTTTTGTTTTTGGGAGACAGAGTCTCATTCTGTTGCCCATGCTGGAGGAAAGTGGCACGATCTCAGCTCACTGCAACCTCCCCCTTCTGGGTTCAAGGGATTCTTTTGCCTCAGCTACTGAGCTAGGATTACAGGGGCCTGCCACCATGCTCAGCAAATTTTTTGTATTTTAAGTAGAGATTGGGTTTCACCACATTGAACAGGCTCATCTCAAACTCCTGACCTCAGGCAACCCACCCACCTTGTCCTCCCAAAGTGCTAGGATTACAGGTGTGAGCCACCACATCTGGGCAAGTTAATTATGTTTTAAAAAATGGTGTTTAGCAACCAATATCTCAAGATAACTTTCTATGCCAAAAGGCATTTTCTAGATGGGAAACTTAAATTATGACCTGTGTTTCAACCGATTAAAACACTGTCATTGATGAAGTGTGCAAAATAAAATGTCTTTGAAGGTACTCTTTTAAAAGACATGCATTTATGCAAGGTCTGACCTGGCAAGGTAGAAGTTTAAATGGAAGGGAAGAAAGGGGAAATGTTGTAAACCACTGTTTTGAACCACTTCTAAATTTACTGGATCTAATATATATAATATAAATTTAATTATATATATTTGTATATTATAATAAATCATATATTATATAATTATATAATACTGTATTATAATATATCATATATTATATAATTATATAATACTATATTATAATATATCATATATTATATAATATATTATTATATTATTGACATAAATAATAAATATATGAATATATTTATTATGTATTTATAAATATATATTTATATTAGATATTTATATTATTAATTTTATAACAATGGACATTTAATAATATAAGTATATATAGTAGATCTAGTAAAGTTAGAAGTGCTTTAAAACAATGGTTTTGAAAAGGGTAATTTATATATAAAACATATATAAACATATATAAAAACATATATAAACATATATATACTTATATACACACACAAATATATATATATATATATATATATATATATACACGCACACACATATATTTAAGTCTTATTGACATAGTGCCATGACAAGTCTACCAAAGTATTAAATAAGCGGCTTCTGTGTTTCAGGCATAATTTTATTTGGGGAAAGAAGACCTTGTTGAACTGGGACCAACCATAATAAAGGAAACAAGCTGGCAATGTTTCCTCACTTCTATGGTCCTGTAGTTCTCTCCATGGCCAGAGGTCTTTCTAAGGAATATGTTTTTGGAGAGGGGAGAGTTTGTGTTGAGATTAAGTCTTCTGAATAGAGAAGGGAGGAGTGATGTTGGAATATCCCTTCTGCCACTCTAAGATGGAACAATGCTGTAGTGGACGAAAGCATGTCCCAGACACAATATCAAGGAGAAAGGGGACTGTTTTGTATGGAAAGGGAAAAAAAAAAACTGCAAGTGATTTTGTAAGAAGGTTTACATCTAATGAATACAGGACAATGTTTACATTATGAGAAAACACAGAAAGGGGGTTAAGAAGGAGATAAGAGATGGATAGGCAATGCTTAAGGGATAGAGTTAGGGATGGGTTAATGAAGGCCCAAGGAGATGCAAGCCATGTCCTGCAACATGTGAGGCACATGTCACCTGCCTAGGCAAAGTCCACAGAAACTTAGCTAAAGAGAGAGCTCAGCTCTTTCCATGTCTTTGCTCTTGTATTAATTTTTTTTTTCTTTTTAAAAGATAGGGTCTAACTCTGTTGTCCATAACTCACTGAGGCCTCGAATACCTGGGCTCAAGGAATCCTCCCACCTCAGCCTCTCAAGTAGGTGGGGCTACAGGTGCACACCCCCAAGGCTGACTAATTTTTTTTAGATATATTTGTGCAGATGAGGTTCCACCGTGTTGTCCAGGCTGGTCCCCAAATCCTGGGCTCATGCGATTCTCGTGCCTCAGCCTCCCAAACTGCGGAGATTATAGGTGTGAGCCACTGCACCCAGCCTAAGTTTATTGATGTGGACAATTTACAATAGCTTAATCCAATAAAAATATGTGCAAATCACATGTGTCATTTTGAATTTTCTAGTAGCATGCATTAAAACAACATAGATGGGATAGGTGAAATTGACTTGAATAACATATTTTCCTTAACTCAGTAGAATTGTCCCTTGAACAACACAGGTCTGAATTGTGTGGGTTCACTTACATATAGAGGTTATTCTTTCTCTGCTACCCTTGAGACAGCAAGGCCAGCCCCTCCTCTTCCTCCTCCTCAGCCTACTCAACGTGGAGACCAGGAGGATAAAGACCTTTACAGTGATCCACTTCCACTTAATAGCAAATATATTTTCAATTCCTTATGATTTTCTTAACAACATTTTCTTTACTCTAGCTTACTTTACTGTAGGAATACAGTATATAATACATACAACATACCATATATGTGTTAATCTACCATTTATGTTATTGATAAGCCTAATAGTAGGCAATTAGTTGTTAATTTCTGAGTGAGTCCAGAGTTACATGCATATTTTCAATGGCACAGGGGTGGGCCCTCTTAAACCCTATGTTGTTTGAGACTCAATTTTATATCTAAAATATTACTATTTCAGCATAGGTAATCAATATTTTAAAATATCTAGGAAATATTTTGACTATTAATATATTTTGCAATAAGGTGCATATGTGGTATTTGTAATCTATCTATATTTAGACTTGACCCATTTGAAGAATTCAGTGACCACCTAGTTGACTGGCCACCATATTGAACAGCAGGCCTAGAATAAGCCTGCTCCCATGGCTTGGGAATGTGATGTTTTAGTGTCCTTTCTCTCTCAAATAAAAGTCTCAGTCACCCACAGAAAGATGTTGAGGGTATCAGAATGATGTTTCCCACACAATTTTATCTTATCTGCTATTATTATTATTGTTATTATTATTATTATTATTATTAATTACTATTTGTTTTTCTGAAAACCCTTGGTGGGGGCAAAGTCAGGTCTTCCTTGTATTCATCAACCTGTTTTTTCCCAAGTCTTAGCTTCCCTGCTATGGTGAAATATTCCCAAATTGTCTCTTTCCTGCCAGTGTGTTCTCTCACTATTTCCCTTGCTTTAGCTGCTCTTGTGAGCTCTGTCCACTGGCTGAGATGAGACAAACAGGAAAATGACTCACAGTAAACTCGAGAGTGAGAAGTTGTTAAGAGGCATGGGAACTGTCAGGCCTCTGAGCCCAAGCCAAGCCATCGCATCCCCTGTGACTTGCATGTATATGCCCAGGTGGCCTGAAGTAACTGAAGAATCACAAAAGAAGTGAAAATGCCCTGCCCTGCCTTAACGGATGACATTCCACCACAAAAGAAGTGAAAATGGCCGGTCCTTGTCTTAAGTGATGACATTATCTTGTGAAGTCCTTTTCCTGGCTCATCCTGGCTCAAAAATCTCCCCCACTGAGCACCTTACGATCCTCACTCCTGTCTGCCAGAGAATAAATCCCCTTTGACTGTAATTTTTCCTTTATCTACCAAAATCCTATAAAACAGCCCCACCCTTATCTCCCTTCACGGACTCTCTTTTTGGACTGAGCCTGCCTGCACCCAGGTGATTAAAAGCTTTATTGCTCACACAAAGCCTGTTTGGTGGTCTCTTCACATGGACACAAATGAAACAAACTTCCCAAATAAAATAGGCTGGATTCTCTTTCTCCATCAAAGTGAGAGAGAGCACCAACAAGTGATTCAGAGTATGGGAAGTCAGCCAGAAAAAGGGGTCTCAAAGTGACTTGGTCTTGTCAGGAATTGCCTCTTGGGGGACTGCAGTGTTTGCAGCTGTGAAGCTAGACTCAGGCTCTTGCAAACACACTCAGAGTATGCAACTTGAACCTAATCACAGGCATTTATTTTGCACTGGGAAGCAGGACACAGGTGAAGAAATGGAGAAAGCTGTCCCTCTGAATGGACACCAGAAGGGACTAGGGTACTCTGGGTTATAATTTGGCTATAGCCAATATTTACTCATTATTTTCCCCTTCCTCCTCCTCTTCCACATCTTCTCTTTTCTTGCCTAGCTCTTCCTCCTCCTCATGTAATAAATTTAAAAATTATCTCAGTGAAATTGTAATTTGCTTATATAATAATGGTATTATTTTAACATGCATCTCTTCCTTTTTGCAACAGCCATTGGAATTCCTTTTTTTCCATATAAAATAATATATAAAAACAAATGATGGTCACATATATAATAAACAACCACTAATTGGAAGCCCATATTGGAAAAATGAACGAAGAAGATTAACTAGAAAGTCTTTGCAAAATAAAAACAATGAAAAGCATGGTTAGAAGCCATTGAAATATTCTTGTAGCATATTATAAATCCTCAATGATGAATACAACATGGCATTGCTAAATAGACAGAGACTAACCAATGGAACAGATCAAAGGGTCCAGGGTAGGTAAAATGTATGTATGAATTCTGGACATGAATAGCTGACATCGCAATCTGTGGGAAAACATCAGTTTCAAGAAAAGAGTGGGACACTTGATTAGCCTATGGAAAAATTTAAATCTGAGGACGCTTAGGTGGCAGGATCATTTGAAGCCAGAAGTTCAATACCAACCTGGGCAACAATGCAAGATCTCACCTCTACAAAAAAATAATAATAATTAACAGATCATGATGGCATATTCCCATGGACATAGCTGCTTGGAAGGCTGATGTGGGAGGAACACTTGACCCCAGGAGTTTGAGGCTACAGTGAGATGTGATCACACCACTCCACTCCAGCCTGAGCAACAGAACAAGACCCCATCTCTTTAAAAAAATGAAAGAAAAAGAAAAATCTAGATCCATGTCCCACAATGTATTCACAAATAAATTCTGAATAGATCAATGATTTGAATATAAACAATGAAGCTATGTTTGTATTAAATCTACTAGAAGAAAGGATGGGATAATTTATAATCTTGCAGTGGGAAGGTCTTTCTAACAATGACAATATAAATAAGTCAAAAAGAAACTACTAATCAAAATTTCTACATAAAAAATACCCCATAAATGGAGAATATTAAAGCAAACTTGGAGCTATCCCTTTCCTAGCTTTGTTATTTTGTGAGTTCGTAAGAGAAAATGAAGTGCACCTAGACGAGCTACCAAAAATAAAACTAGTATTTCATTCCTCTATGGAAAACTCCAAATGCAAATGTGAACCCTGTGCTGTCCAGAAAGGTAACCAACAGTTTCCTGGGGCCATTTAAATTGAAATTTTCTTCGATTAAATTTGAAACTGCTTACTTGTTGATATGGTTTGGCTGTGTCCCCGCCCAAATCTCATCTTGAATTGTAGTTCCCATAATCCCCACATGTCACGGGAAAGGCCCAGTGGGATGTATTTGAATCAGGGGGATGGTTTTTCTCCTGTTATTCTCATGGTAGTGAGTAAGTTCTCACAAGCTCTTATGGTTTTATAAGGGGCTTCCCCTTCACTGCGCTCTCATTCTTCTCCTTGCTGCTGCCATGTAAAGAAGGACGTATTTGCTTCCCCTTCTACAATTATTGTAAGTTCCCTGATGCCCCTCCAGCCTTGCACAACTGAGTCAATTCAGTCTTTTTCATTTATAAATTACCCAGTCTTGGGTATCTCTTCATACCAGTGTAGGAATGAACTAATACACTTGTTTATGTCCGCCACAATAAAATCACTCAATAGCCATATGTGGTTCATGACTACCATATTGGGCAACACTGATTTCTATGATTGCAAAAAATTCCGTTGGAAACCATTGGCCATTTGCTGTTCAGCAAACTTTTCTTGAACTGTATTCCAAGCACTTCTGTCATTGTGGATACAAAGGAACACAAAACAGAGAGAAATTCTTGCCCTGAAGCCATTTATATTCTAGCGAGATCTACACAAAACCAGGGGGCGGTAAAGTCTTGTTGCATAGTGCCTCCACCTCTCAGATTCAGTACAGAGTTCATTTATATATGTAGGTTTGAAAACAAACAGTGAATCCTGAACACAACTAAAGGAGCCAATACTCATCTTTATAATCCCTGAGCGAGATACCTCACCTCGTGCAAAAGCCACAGCAGTTTTTGCATTTACTTTCAGTGGCAAAATCACAATGACTTTTGCACTAACCTAATAAAAGCATCTGTGTTTGATCATAAATTCTTCTTTTTGAGTCATCTCCTTCTCCACCTTGTTTATAGGGAAACAGAATTATAGAGCTCGAGAGATGAAATGTCACAGTTAGGAAGTGAGAGAATCAATTACCTATTCTCTTCATTGGACAGGCTCCAGAGAATGATAGAATGATAGAGAATGATAGAATGATAGGACAGGCTCTAGAAATGACAGGATACATTTCAGAGCAAGTCACTCTATGAACAAAATATCTATATCTTAGATATCTGAATAACTGTCAAGTTTATTATTGAAAAGATTGTCCCATCTATTTATTTACCAAACATTTAAGAAGAACATGTAATATGTGCAAGATTCCTTTTTCCTTTAAGACTAGTTATTTGGATGTGTGTGATGTGTGTTTACAAGGTAAGATTTCCCAGATTATTGCCCGAGTTTCTTCTGGGAGAGAAAACCAAGGGCTAAAAGACCCACAGAGACAGTGAATTCTTATAATATGCCATTATCTTCACATTGAATTTGAACTTCTGACACCATTCAATCCAAATTAGTATATAATGATTTAAATATGTCCAACTATATGTGTTTAGGAAAAGTGTTAGTTTTCTGTTTAAATTGAATTCAGCTCATCCAAGCACTTGCAAAGTGTTTATTTTCCATACCTGTGATTATCTGAATTTCATTTTTTCTGTGTGAACATAAAACCAAGTCATGAACAATTTCCTAGAACACCATATTACCCTGCTGATTGGTAAAATCATAAACCACAGGTATTTGAGAGAAAGCATGTATTTATCAAATTAAAGACTGATATTCAGATCAATATCAAAGTTTTATATGTGTCATGAAAAGCTGTGGAAAATGTAAAATCCCAGCAAACAACATAGGTTCTATTAGTTCTTTATATAATGAAATTGGTAATTTAAATTGTGTGTTTACCATTTTAAAATAATTTTAAGCTGTATAATTTTTTTCTCTGACAATGTAAACTCTCTATAGAGATATTGAAAAGATCACAAAAGCAGAAAATGCAATCACCTATGACTTAAGAATTTTTGGACATGAATGTTAAATATTTATTGGCTTATTTGCTTTCAAATTTGGCTTTCTATGTTCATTTCACACAATTAAATATATAGTATCTAATATTCTCATTACATAAAATTAAATCTAATAATTGAGATTTCAATGCTTTGTATATTTTTTAAAATCCTTTTGCTTATTTATTTATCTTTACCTCTCAGAATCAAAGCTATTTCTTTTGAAAACATTAAAATTAAATTATCTTGGCTGCTCAAACATAGAAAGGGAGTTTAACATTAGACATAAATCAAATCTAGAGGCTGCAAGGATGATTCAGCAAGACACTAAGTGTATGCAGACTTCTTCTAATCCTCAAATTGTCACACTGGACAAAACATCTCAGGGACATATTTGTTACTAAAATATAAGCTCCATAATGAGCAAAACACAAATTTTTCTTTATTCCTATGTTGACTGGAACCAGTGTTGACCCAGAACACACCTTTCTTATTCATTTCTATTCTTTAGCACCGAAAATTCCCCATTCATCTGCCACCTCCACAAAAAAATAGCCTATTTTCTCGATTTTTTCACTCTAATTCTCTCAGCGATTACTACGTAAGCTTTTGATGAGTGCAATTTAAATATATTCATCACTGATTAAAGTCCTGTAACAGGCATTTTGGGAGAGACCCAGGCAAGTATATCTAGCCCCTGCAGTCAAGAAGTTTAAATCTAGAAAATAAAATAGAGATTGCTTTCTAATTAAATGATAAATTTAATGCCCGTCCTTTTATCTCATGGTAGCTTTTCCCAATTAATGTGCACATTGTGGCTATTTATCACTCAACAAAGAAGAGTGTTTTTCAGTAATGAGTTAAAAGTCCATGCTAATTTACAATGTTCAGAATTGACCCTAGGCTGATTGAAGTGTAGCAAATTAATGACAATATAATATTAATAATTAGCGCTAACTGATGGAAAAGCTCAGTCTGAATTAGTGAAAAGAATGAATTTCTAAGATGCTCAATTGAAAAATTAAATGCTTAAAAGATTTGTCCATACTGCTGACTATAATGAACAAAACATACTCATTTATAATTATTGAATTAATTATAATCAAATCCATAGCCTTTCCTTTATTTTGTTTTAAATTTTCTCACCTGACCTAAGCCAATTTAGCTGCTCATGAGTTCCCAGGTGACTTAGACCTTATCAGGAGGCTCTCGATATAAGACCAGCCACAGAACTTGGCTTCCCAGGGAATGATTTACTGTGGAGATTAACCCTACAAACAGAACAAATATTTATTAGCCTACAGACACACTGTGATAACCTCAAGAATTGTCTTTGTATACAGGATCTTTTCACAAAAGATACTCATCGAGATAGAAAGAATGACACTCCAAAGTCAGAATTAGACATGTTTCAAGTTGCTTTTGGCAAAAGTCTCTCTTGGAAATGTAGGGGTTGACAAAGGGCTGAGGTACACAAGGCTCATTGGATTATAGAACTAAGCATTGGCCTGAAGCTGCTAGGTGCTGGAGTGCTCACATTCTCAGACATACACAAGTTTTATGTATTAGTTTCTTATGCCCAGTGTAACAGAGCATCACACACTTGGCGGTTTAAGACAACACAAAGTTATTATCATATGTTCTGAAGAAGTCCAGCATGTATCTCAATGCATGAGTTTCAAGGTGCTGTCAGCACTTCATTCCTTCTGGAAGTTCTAAGGGAGAAAATATTTCCTTGTTCTTTCTAGTATCTAGAGACCACCTATATTCCTTGATGCATGGCCCCAATTTCCATCTTCAAAGCCAGCAATAGAAGGTTTCTTGCCATATCTCTCTGACCTATTTGTCTTTCTCTTTCACTTTTAAAGATTCTGTGATTCAAATGAACCCACCTGGATTATGCAAGAGATCTCCCTATTTTAAAAATCTCCCTATTTTAATTCCATCTGGGACCTGAATATCCCAGATATTTCACAGTTCCAGGGAATTCATATGTGAACATCTTTGGTGGCAGCTTTATTCCATCTGCCACACTGTATTACCACATATATAATCACTGTCTATCACCATAAAAAACATATTTCTAATACACCTTATGATAAATAAGGAGACTCTGTTGTTGATTCCAAAAAGGATATTTGGAATATAAACTTTTTAAATATGTTTGGATTTGTGATTAAGATACTTAAAATGCTAAAGCTCTAGAGTAGACTGCAAGTAAAGTTAATGTTCATACACACATACACTGTGCAGTTTATAAGAAGGCATTTCAGAGCCAATTATCAAACAATATGAGACGATACACTCAATCACTCAATGCAATTTTCACTATGAAGCATTCATTCTGTTTTCACCTCCAGAAGAGCTATTGCCTTCTAGCTGGGTCACATTTGCCCATATTTTTTCTACTTCCTGGTTCATGTTTTATCCAGTGCAGACTACTTGCATAACAAGGTGGTCTTTGTCACTTAGAGAATAGTGTATTATCTTTTGGTTGCAGAAGCTCTGTTGGAAGGCCTGTCTATGATTTGGATACTCCTCGGGTTGGACCATCAACCTGACTCACTGATCTCCTAAAAGTAGTAAAATCTGTCTTTTATTCTCCAGCAAAATGATGCCAAGACAACAACCTAAATTCAACTAATGGTCCACATATTCTGATCTCTTTTCCTATCAAAAACCTGCTTTGGAAGATCATTTCAACCAACTGATCTATTCATTTATCTACTAGATAGTTATTCAGAAACTACTGTGTTCAAAATACACAGGTGAATCCACACAAAAATTTTGTTTATGTCCTCAAGGGGCTCCCAGTGTAATAAAGATAACAATCATTTAAAAAAAAAATGCAGTTTAACTGAGTTTTATTCCTGAGGTCCTGAAGTGATCTATAGTACCAGGGAAATACAAGTGGCATTTCCCAGGACAGCGGGTTTGTTTTTGTTCACTGCGGTAGACCTAAGTATGCCTGAGATAGTTAAGCAAGGGTTCCAAAAAAAGGCAGCTTATATTTTCTAGAAATACGAAGATATTACAGGTGAAAAAAGATGCATTTTTCAAAGCAAAGTAGTAGTATGGCATAGCAAGAAGCATGGTTGAATGCTTCATACCAGGTAGAAATTGAGAAAGACTGGGTAAAGGAGAAGACAGAGAAAGAGAAAGAAAGAGGGGAGAGAAGAAAAAAGATGAATAAAACAGAGGAGAAAGAAGAGAAGATTAAATAATAAAAAGGGGAGAGGGAGAGAAACAGGAGGAGGTGGATGAGAACAAAGAAGAAAAGAGGAGAAGATGGGCAAGGAGAGGAGAGTAAAGATAAAAGAAGGGCCAAATAGAGCTGTGAACAATGGCTTATGCCTACAATCTCACCACTTTGGGAGACTGAGGCAGGAGAATTGCTTGAGGCCAGGAGTTGCTGACCAGCCTGGGCAACATAAGGGCCAGCTAGAGACTGTTGAATTCCTAAAGAGGCTGGTATTCTGAGCTTCAGAATTAAGATGGTGCTCAACAGAGAGAGAAAACAAAGGGTTTTAAGAAGGGTCTAGAAATGAACACGTTTTAATTGAAGGAAGACTTTAGGACAAATTTTAGGAATGAATTCAGGGCCAGGAAAGCCAATTCAGAATTTACCGCAATAGTGTGAGCACAAGATTCTGAAAGCAATTCATGGGAGGTCCTAGAAGGGAGAAGAGGGGCTGGATTAAGAGATACTACAACAACTGACAGGGCTGTAGATAAATTCACAGTGGCTAAGGAGAGACAGGAGTTGGGGTGTTCCCAGGGATTCTTGTGCTGTTCACCAATGCCAAAAATGCTGGAGAGAAGAGGATATGGGTTTTCTTTTTTGGTAGGGGAGGGTAAACTTGGAGTATGTTGTATTTGAGATGCCTAGGAGATTATATACAAAGAGTATGAACATAAGGTTTATGCAAATGTGCTCTAAGAATATGGCATTATTTCTGATCCAAAGAACAAAGCAAAGAATGCAGAGGGAAAAAAAAAAAAGAAAAAAAAAAACAAAGCAAGAAGAAGAAAAAGAGACCTCTAACGATAAACTTTATTGAATTTAAAAGGCTTTTTAAAGTACAGGTATACACTCCAGTAGTTTGCAAGTTGCAAAAGCGTGTATCATTGTAGAAACGCTGCTGTGATCAGCAGGATAGCAATAGGAAAAAATTCATGTTTCCTAATCCATTGTAAGGAAGTCAGTCTTACTGATTCAAGTATGCATTGTTCCCTTTTTGAACTATAAAAGAGTGCATTAGCTTTCCTCCAGGGGAAGTAGAATGATGCTATAAAGTTAAATTTTAAGTAATTGAATGGCTTTTAAAACAAAACAGCTGGGAAGCTTGAACTGAGTGGAGCCCACCATAGCTCAAGGAGGCCTGCCTGCCTCTGTAGGCTCCACCTCTGGGGGCAAGGCACACACAAACAAAAAGACACCAGTAACCTCTGCAGACTTAAATGTCCCTGTCTGACAGCTTTGAGGAGACCAGTGGTTCTCCCAGCACGCAACTGGAGATCTGAGAATGGGCAGACTGCCTCCTCAAGTGGGTCCCTGACACATGACCCCCGAGCAGCCTAACTGGGAGGCACCCCCCAATAGGGGCAGACTGACAACTCACGTGGCCAGGTACTCCTCTGAGACAAAAATTCCAGAGGAATGATCAGAGAGCAGCATTCCCGGATCACAAAAATCTGCAATCCTGCTGACACCACTGCTGATACCCAGGCAAACAGGGTCTGGAGTGGACCTCTAGCAAAATCCAACAGACCTGCACCTGAGGGTCCTGTCTGTTAGAAGGAAAACTAACAAACAGAAAGGACATCCACACCAAAAACCCATCTGTACATCACCATCATCAAAGACCAAAAGTAGATAAAACCACAAAGATGGGGAAAAAACAGCAGAAAAACTGGAAACTCTAAAAATCAGAGTGCCTCTCCTCCTCCAAAGGAATGCAGTTCCTCACCAGCAACGGAACAAAGCTGGACGGAGAATGACTTTGATGAGTTGAGAGAAGAAAGCTTCAGACGATCAAACTACTCTGAGCTACAGGAGGAAATTCAAACCAAAGGCAAAGAAGTTGAAAACTTTGAAAAAAATGTAGACGAATGTATAGCTAGAATAACCAACACAGAGAAGTGCTTAAAGGAGCTGAAAGCCAAGGCTCAAGAACTACGTGAAGAATGCAGAAGCCTCAGGAGCCAATGTGATCAACTGGAAGAAAGGGTACCAGTGCTGGAAGATGAAATGAATGAAATGAAGCGAGAAGGGAAGTTTAGAGTAAAAAGAATAAAAAGAAATGAACAAAGCCTCCAAGAAATATGAGACTATGTGAAAAGACGAAATCTGCGTCGATTGGTGTACCTGAAAGTGACAGGGAGAATGGAATCAAGTTGGAAAGCACTCTGCAGTTTATTGTCCAGGAGAACTTTCCCAATCTAGCAAGGCAGGCCAACATTCAGATTCAGGAAATACAGAGAAATCCACAAAGATACTCCTCGAGAAGAGCAAATCCAAGATACATAATTGTCAGATTCACCAAAGTTGAAATGAAGGAAAAAATGCTAAGCGCAGCCAGAGAGAAAGGTCGGGTTACCCACAAAGGGAAGCCCATCAGATTAATAGCGGATCTCTCAGCAGGAACTCTACAAGCCAGAAGAGAGTGGGGTCCAATATTCAACATTCTTAAAGAAAAGAATTTTCAAACCAGAATTTCATATCCAGCCAAACTAAGCTTCATAAGTGAAGGAGAAATAAGATCCTCTACAGACAAGCAAATACTGAGAGATTTCGTCACCACCAGGCCTGCCCTAAAAGAGCTCCTGAAGGAAGCACTAAGCATGGAAAGGAACAACCAGTACCAGCCGCTGCAAAATCATGCCAAAGTGTAAAGACCATCGAGACTAGGAAGAAACTGCATCAACTAACGAGCAAAATAACCAGCTAACATCATAATGACAGGATCAAATTCACACATAACAATATTAACTTTAAATGTAAATGGACTTTACATTTAAATGTAAATGTAAATGCTCCAATTAAAAGACACAGACTGGCAAATTGGATAAAGAGTCAAGACTCATCAGTGTGCTGTATTCAGGAAACCCATCTAACATGCAGAGACACACATAGGCTCAAAATAAAAGGATGGAGGAAGATCTACCAAGCAAAAGGGAAACAAAAAAAGGCAGAGGTTGCAATCCTAGTCTCTGATAAAACACACTTTAAACCAAGGAGGAGCAAAAGAGAAAAAGAAAGCTATAACATAATGGTAAAGGGATCAATTCAACAAGAAGAACTAACTATTCTAAATATATATGCACCCAATACAGGAGCACCCAGATTCATAAAGCAAGTCCTGAGTGACCTACAAAGAGACTTAGACTCCCACACATTAATAATGGGAGACTTTAACACCCCACTGTCAATATTAGATAGATTGAGACAGAAAGTCAACAAGGATACCCAGGAATTGAACTCAGCTCTGCACCAAGCGGACCTAATAGACATCTACAGAACTCTCCACCCCAAATCAACAGAATATACATTTTTTTTCAGCACCACACCACACCTATTCCAAAATTGACCACATACTTGGAAGTAAAGCTCTCCCCAGCAAATGTAAAAGAATAGAAATTATAACAAACTGTCTCTCAGACCACAGTGCAATCAAACTAGAACTCAGGATTAAGAAACTCACTCAAAACTGCTCAACTACATGGAAACTGAACAACCTGCTCCTGAATGACTACTGGTTATATAACGAAATGAAGGCAGAAATAAAGATGTTCTTTGAAACCAACGAGAACAAAGACACAACATACCAGAATCTCTGGGACACATTCAAAGCAATGGGTAGAGGGAAATTTATAACACTAAATGCCCACAAAAGAAAGCAGGAAAGATTCAAAATTGACAACCTAACATCACAATTAAAAGAACTAGAAAAGCAAGAGCAAACACATTCAAAAGCTAGCAGAAGGCAAGAAATAACTAAAATCAGAGGAGAACTGAAGGAAATAAAGACACAAAAAACCCTTCAAAAAATTAATGAATCTAGGAGCTGGGTTTTTGAAAGGATCATCAAAATTGATAGACTGCTAGCAAGATTAATAAAGAAAAAAAGAGAGAAGAATCAAATACATGCAATAAAAAATGATAAAGGGAATACCACCACCAATCCCACAGAAATACAAACTACCGTCAGAGAATATTACAAACACCTCTACACAAATAAACTAGAAAATCTAGAAGAAATGGATAAATTCCTCGACACATACACTCTCCCAAGACTAAACCCGGAAGAAGTTGAATCTCTGAAAAGACCAATAACAGGATCTGAAACTGTGGCAATAATCAATAGTTTACCAACCAAAAAGAGTCCAGGACCAGATGGATTCAGAGCCAAATTCTACCAGAGGTACAAGGAGGAAGTGGTACCATTCTTTCTGAAACTATTCCAATCAATAGAAAAATAAGGAATCCTCCCTAACTCATTTTATGAGGCCAGCATCATCCTGATACCAAAGCCGGGCAGAGACAAAAAAAAAAGATAATTTTAGACCAATATCCTTGATGAACATTGATGCAAAAATCCTCAATAAAATACTGGCAAACCAAATCCAGCAGCACATCAAAAAGCTTATCCACCATGATCAAGTGGGCTTCAACCCTGGGATGCAAGACTGGTTCAATATACACAAATCAATAAACATAATCCAGCATATAAAAAGAACCAAAGACAAAAACCACACGATTATCTCAATAGATGCAGAAAAGGCTTTTGACAAAATTCAACAACCCTTCATGCTAAAAACTCTCAATAAATTAGGCATTGATGGGACGTACCTCAAAATAATAAGAGCTATCTATGACAAAGTCACAGCCAATATCATACCGAATGGGCAAAAACTGGAAGCATTCCCTTTGAAAACTAGCACAAGACAGGGATGACCTCTCTCACCACTCCTATTCAACATAGTGTTGGAAGTTCTGGCCAGGGCAATTAGGCAGGAGAAGGAAACAAAGGGAATTCGATTAGGAAAAGAGGAAGTCAAATTGTCCGTGTTTGCAGATGACATGATTGTATATCTAGAAAACCCCATTGTTTCAGCCCAAAATCTCCTTAAGCTGATAAGCAACTTCAGCAAAGTCTCAGGATACAAAATCAATGTACAAAAATCACAAGCATTCTTTGCACCAATAACAGACAAAGAGAGAACCAAATCATGAGTGAACTCCCATTCACAATTGCTTCAAAGGGAATAAAATACTTAGGAATCCAACTTACAAGGGACGTGAAGGACCTCTTCAAGGAGAACTACAAACCACTGCTCAATGAAATAAAAGAGGATACAAAGAAATGGAAGAACATTCCATGCTCATGGGTAGGAAGAATCAATATCATGAAAATGGCCATACTGCCCAAGGTAATTTACAGATTCAATGCGATCCCCATCAAGCTACCAATGACTTTCTTCACAGAATTGGAAAAATATACTTTAAAGTTCATATGGGACCAAAAAGAGCCCACATTGCCAAGTCAATCCTAAGCCAAAAGAACAAAGCTGGAGGCATCACACTACCTGACTTCAAACTATACTACAAGGCTACAGTAACCAAAACAGCATGGTACTGGTACCAAAACAGAGATATAGACCAATGGAACAGAACAGAGCTGTCAGAAATAATGCTGCATATCTACAATTATCTGATCTTTGAAAACCTGAGAAAAACAAGCAATGGGGAAAGAATTCCCTATTTAATAAATAATGCTGGAAAAACTGGCTAGCCATACATAGAAAGCTGACACTGGATCCCTTCCTTACACCTTATACAAAAATTAATTCAAGATGGATTAGAGACTTAAACATTAGACCTAAAACCATAAAAACCCTAGAAGAAAACCTAGGCATTACCATTCAGGACCTAGGCATGGGCAAGGACTTCATGTCTAAAACACCAAAAGCAATGGCAACAAAAGCCAAAATTGACAAATGGGATCCAATTCAACTAAAGAGCTTCTGCACAGCAAAAGAAACTACCATCAGAGTGAACAGACAAGCTACAAAACGGGAGAAAATTTTCACAACCTATTCATCTGACAAGGGCAAATATTCAGAATCTACAATGAACTCAAACAAATTTACAAGAAAAAAACAAACAACCCCATCAAAAAGTGGGCAAAGGTTATGAACAGACATTTCTCAAAAGAAGACATTTATGCAACCAAAAGATACATGAAAAAAATGCTCATCATCACTGGCCATCAGAGAAATGCAAATCAAAACCACTATGAGATACCATCTCACACCAGTTAGAATGGCAGTCATTAAAAAGTCAGGATACAACAGGTGCTGGAGAGGATGTGGAGAAATAGGAACACTTTGACACTGTTGGTGGGACTGTAAACTAGTTCAAACATTGTGGAAGTCAGTGTGGTGATTCCTCAGGGATCTAGAACAGGAAATACTATTTGACCCAGCCATCCCATTACTGGGTATATACGCAAAGGACTATAAATCATGCTGCTATAAAGACACATGCACATGTATGTTTATTGTGGCACTATTCACAATAGCAAAGACTTGGAACCAACCCAAATGTCCAACAGTGATAGACTGGATTAAGAAAATGTGGCACATATACACCATGGAACACTATGCAGCCATAAAAAATGATGAGTTCATGTCCTTTGTAGGGACATGGATGAAATTGGAAATCATCATTCTCAGTAAACTGTCACAAGGACAAAAAACCAAACACCACATGTTCTCACTCATAGATGGGAATTGGACGATGAGAACACATGGACACAGGAAGGGGAACATCACACTCTGTGGACTGTTGTGGGGTGGGGGTAGGGAGTAGGGATAATATTAGGAAATATACCTAATGCTAAATGACAAGTTAATGGGTGCAGCACACCAGCATGTCGCTAGTATACATATGTAACTAACCTGCACATTGTGCACATGTACCCTAAAACTTAAAGTATGATAATAATAATAGTAATAATAATAAAAGGGCTAATGAATGAATTTAGAAGTTGAGATCTATGAATGAAGGTATAGATGTTAGTGAACCTTTGGTAACATTTTAAATTTTTAACAAATATTTTTGAGAAGTTTTTAATTAAGGATAATCAAAAAGGGTTTGCTCATGCAAATTATAAATGATCAAGAAACAAAATACCAGAATACACAACATTTACCCCACGTTATTAAATATTTTAAGGTATGTGTGTGTGTGATAGTGTCATTCTTCATGAAGACTAAAATTTACTGCAATACCTGCTGGATTAAGAAGACACCAACATATTTATTTGGTCTCTCAATCTTTTTTCTACCATGTGAAAATTATACTTTCATGTAGAACCTGAAATACTATTAGCAGAAACAAAATGTTGGCATCTCTGGGGAATTCCTGATACAAGAAACTCCTTAATAGAGTTCTTATAGATATATAACATGTGTTTATAATATATTGTGATAATATAAGGTTTTGCATAATATGCCCAACTGGCGTGGGTATTCTAAGCTGTGGCTGATAAAATGTAGATGCTCAAGAATTAAAAACTGTGAGGCCAAGGCCCATTATGTGTAAATAAAGAAGGGAAGGATAGAGAAATAAATATCTAGACCTTTTAAGCTGAGTTCCAAGTTAATTTTGAACTAAGAGAGGGAGAAAAAATCACCCTAGTCATCCCACTCATATGTAAATCTCGTAAGTATAGGTCTTTGGGTTTCCATTTTGCTTTGTTTTGTTGTGCCTTGCTGCACTATGACCACTGCCTATGACACTGGCACTGCTGTTAAATGGATGGCTTTCTCTTTACCTATGCAGATCATAATAAAATGCCTAGCTTAAAGAAGTTGCTTAATACATTTTAGGTAAACAGATGGATAATTTGAATCAGGACAGAAGGATGAGTGGATGGGTACCTGAATGAATTAATGAGAACAGAAAATAATAACGGATTTGTATGAAACAAAGGGAAAGAGAGAGCACTTTGAAGCTGAAAGGAAGAGTTACTAATTATAGGAGAAGGAGGATAAATTATCATGACTCTTCAGTTCATGGTATAGACAAGAGGAATAATTGGACAACAGAAGATTGAGAAGGCTACAGATTCTGATAATGTCTTCACTATCTCCAATACATAACTTTGCTTGCTGCTTAATGCAATATTTGCCCTCTTTCATTCAAACAATGCATAACTGATGCAGTTTGTCAGTCTCCAGTTTATAACACGGCAGTTAGTGAACACTGCTTTAAACCACTCACATGCAATAAATTACTGGGTACTAACAAGAAACAATTTGCTTAACTTTTTCTACACAATGAATCCTACATATAAACTCAAATGTGCTAAAGAAAAAATATACATATTCAATGGATTCAAATGAGTGCATAAATAGTAGAGGCTTATTGAATGATTTGAGAATTTTACTTTCAACAGTTTCAGTAATATTATGCAATCATCATTATGTTCTCCAGAAAAGTACAATGCTAAATTCCAGACATTTCACATGATAGGTGATTATGTTGTATACAAATAAATTGGCTTTCCTGATGTTAGAAGACTTTGAGGCTTATTTTCTGATTTCAACTTATAGACAAATCAGGAATACAGATTCATGAATACAGCTCCTTTTATCAGTGTGTCAGTAAGCAACAATTTTTTTAATTATTTTATTTTAAGTTCCAGGATACATGTGCAAAAATTGCAGGTTTGTTACATAGGTAAATGTATTCTCAGAGGTTTGCAGTACCTACCAAGCCATCACCTGGGTATTAAGCCATGCATGCATTAGCTTTTTACCCTGATGTTCTCTTTCCCCTCACCCATTCTGGAACAGACCCCAGTGTGTGTTGTTTCCCTCCCTGTCTTCATGTGTTCTCATTGTTCAGGTCCCACTTATGACTGACAACATGACATGTTTGGTTTTCTGTTCCTGTGTTAGTTTGCTGAGAATGATGGCTTCCAGCTTCATCCATGTCCCTGCAACAGACATGTCATTCCTTTTTATGGCTGCATAGTATTTGATACTCTTAAGTGCACCAGTAAGTTGCCTACATTTTTTTATATAAGTACCATATTTTCTTTATCCAGTTTATCATTTATAGACATTTTGGTTGGTTCCATGTCTTTGCTATTGTGAATAGTGCTAGTAAACAACATTTAAAAATAAAAGTACTCTGGATTTTTCACTAAACCACGATAAAGTAGTGAGCTTGTTCTTTAGGAAACCAAGAGGAAACTATTGTAAAAATTCAGATTCTCATGGAAAAAATACTCTGTTAGAGCAATTAAGAAGGCAGATGATTGAGGTATAATGCTGGGTCCTTTGATCCTCTTTCTGGGTCAGTTTGCTATTCTACTGGGTTCTTAATAGCCCACTCAAGTGAGGCAGACAATACTTAGCTATGCCCATAGTTGCTGGAGGTGAACCAATGCAATCTCTTATTGTCCATCCCCTGACTCTTCTATGTTGGTTCTTATGAATCTGATGAATGCAGAAAGAAGTTGACATATTTCAACTTGCTTTCATCACACTTGTGAATAGAAAAGGTTCTTCTTCTCGAAAGACTTCCTACCTACCACAGATCTTCTAGTAAGGGAAACTATTGTGTTTCCTAACTATACCACCACCCACTAATTCAAACAGGACATTAGCTCCCTAGTAAGTAGCCTGGTCAAGTCATATGACCTAGTTTTATTTTCCTCAATAATTTCTGAATGACTGGCTGTTATTTCACACAGAAGGCTTTTGTGGAGAGTCAGTCTCATGGATTTTCAGAATAGGGTGTTTCCATTTACTGACTGTAATAGTGGCCAGTTCTCAGCATTATTCTTCTCAGGTAAATATGCGTTCAAGGCAAAAAAAAAAAAAAAAAAAAATTAAAAGATTCATTATAGGCAAAAGGAAGTTAAAAGAATTTTCCTCTTTCAGAATTTATCCAGTTGGATTTATAGTTAATTCAATAATTGCTTTAATCACAGAGCATAACTCAGGGTACCTCACCTCTCTTTGTCTCTGTCCCTGATAGTTCCAGAGAACCCAGGATTTAGAGACCCTTTAAGTTATAATCACAAGGTTTGACTGAATGAACCAAGTATATGCTGAAGACTTTTACAATCATAGGATACCAAACAAAATATTGACATTGTTGTGAATATTTGGATGGTAGATTGTATTCTTAAATAACATTTAGGATCATCTTGCAGGGCTTATTTTTTTCAGAAATTATTTTTTTGAGAAGAACACCACCAATGTGATAAAGTATGGTTACTGGAGCCTATTACATTTTTTGGCAATTTCCTGTAAGAGAAACTGTTGGCTTTGCACAGTCAAGACAGTTATGGGTCATTCAAATCTCTGCAGATCACTTTTTAACTGTGGGAAGTCTTGACAGTCCTCATGATCAGCATCTCAATGCCATTGTCCTAGGAGTATTATTCCTACAGAATGTTAATGAGGATGTGTTATGGGCTTAGTTGAGCCCCTGACAAATTCATATATTGAAGTTCTAACCCCCAGTACCTCAGAATGTATTTGAAGACAAATCCTTTAATGAGGTAATTATGGTAAAATGATGTCATGGGGAGGACACTAATCTGAAGTGACTCGTGTTTTTATAGGAAGAGGAGATTAGGATACAGACATACACAGAGGGTCAGCCACGTGAGGACACAGGGAGGAGATGGCATCTACAAGCCAAGGAGAGAGGCCTCAGGAGGAACCAACCCTACTAACAACTTGATCTTGAAATTCCAGCCCCTAGGACTGTGAGATTTGAGAGAAAAAAAAGTCTGTTGTGTAAACCCCCCAAAAATATAAACACCTATGTTTTCAACCTTAGAACTTTGCATCATCTTGTGTGTTATTAATCTACAAGAAACTATTTTTTGAGAAAGAGTTTCACTCTGTCACTCAGGCTGGAGTGCAGTGGCCTGATCTCATCTCACTGCAACCTCTGCCCCAAAAGTTGCAATAATTCTCTTTCCTCAGCCTCCCAAGTAGTTGGGATTACAGGCACACACCATAAAGACTTGGCTAATTTTTGTGTTTTTAGTGAGACAGGGTTTCACCATGTTGGCCAGACGATTTGAACTCCCGATCTCAAGTGATCTGCCTGCCTTGGCCTACCAATGCTGGGATTACAGATGTGAGCCACTGTGCCAAATTGAAGCCATTTTTATATGCAATGTTTTCTAAGCTTCTTTGGCCATAGATCCTTTGTATTCAAATGATTTTGAGAAACTATTGTTCCAATAGAATGCTTTTACAAACATCACTCCACACCAAGCAGCTCTAATTAATGGGATTATGCACATCCCCAAATTCTCTCGGTTCAGTTGTCAAGTTTTGTCAGCATTGCATTTGGTTTTGCTGGGTGAGATTATCAACCAGGAAGAGGGCCCTGAAAAGAAGTCTTATCTGGGCTCTTTGGTGAAACTGTGTCTTCACATGCAGGTGAAATCTTTGCCTGTTAGTTTGAAATAATAAATATGATGCTTCCTACTGTCAGAATAGTTTGAGCTTCAGCACAATTTAATAAGTATTAATTCCAAAAATGATGTGAAAGAAGGTGGATTTTTGTTTCACAAGGAAGACGACGGAATAAGCTAAAAAACATTAGGCAGCTTATGGGTGTATTTGAGAGCATGACTTCACAGGTAATTCCAGCAGTACCAAGTACTCTGTGTAGGTGACTCAGTTAATCCATCTGAGTCTTTGTTTCTTCAGTGAGAAAAAATAGAAAATACAGTTTTGCCACCCCCAACGTATAAGATAATTAAATAAGCTGATTATGGCAGGCTATTTAGCAGGCAGCCTTGTATAATAACCACACAGTAAGTGTTTCAAGTGGACTTAATCAAGGTTACCCATGAAGGAGTGGTACAGCTGGCTCCCAAATGGTGCCTTCTGATAGCCAAACACCTATTCATATCTTTGTATATGTAATTTTTATTTATTTTTTTTTATGAGTTGAGGTCTCACTGTGTTGCCCAGCCTGGTCTCAAACTTCTGGGTATTCATTTCTCTGTTTGATCCTTCCATGTCAGCCTCCTATGAAGCACTGGGACTACAGGTGAGCCCTACCACACCCAGCTGCCTTGTATAATGACACGTTTGAGACAGGTTACTGAGAACTAATTGCCCAGTGTTTAGTCATAACTAAGTGAACAGATAAAATTGCTATTATAACCATTAAAGCAAAGATCTATACCACTAGTACACACATCATCAAAACTGGGGTGCCCCTACATATTTATAAAGAAATTTCAAAATTCAAAAATGCATCTCAAAAAGTAGTAATGTCCGAAAGTTCATCAGAGAGACCAGTGAAATTTAATAAATAATAAATAAATATTGAAAATTACCTAAATACCACAGAACACAAAGTATACATTTGGCAGGGAAAAGTGAATTTCATGACAAAATGAAACTAAGTCATTTTGTTTCACAATCCTCAAATTTTATAATTCGAACACAGTGTGTTTCATTTGATATTATTTTTTTGGTTTGGTTTTATTTCAGTTAGTTTGGTACATGCATTTCTGGGTCTTTGATAAAGGTTTCATCTAGCTTCCTTTTACACTCTTAGTTCATTTTCATGCTCCATGTCTACACTTTTGTTAAAAATAATATTATAACATTCCAAGAACATATTGCCTTAGAAACCAGTGGGCAACTTCCACTAGCTCACCCTTCTTGTTCTCTCCCTGCTGCCCAGTTGTGGGGTACTCATCTCTGTGCTTGTTCTGTTGTGGGTTTTCGCCACCCATCTTGCTTTTCACATCAATTTTCCTTTCTGGGAACCAACGACTCTTGAGTTTGAGACCCCTGTCTCAGAGTTCCTTTGAGATGATACAGAACAAAACTAACTTGCTTATGTCTGGGAAGCAGAAAAAGATGTCAAGAGTGTTGAAAATGAGAGTCAAAGAAGGTTCTGGTTGCAATGGAAGTAAAAGTAGGTAATGAACCCCAAGGGGTCAGAAAATGATGAATGTACTATGGCTTATACAATAAATTGAAAGACAGAATAACCCTTAGGGAATAAGAGAGAATGGTATAGGAAGCAAAAAGTGCTGAGCTTGTGGAATCAACAAATCAGAAAGAGTGAAGGAAAAAATCATTGAAGATTTGTTAAATTCCCTTCCAGTATAACACCAGATCTGTGTTCATGTTGGATGGCTGCTAGCTCCAGGTCTGTTTAAGAAAAGACTCCAGTTTATCAAGCCTCAGTTTTGTCTATGTTCTGTTGATGCCACAGACTGTCAAGAGAAGAGGATTGTCCAAAGCCTCCCAGAGTAACAAATGGAAAGTTCCAAAGCACCATTCTGATGCCACAGATATTGAGAAGAACTCTACAGAAATTCCCACAGGGAAACCACTTGAAGAGGCCTCACCTGCCTCAGTTGAAAGTGAATATTGATGAAACTGGCACGCTTTGGGCATGGGCTAAGACAGAACATTTATGAATAAGAATGATGGGGCTGCCTGGTTTAAATGTTTAAAGAATGGCTTACACTATTCTTATAGAGATGGATATAGGAGTAGCAAGCTCAAATTCTTCTTGGTTGCTGTGGAGTTAGGAAGCACTGATGTGCAAAGAACTGGCTTACTAACAGCTTTCATGAGTGTAGTGTATTTGAAATGGTTCAGGTGTGCTTTTTCAGTCTCTTAATCTGTCTGTTACCTGGAATCAGCACAACTCG
The DNA here is from genome assembly GCF_000001405.40 of Homo sapiens. Lineage (NCBI taxonomy): Eukaryota > Metazoa > Chordata > Mammalia > Primates > Hominidae > Homo > Homo sapiens. The sequence continues at coordinate 15,779,470 of NC_000024.10, read as the reverse complement.
AGTGTATCACTTTTATTCATTCTGGACACTTTCTTATTCCATTTCTGGCATTTTTCTGTATTAGCCTCCAGCCTGATGGAACTGTGTGCCTTACCCGTGTCTGAAATTCTGTGCTATCTGGTTGTGAGGCATTCATAGACATGCAATTTTCTGGATTTGTATAAGCTGCCATTTAGGATTCAGAGGCTGCTTGTGAATGAGAAATTGGATTGGAGAACAGATTGTAAAAAGGACAGTGAAGATCTCCAGGTGACAGAATATGTAGGCCTATACTTCAGGAATAAGATTTGGGATAGAAATGGGGACATTTTGGAGCCACTGGAACTTGAAATTCCTTTGGGTGGGGGAGGTATGCAGATTGTGAAGGGAGCCTGCTACAGAACAAGGAAGAGGACCAACATTTTAGGATACAGCAGAGGATGAAGAATCTAATCCAGATAGCTGGGTGCAGTGAATCAGTTCTGTAATCCCAGCAGTCTAGGAGGCCAAGGCAGGCAGATTTCTTGAGGTCAGGAGTTCAAAACAAGCCTGGTCAACATGGGGAAACCCTGTCTCTACTAAAAATACAAAAATATGCCTGTTGTGGTGGTGTACACATATAGTCCTGGCTACTTTGGAGACTGAGGCAGGAGAATTGCTGGAACCTGGGAGTCAGAGGTGGCATGAACCAAGATTGCATGACTGCATGCCACCCTGGGTGACAGAATGAGACTCAGTCTCAAAAAATAAAATAAAATAAAAATAAAATAAAATAAATTATGCACATTTCCAAGTCTACCATGATTGTGTTATATGTACATTTTCCTCAAGTGTACATATGTGGTTTTTTGCAATAATTTGTGTTAATGTTGTGACTGGAGCCTTTTTACTTACACGACCAGCTTCAAAGCAAGGAAGTTAGTGACTATCTCAGCAGGTTTTAATTTCTTTTATTCAGGACACAGAACATATAAGACCATAATTAATTCACTATTGCCTTGACTAGTGCAAGTCCTGTGCATCTCTACTGAAGTTCTCTGGAATTGCAGAGGATTGAACTTCTCTGTGACTTTCAATGGCTATTGAGCTTCCTGAAGCCAGGGTATACATGGATTTTGAAGGATAATTCTGACTAGGGGTATAACATCTCTTGTGTTGAATTATAGTTACAATGCTCCCTACGAATAGACAATCCAACCAACTTTACACTTACTGAAAAAATATACAGCCCATGCTAAAGTAATGGATGAATCTCAGTTGTTAAAATACCTTGAACCTGAGAGTTGTGTAGCATCTGAGGGGACAGAATGAAATGGGGACGTCATCGTGTCAGTGAAAATATTAACACAGAGCTGGGTTGGGCACAGTGGCTCATGCTTTCAATCTCAGCACTTTGGGAGGCCAACGCAGGTGGATCACTTGAAGCCAGGTGTTAAAGACCAGCCTGGCCAACATGGTGAAAACCCATCCCTACTAAAAACACACCAATTAGCTGGGCATGTTGGTGTTTACCTGTAATCCCAGCTACTTGGGAGGCTGTGGCAGGAGAATTGTTTGCAGGAGGCAGAGGTTGAAGTGAGCCAAGATGACACCACTGCACTGCAGCATGGGTAACAGAGCAAGACTCTGTCTCAAAAACAGACACAAGAAAACAGCAAAACCCCACAATATTAACACAGAGTTATGTGAAAACTGTCTTTCTGTGAGACCAGAACACAATCTCAGTTCAGCAGAGTGTGTGCATTGAGAGGTGAAAGGTGATAAAAGCACACACAAATGTGTTAACAAGATTTTCTACAGTCGAGTGACAGGTCAACAGGTTAATTATGATATGGAGGAATACCAAGGAAGAGATGCAAAGCAGAGAGGAATTAAAGCAGGTTCAAGTCAGGTGGTTTACACAAAGGAAGAGAACATGAAGTATTTTCTAAAATATAATTTTAAATTTGTCTATTTGCCTTAAAGAAGCCATGCTGCCTAGTACTAATTCAGAAATATGTTGGAAAATGTACAGGTGCATTTTGTTATACAGATAGAAACAACAAATTTGGAAATATATATAAAAGGCAGAAAAGTGACTTTGGAATAGAAGATGGTATCAGTTATTTATACATTTATTATGCTTAATGCATCAATATATTCAGTGGCAGTTGTATAGGCCAGAAAAAAAAAAAGACAAAATTCAAGGTAGTCAGAGAGAGAAAGAGAGTATTTGTAACCAAGAAACCATAAGAATATGTTAGATACACAAAAGGATTTTGGTCAAATTGAGCCAAAAGAATAATAAAGATTAATGTCCCATGTTACTCTTAGGGCATTGTCTTAGAGGCCTTCTTCTCATTAAAATGTAATAATTAATTAGAAAAATTTATGTAAGAATGAGGTGACAAACCAGGTCTCATGTGGTTCAACTAGCTCTGCTTTTTCAGAAGCAAGAGAGAATTTGGGTAGAAAGAAGATGCTTCCCTCATCTTACATATATAGGCCTGTTTTAGTTACTACAAACCTACATGATGCATCCTCAACTGAATTGGTCCCAGTCATATGTCACTCCAGTAGATGTCCCTGAGTCCACTTTCCATCAACTGCTCTATTGGTGGCTTCCAGTGGTGGGAATGGGGACCCAACACCTGGGAATTATAGTGCTGACTCTCCCTGATTGGTGGCTTTATAATTGGCTGACATAGTTGGAAACTGTGGCAAGTTTCCAAAGAGTTGCTTTGCTCATTATTTGTGCCCTCAGAAATAGCTGGAAGAATAAAAAGAAGTATTAGAAACTGTACTGTGATGATTAATTGTATGTGTCAATATGACAGAGCTAAAGGAAGACCAGACAGCTGATAAATCATTATTTCTGAGTATGTCTGCCAGAGTGTTTCCAGAAGAGATTAGCATTTGAATCAGTGGATTGAGTAAAGAAGATCTCTCAAAAATGCGGCTGGCACTGTCTTATCTTTTGATGCCTGATGAAAACAAAAAGGCAGAGAGAGGAAGGGTGCATTATCTTTATTTTTGAGCTGAGACATTCACCTTTTCCTGCCCTGCAAAATCAAGGCCCTGTTTCCCAGGTTTTGGTGTTCCAGGACTTACACCATCAGCTCTTATGGTTTTCTAGACTTCAGTCTTGGATTACATCACACAAAGAGTTTTGCTAGGTCTCCGTATCTTGCCATAGCATGAGCCAATTCCCATAAAAAAATCTCCTCTCTCTGTATTTATATCTATTTCTGTATCCACCTATATATGTATCCATCTATTTATATCTATATTATTCATATTTAATTTATAGATAAATAGGCATATCTATCAATAGGATGTTTATCCTGTTGACTATATTTCTCTAAAGCATCCTCATGTAGTTACTGAACACAGTCAGATCGTGAGAAACAGAAATCAGCCAAAGGAACTCTCCATGGTCCTTGGTTGACTGTAAAGGGCCTGGATGAAGTGAAGACAAAAATAATTGTAGGATCTGGAGCCAGACACGACCTGGCAGTTACGCTCATGCAGGTCATGAGAATAATGAATGTGGAAGAGCATCCTGAGGGCCAGACAGCTTAAGTCACTTGCAGAGGTCACATGGTGAAGAAATGATGAAGCACCTTGCAGATCAGAGGCTGGCTCAGCAAACCTATGTCTTCTTCATCCCAGGCACAGAGGGCTACATACACTTCCAAGCCTCCCATATGCCAGAGGTCTTTGTGGAGCCCAGTTCTCACCAGTGGGGTTGGGTGGTGCTGCTGTGTGCTGTGTGCTACTTACAACGTGCAAACCTTCATGCTCTTTTCTGTTCCTTGCTGGCTGCAATAAAAAAAAAATGCCCAACTTGGCCTTAGATGTCTCACGTTGGAGTTGGGAGAACCACAGTGTGGAAGAAACCTGATTTCTAAGATCAGTCATTAACAAAGCTCCCTTTTCAGTCATATCCAGACAAAAACATTCACTGAACAAAGAGTGTGGACATAAATCCCTGTAATTTCTGCAGTTACTTGTATTTTTCTGATGCCATTTGTATTCTTTGAGCTACTGTTATTTGAGGCTGATCTACAGAAGCCACTGCTATAACTATAACTGAATCAGTCAGTGGATTAAATGTCTCACAACATGGCCATCTGCTAGAAATGGGGGAAGAGCAATGATGCCCTCAGGCTTTGACAAGCTTCTTGGCAGGGTAGATGGCAAAAAAAAAGTGGAGTCAGGCTTTGAGACTAGGGATTTAGGAGGGAAAATTGTCCCTTCAAAACAATAATATATAGCCAAACTTTACAACTGTGCCTTGTACAGAATTTGCATGGAGATGGCATCTGTGGAGGATTTCAACAGGACTGTCAAGGACAGCTTCTCCAATTGCCTTTCCAATGATCAGCCAAAAAGTATATTGGTCAATATATATATGACTTTAAAATATAGAATTAGAGAGAAATAGAGAGATATAACTATCTAAATAAGAGAAATTTAGATAATGCATATTTTGCAGCGAGTTTGACATTACAATGGAGTGACTTTGGACATTACAAAGGCATCTGATAAAATATTTTCCACATGCTGAGATTGCTGCCTCACCCTTGTGCTATCCCTGAATTTCTCAACCATCCCACTGTCAGAGGCGTTTCAACCAGGGCAACTCCACATGTTGAAGAGGGACTGGGTAAAATAAGGCTGAGACCTGCCAAACTCATTCCCAGGAGGTTAGGCATTCTAAGTCACAGGATGAGATAAGAGGTCAGCACAAGACACAGGTCATAAACGACCTTGCTGATAAAACACTTTGCACTAAAGAAGCCTGCCAAAACCCACCAAAACAAAGATGGTGACCATAATGACCTCTGGTTATCCTCACTGCTCATTATGTGCTAATTATAATGCATTAGCAGGCTAAAAGACAGGCCCACTTGCACCATGAGAGTTTGCAAATGTCATGGCAACATCTGGAAATCCCCGTATATGGTCTAAAAAAGGGAGGAACGCTCAGTTCTGGGAATAGCCCACCCCTTTCCTGGAAAACTCATGAATAATCCACCCCTTGTTTGACATGTAATCAAGAAATAACAATAAGTATCCTTGGTTGAGCAGCTCAAGCCACTGTTCTACATATGGAGTAGCCATTCTTCATTCCTTTACTTTCTTAATAAACTTGCTTTCACTTTACTCTATGGGGTCACTTCATATTCTTTTTTGTGCAAGATCCAAGAACCTACACTTGGGGTCTGTTTAGGGACCCCTTCCTGGTAACACCACTATTAACATTTGGGAGGAGATATTTCTTATGATGGGAAGCTGTCCTGTGTCCTGCAGTATCACTGGGCCTCTGCTTGCTAGATGCCAGTAACAACCTCCCAGTGAGGACAAGTGAAAAATTGTGGGGAAAAGAAAGAGAGATCAGACTGTTACTGTGTCTATGTAGAAAGAAGTAGACATAAGATACTCCATTTTGTTCTGTACTAAGAAAAATTCTTCTGCCTTGAGATGTTGTTAATCTGTAACCCTACCCCCAACACTGTGCTCACAGAGACATGTGCTGTGTTGACTCAAGATTTAATGGATTTAGGGCTCTGCAGGATGTGCTTTGTTAAGCAAGTGCTTAAAGGCAGTATGCTTGTTAAAAGTCATCACCACTCTCTAATCTCAAGTACCCAGGGACACAATACACTGCAGAGAGCCACAGGGACCTCTGCCTAGGAAAGCCAGGTATTGTCCAAGCTTTTCCCTGTGTGATAGCCTGAGATATACCCTGATGGAAGGGGAAAGACCTGACCATCCCCCAGCCCAACACCCGTAAATGGTCTGTGCTGAGGAGGATTCGTAAAATAAGAAGGCATCTTTGCAATTGAGATAAGAAGAAGGCATCTGTCTCCTGCTTGACCCTGGGCAATGGAATGTCTCGGTGTAAAACCTGATTGTATGTTCCATCTACTGAGATAGGAGAAAACTGCCTTAAGGCTGGAGGTGAGACATGCTGGAGGCAATACTGCTCTTTAATGCACCAGAGATGTTTATGTATGTGCACATCAAAGCACAGCACTTTTTCTAACATTGTTTATGACACAGAGACATTTGTTCACATGTTTTCATGCTGAACCTTTCCCTACAATTACCCTGTTATCCTGACACATCACCTTCTCTGAGATGGTAGAGATAATGATTAATAAATACTGAGGGAACTCAGAGTCCTGTGATGGCGTTGGTCCTCTGTATGTTGAGCACCAGTCCCCTGGGCCTGCTTTTCTTTCTCTATTCTTTGTCTCTGTGTCTCTTTCTTTTCTCAGTCTCTCATCCCACCTGATGAGAAATGCCCACAGGTGTGGAGGGGCAGGCCTCCCTTTCAAAAATGTCCAGATATTGCTAAAAATCCCTAGAGGACCCAGTTGCCTCTGATATCCCCTGAGTAGCTAAGCATAGCCAGACCTGACATTTGTACAAATGAATGAAAGAATGAATAACCCATTTTCCTAACTTTCACTGGTGTCCATGTAAAGAAACCACCAACTAGGCTTTGTGTGAGCAACAAGGCTGTGTATTTCACCTGGGTGCAGGTGGGCTGAGTCCAGAAAGACAGTCAGTGAAGGGAGATAGGGATGGGGCCGTTTCATAGTATTTGGGTAGGTAATGGAAAATTACAGTCAAAGGGGGTTGTTCTCTGACAGGCAGGGGTGGGGTTCACAAGGTGCTCAGTGGGGGTGCTTTTGAGCCAGGATGAGCCAGGAGAAGTAATTTCACAAGGTAATGTCATCAGTCAAGGCAGGAACAGGCCATTTTCACTTCTTTTGTGGTGGAATGTCATCAGTTAAGGCAGGAACAGGAAATTTTCACTTCTTTTGTGATTCTTCAGTTACTTCAGGCCATCTGGATGTATATGTGTAGGTCACAGGGTATATGATGGCTTAGCATGGCTCAGAGGCCTGACATTCCTGTCTTCTTATATTAATAAGAAAAATAAAATGAAATAGTGGTAAAGTGTTGGGGCAGTGAAAATTTCTGGGAGTTGTATGGAGAGATAATGGGCAGTGTCTCTCAGGGCTGCTTTGAGTGGGATTGGGGCGATGTGGGATCTTAGAGTGGGAGAGATTAAGCTGATGGAAGATTTTGTGGTAAAGGGTGATATTGTGGGGTTGCTAAAAGGAGCATTTGTCATGTAGAGTGATTGCTGATGGCCTAGATGTGGTTTTCTATGAATTGAGAAACTAAATGGAAGACACAAGGTCTGAATGAAGAGAAGGAGAAAAACAAATATTAAATGACAAAGAATTGGGAGGACCCAGGACAGCCAATTAGAGAGTGCCCAAGGGGGTTCAGTATAGCCCTGCCAGCAAAGATTATTTATTTACTTCAAGAGTGGTGGTTTGGGGATAGCACCAGGAGATATCAGAGGTGCTCAAGGAAGGCAGTAGGATTTTCTTTCTTTCCCTGAGTTATGGTGGACATAATTGAATAATTATGTAAGTTCTAGAACACAGGTCAACAGATGTTTGCAACTCCATTCCCCATGATATGAGTCTAGGTCCCAGTGGGGAACCATATTGGGGATGGCTTGCTGACTGGAAGGGAACTTGTCCCTCTCTTCAGCTGTCATTCTATCACTTATTTGACTAAGATACCAGGTATCTCCAGTCTCAGGCTGCAGCTAAAGCCACATTCTTTTACTTAAAGGCCGGGGTTTGATATAATGATAGGATGACATCTCTCCAAGTGAGGATGAATGTTTGCCCTAGACCCTGTAGGACATCTATATACATATCTGGATCATCTGAAAACTTCTCCAGGTCTACCCTGATCTGCTTTAAATCAGAGATGGAGAAGAGGACATGTACCTGGTTTGGGTAAAATTACCCTCCCCCTACAGTGTGAAGGGGACATAACTGATAGACAGGAGGGTTTTGTTTTCCCTTCGAGATTTATTTCCTTGTTTTCTTCTGGGTGGGGGAGATTAGAGGAGGCTCACTATCAATAGGAAGGGGAGCTGTAGTGAGGCTAGGATACAGAGGTAAGATGAGAGGTCCTCCTGTGGAATGTAAATTGCAAGCTTTGCATAGTAGTGGATTATCCTTGAATGAAAAGAAATCTTGGACATAAGGTATTTCACTCCATTTGCCTTCCCTCTTCCAGAAATGGTCAAGCTGCAGGATACTAATGTAATTTATATTTCCCTCAGGCGGCCATTTTTCCCTATCAGAGAGAAAATATTGGGGCCAGGCCATAGTGCAGAAAGACATAATCTGCTTCTTTGTCAGGGTTTGTGGGTCAAATTGGCCCCAGTGGCTTAGGATGCATTTCAAGGGTGAGCTTATTTATGCCTGAGTATTTTCCATCTGAAATAAAAAACTGCCTATGGTTTTGGCCTGTTTTTTTCCCCCCTGTCCAAGAACATGCAATGGTCCTTGGACCCTGCTGTTCAGAATCGTTGTGCTCACTGAAGTAGCAGCAGAGACTCCTGGCACCCAAAAGTTATCTGGCCCCTCAATGAGCCACAGAGCAGATTTACAGGCAGACACACAGCACGACCCGGAGCCACCCTCCTTTCCCCGGAAGTCCTGCAGGTCGCTTCTGCTTGACCTTGGGGGCCTGCCTGGGTGTGCTCCGGGCAGTCCCTTCATCTCTGGGCCTTGCTGACCTCTTGAAAGTGACCAGGTTGGGACGGACACGGTGGCTCCTGCCTATAATCCCAGCACTTTGGGAGGCCAAGGCGGGTGGATCATTTGAGGTCAGGAGTTCAAGACCAGCCTGGCCAACATGGTGAAACCCCTTCTCTACTAAAAATACAATAGGAGTAATAAGCACAATAGTTTTGTTTTCAATTGTCTACAGTTCTACAAAGGCTGAATTGGCTTCCTGGCACCATCTTGAAGGAAGATGGAATGTGGCTGAAGTCTACGCCAGAGAACAAATGAAGTGGAAAGCCTGTAACTTCTCTCATGGTGCACACTGAGTCAAGAATGGGGGAAGATGGAGAGACAGTGTGGTGATTACGGAGCAGGATCCTTATTTTCCCCAGTTGCTATGGGTTAGGGATACATAAACATTAGAATGGCATGAAGATGCTGTAAAAAAATTAGCACCTGTGTCTCTTATCTCTGTTGGGGAGATGATAAGGCTCAAAGAGAAAACCAAGTCTTGCAAAGGCTTATGATCTCTCATAGTTTGAGAGGAGTGGGTACATGCTATCTGAGGGCTTGCTGGGTTGGAGGGTGGGAATTATAGCTCACTTGAGCTATTCTATGACATATAGTGGACTGGAAACTTGATGTATATGTGAATGTGGAGACACAGGAATGATGACTAGGAGATCAATATGGAAGGGAAAGTTGCTATATGCAAATTTGGAAACTAGTGATACTTGGCTGGGGCTGTGAGCTTCAGGATAGAATACTGGCACATTCCCCCAGCAGGATAGATTGGAAAGATCTAAGCCAGTCCAGGAACCAGACTCTACAGGTCCCTCTGTGGTATAGAACAGTAAGGATTCATAGCACCCACAGGATTTTAAGACTCCTTTCTTCCTAGCATCCTAAGGTCATTGTATATTGCCTATACACATGGATATTAACAGGGTGAGAAGTATATGGCAATAAAAAATGAATAACTGAGTATTGATCCAGGAGTCAAGTCACTCAAGAGACTAAATGGAAGAAATTGTCATACTCTGAATTGGTGGGTTGAAAATTTATGGTATTCCTTACTCCTAATGAAGTGAGAAAGTTTAGCCGGGTGTGGTGGCTACTTAGGAGGCTAAAGTGGGAGAATCACTTGAGCCCAGAAGGTCAAGGCTGCAGCAAGCCATGATCGTGCCACTGCACTCCAGCCTGGATAACAGAGCAAGACCTCAATGCTAAAAAAAATAAGATTAGATTTACTTTTAAACATATAAAAAGCATATTTTTGTGCATCTGTGTATAGAATGAGAACATTTTCAATGGAACACTACTAAAACAGAAGGCAAGGCCCTCATATCACTTTCTGACACTTTATGCAAAATATGAGTCCACAAAATTGCTTTTTCAATAAAGCATTCAGGGGAAGAAGGATGACCCTCAAGAAATCCACAGAAATGTTTTTTTTTTCCAGGCTAAGTAAAGAATAGTAAATCTTCCTGAGCTATGTGTACTAGTTTATCCTTAGGTCTTTCAGCTAGCTCTGGGCAATGAGTGTCCCACATAGTCTAATAACAAAAACACCACTGTGCTAAGTATCAGAGAACACACTTAGAGTTGCAATATTAAAAAATACATTTTTGCTGGAGAGTTTTACTAAAATGAAATACCTTGCTTCTATTGGTGTTAGGAGAGATCTGTCTCATGTAAAAACATAGGGTTACAGAAATTTGGAAATGCGGCCATTTGTCTCCGCATATCATGCTATCACACAGATTTCTTCCCTAGGATGCCCTTTAAAAATGCATACCTTGGGTAACAAAATAAGCCATCACACTTAGAGACTTCTTTCAGTATTCAGCTTAAACATGTGATGATTTGGGAGGGTTTTTCATGTTCCTAATGGTTTAATTGCTAAGAGAAACTTTCCCATCCTCCACATTAACAATTACAAACAAAAGCCTTTTGTTTCACCAGATACATACTAGGGAAATGCTCCATTTTAACCACATCCCATCTGTAGGGCCACGTGCAATTTTAAGCTTTAATAATTTTAGATGAACACAGTACTGATGCAAATGCTTTATTACTGTTCATTCATCAGAACCCAATTCTTTGAAGGAACTCAGGTTCCCCTTTGGAAACTCAATTTACCAAATTTCTTAGCAGCATCCAGAAGGCATTCTCACCAAATTAGAAACTTATGAAGCTGAAACTTGAAAATTTCAGAAAAATGAGTGAGGCATTCGCTCTTAATAAAACATGCTTCCATGGGTAGAATGGGATTGTTTCCATCGTATGCACATATGAACTTATTAAGGTGACCGATCCACCAAATAAACACCATAGACAAAACAGTCTACCGATATAATATTTGGAAAGTTTTTTGAAGGTTTGTATCCAAAAGACATGTGACAGTTATTTTGGATATCAGAATGGAGAGACGCTCACATAAAGTTTTGAGTATCAAAGTTATATGTTGTGAATCTGTACTGATATAAATAAATTATTGAATAAATAAGCAAATGTGTGGAGAGAGAAATGCAAATCTCCTGTGCAGAAGAATTCCAGTAATTGATGTAGAAACTCCATCCTCAGGAAGGTGAAAAATTGCTTCCCACACATTAAGCGTCAGCTGTGCTTAGTAACTTAGTAAAGTAGGAGAAGGTGGGAAAAGTAACTTCAGAGTGGAGAAACCTGAGACTGATTAAGGTCAACCTCCACAATGATAAGTCATATTGACAGCATGTACCTTTGATGAGATGTGATCAACATGGAATTGTACATTTATGGTCTTCCTCTCCAAAACCTACAGCCATTGTTGAATCATAATGAAAACATCAGATAAACTCAAATTAACAGACATTCTGCAAAATACTCAGTATTTCTCAAAACTGTCAAAAATATGAAAAATAAATAGAAGGAGACACTGTCACAGCCGAGGAGACATAAAAGCTAAATGTAATGTGGTATTCTAAATGGGGAATTAGATAAAAATACAGAAATATGGAAGAAACTGGACTTGTGTTAATAATAACATAGCTACCTTGGTTTACTAAGTGTGACAAATTTACTGTACCAGTGGAAGATGTTAATAATAGGGGGGATTGAGTGTGGGGAACATGGAAACTCTCTGTAATATATTCACAATATTTCTGTAAATCAAAAACTATTTGAAAATTTATTTTAAAAATTATCAAAATGATTTGAAAGTTTATTTTAAAAGATTTAAGAAGTTGTATGCTGTCTGACACGGTGTGGCTGTGTCTCCACCCAAATCTCATCTTGAATTGTAGGTCCCATAACTCCCACATATTGTAGGAGGGACTTGGTTGGAGATAATTGAATCGTAGTGGTGGTTTCTCCCATACCAATCTTATGGTGGTGAATAAGTCTCATGAAATTTGATGGGAACATTTTGCTTGGCTCCCATTTTCTCTCTTCCCTGCTGCCATGTAAGTACCTTTCGCCTTGTGCCATGATTGTGAGGCCTTCTCAGCCATGTGGAACTGTGAGTCTCTCTTTCTTTATAAATTACCCAGTCTCAGGTATGTATAAATTAGCAGCATGAAAACAGACTAATAAACTACCAATGTGATTTTTAAAATAATAAATGTTTTCTGCAAACAGCAGCTTCCATCAGATGTCCTCAGAATGTCCTCCTGTTCCAGAGTGGATCTTATACATCCCACAAAATCTCTTGTAGGATAGCCCACAGCTTTTGCTTATTTAACTGTTGTATTGTTCACCGGGTTGTCATCTGTAATTCCTGTGTCTGCTACTATATGTGATACTACACCAGTGCATCTCATATAAACACTTCCGCTTCCCTTGACTTTTATTGGCCCTTCTCCTTTGGTACTCCATGTCTTCTGCCTTAAATGACGCCTTCTTATGTACATAAATCTCTCTCCTGCCTGTTTTATAATGTCCAAGGAGATGTATTAATAGTTACTCATCCTTCCTCTTTCCATGGTGTCTAGTGCAATTCATAACCAGCAGCACAGTGGGCACAGCACATACTTCAAAAATACTTATGAGTCTGCACAATTAATTTGAGGATCTTCAAACATTTCCAGAAATGAATCGCAGTTCTGAATCCTTGGAGATTTCCTATTTCACTTTCATTTTTCCAGCATTTTACTTTTAGAACCCTTTCAAGGACACAGAAAATTGTCAGCTTGTTCTTAAAGATATTCAGGGAAGGCAGTTCTATCAGCTTCAGCAGGAGTCCATTTCAGAATATTAAAACTAACTGTATCAAAAGAAACTTTTCTTCCTCTTTCAGCTAGTTGGTGTCTTAGGCCACTTGCCTTCCCTCAGCCCACACACACTGTTTTCAGCTGAGATAAAAATATAGCTGAGCACAGTTCTACATGGATTTGAAGATCTTTAAGTTTCTTTATAGCTTTCTTTCTGCCAGACCATGATCATCTTAATCCCTTTTCTATGCAGGTTGGTTTTTTGCTGATAATTTGCGTTTGGTGGTAAATTCTTTTTTGGTAATAAATTGTTTAAATTTTTACAATTTATCAACATCTCTATTGTCTTTAATGCCTAAGGCAAAAATCTGAGACTACTACTACTTGATTTTAAAAATATTAAAATAATATTAGGAAGAAGAAGGAGGAGGAAGAGAAGAGGACAGAGAAGGACAAGAAGAAGAAGGACAAGTAAAGATGGGAAGAGGAAGGAGGACGAAGAGGAAGAACAAGAGAAGGAAGAGGGAGAGAAGGGGAAGGGACATGGGAAGGAGAATGAACCACCAAAGCTATATGGTAAAAAAAGACACTACTTACATTAAACATTTATTATTTTATAACTGAAAATTTACCAAGTTACCTTTAAAAAATTATGACCTGCAGTTATCTCTTGATTTTAGCCATACCACCTAATCTTCCAAAACCCTGTTTCACTCATCACTTGACCTTGAACCAATATTTGTCCAGTTTGAATGACACCACTAGAAGTGTCTGCCCTCCAGGAGAAAGGTATTGTGGGCATGGATGGAATACTGCATATGGCTTTGAGTAGATTTCTTCATAGAGGGGAGTTAATCTCAATATTTCAAGGAGACAAAGAGTAAATAGAGAAAAGGGATAATGCTGTATATCCTCTGAGCTATGCCAGCTTTAGGACAGATACCACATTAAGGGGTGGAAGTGAGAAAAATACATGGAGACTGTCATCATCAGCTTTTAGGTAACAGCAGCAACAAAGGTAACCAATAACTCTGCCCAACATCACTTCTCCTAAAACCAGATTTTCTAAAGTTTAATTCATTTTTTTAAAATTTAACCTAAAATCCAACTCTGTTATGAGTGTTTTTGTCTCTAAAGCAAGGTGGTCACTATAAAACTGAACATCCATGTATTTTAATCTTTGATAAATAACTACACTGGACTTAATACCACCCAACCCAGACCTGGGTTGATATTTTAGGCAGAGCATTTCTAAAGCTTTATGGTCCAGATATTGAGAAAGGGCTATCTACAGATGGAATGTTGCAACTGGCTTTGAGCATGACCACATACTTTTACAAAGATGTAGAGCTAACCCTGAAGGCAATAGTTATATCCATTCTCAATCATTCTGAGAAGTGGTTCCTCCTGAACCATGAATTAAGACTCAAGGGAGGCTGGTTGCAGTGCCTCATGCCTGTAATCCAAGCACTCTGGGGAGTCGAGGCAGGTGAGTTTTGTGAAAATATCATATAACATGTACTCTTCTATGATTTTCTTTTTGCATTTGTCAGTTTTACAGTCATCTATCTTGTTCATGTAGGGAGAGTTCACTTATTTTCATTGCTGTAAAATATTTCACCCCATACATATGTATTTTATTTATCCTATTCCTGTTGATAAACATTTGAGTTCTTCGAAGTTTTAGCTATTATAAGCAATGCCGATTTAAACATTCTTTTACATATTGCACCTGTGCAAGCATTTAAGTGAGGTGTATTCCTCTTACGAGTAAAGTATTATGGAGTCATTGGTTTGTGACTATTCAACTTTACAAGAGACACATTGTTGTTCAAATAGTTGTGCCAATTTACACCCTAATTGCCCCAGCAATATGGGTGACCTCACTTGAGGTCAGGAGTTTGAGACCAGTCTGGCCAACATGGCAAAATCCCGTCTCTACTAAAAATATAAAAATTAGCCAGATGTGGTGTCACATGCCTGTTATCCCAGCTATTTGGGGAGTTAAGGAAGGAGAGTTACTTGAATTTGGATGGTGAAAGTTGAAGTGAGCTGAGATTGTGCCACTGCACTCCAGCCTGGGCAACAGAGTGAGTCTCTGCCTCAAAACAAAACAAAAAAAAAACAAAAACAAACAAACAAAAAAAACTCGGCCGGGCATGCTGGCTCAAGCCTGTAATCCAAGCACCTTAGGAGGCCCGCGTGGGCGGATCATGAGGTCAGGACATCGAGACCATCCTGGCTAACACGGTGAAACCCCGTCTCTACTAAAAATACAAAAAATTAGCCCAGAATGGGGGGCATGGTGGTGGGTACCTGTAGTCCCAGCTACTCAGGAGGTTGAGGCAGGAAAATGATGTGAACCCAGGAGGCGGAGCTTGCAGTGAGCCAAGATCGCATCACTGTACTCCAGCCTGGGCGACAGAACGAGACTCCATCTCAAAAATAATAATAATAATAAATAAAAATTTTAAAAAAAGACTCAAGGAAATGGTCTGAGATGAGGTAAGTGAAAACATTTTTCTTTGGCACAAGAGTTCAGTCTGTCAGACTCTAAGTAATAACAACTGCATGAAATATTTTCAGTTGTTGGAAGATGAGGAACTTCTTGCTATTGGGATACAGGCAAGGTTATTGATAAGGCATTGGGCCAGCAAGGGGCCTTTGGCTTTGGACAGGTGAGTGTTAGCACAGTCAGTAGTTATAAGATGTTTTCTATTATGTAAATTCCCTCTATTATTACTGAAAACTTCATTCACTTCCTGCTAATGATCTCAGCCTTGTCTCAGTGGCTCCATTTTGAACTTAGAAAGGGCCTATCCCCTGCCACAGAGTGGCAAACAGGACAATCTTTTCTCTTACCTGGGACTTGGTGACAGGAACAGGAGGGTATAAGGAACAAACTATATTTCAGTTAGCCTAAATATCCTGTTGTTTCTAATCTTTTATTATCAATAATATTGCAACAAATATCCTTAGAATCAAATCTTTCTTCATATCCTTGACTATTTCTGGAAGATGCATGTGACTTATTTTAACTTCCTAGTGAATTCCTAGTGGTGTGAGATTACCTTTATTCTAATCATTTAATAGTGAGCATTTTCAAATATTTGTACTATAAAATATTAAAGAATAAAATGAGATAACTTTACCTGATATATCTTATTTTTTAGAAACAAACAAACAAAAACACTTAATCTAAAACATTCAAGAATCTGGACCAGACATCGGCAACCATTTCTGTAAAGGGTCAGATAGTAAATATATTTTGGCTTTGTGGGCCATATAGTCTCAGATTTGCCTACTGAGCCCTGCCTCTGAAGTATACGAACAGATGTAGACAACATTGAAACCAATGGATGTGGCTGTGATCCAAAAAGCTTGAGGCATAGACATATATATATGTATATATATACGAAGCAGGGCCAGGTAGATGCAATTTCTGACCCTCATTCTAGAGACCATGACCAGTGTCTAAGGTGAACAGGTGCCCTCAGAAACCTGCATCCAGCCCCTAGTGTTGTAGGGCTCTGGACAATTCAGAAGAACTGTGTATTCTGTGTATGTTCTGAATATTTACCTCCTGTGTTGTTCTGTGTATTCAGACTATAAAAATATCTTTGTCTGTGTTTGGGGTTGGGAGCATGAGGATTATTATGTACTGAGAGTCAGGTTTGGGAAAGATAAATCCCATATGGGATAACACAGAAAAGCTCATCATATTGATTTGGGAATCCCTATACTTGCATTCAATAATGCCAAAGGGACAGCTCAATGATTCATTAGGGTGATGACTTTTCTCATAAAACTAAAATATTATTTAGGTTTACTTAATGAGATAGTCATTCTTCCTTATTTATTTCATAAAAAAATACATTGTTTTTATATATTTTTTGAAAATGTTTTTTAACCATCTTTGCCCAAATGTTGTTGAATTCCACCAGACCCAAAATGCTAAAGCTCTCCAATTAATGTTTACTCTGCCACCCTCAGACATCTGCTTTCTTCTTCTAGCCCATGAAACTCTTCCTAGTGTCACCAACAACTGCCTGATGACTAAATTCAGTGATCTCTCCTCAATTCTCAACATGTATAATGGAATAACAGGACAGGTCCATGTTTGAAATAGAGAGAGAAGGCTATAATTATTATCATTTTACATCTTGATTGAAAGGGTTGGTATAATGCTTTTCAAATAATTGCCTCTGATCATCAAATTCACTGTTTAAATATACATGTAAGTCTTTTTTCTCCACTTCACAATCATGTATTAAGTATTCACTGTGTATGCTACACATTGTGGCTGGCCCTACAGAAACAAATATGTCTTCTGTTCTCTCACACACAAGTGATTAACATTGAAAATACTCTTTTTATTTATTTGGGCTGTGCTAAAATGTATTTGATAAGCTACTGTATCCAGTTTTGTTATTATACCAAGTGTAGTAAAATCATTAACCATTCACTCTGCCGTGTTCAGAAGCCATGGTGAGCACTTTGATTTAAATATCAAGATTTTGAAAATCTCCACATTATGTGTTCAACATTGCTTCAGCAAAATGCATTTTAGAGTTATATTTTAACATACATATCAAATTGTCAAATATGTTAACTTCACGTACTTTCAATTAACTCACAACTTAAAGTGTGAATATGATATAAAATAAATGCAAGTTTATTATTTTAGGATTCATTTTGCAATGTGATTATAACTCTGGCATTTAGACCCACGTAAGACATAATTAAATACCAAAACATCATGACTATCACATACCTTTAATCTTTGAAATTAATTCACAGATGGTAGCTTCAAATGATGATTGTATCATCTGTAAATGACTGTAATCCAATTTCATAAATATTGATGAAGTTTCAAAGTTTGAAATCATTACTACTGTTGAATTTTACTAAATTTCTTTTGCATTTCCAAAATTAAAATTCTTCTCTGGAATTTGGGAAAAAGTTCCATTATTAAAATGCCCCAAAACAGGTCACATGCTATAATCCAGGTGATAAGAAAAAACAGGCTTGTGCACAGATTTTTCTTACATGCATTCATCTTGGTTTGTCTTTCAGGTTGGTTTGTGTTGTGAGAAGTTTAGTCTTTTGTTTGTTACATATAGGATGTGACATCTGATGGAGACTGCAATCCTTTTATCGCTTTAGTGCAAAGCTGGAGAATGATCAGTCCAGAGATGCTGAAAGTTTTTTGGCTCTAGAGTTAGGGAAGTGTCATTGCATAATGCCTTTAGTCCTGTACATATTAGACAATTACCATGTATTGTCACTTTTCTAGGGAGAAACATTCAAGGGAGTGGGGTGGTGAACTGAACACATTTTTTTTTAATTTAATGAAAAGACATGGAGATTCTTACTGCTGTTCTTTGGTAGAACTCTCCTATGCATGCATTTATGTATATAGATATGTCATAAATTCATATAGCCATAAAAGAAAAGAACATCAGACATCAGACTTAGATCACTTCCGTTTGAGCTTTACAGCTATTATAGATTTTGTACAAACTAGAGCAAAAATTAAGCATTCCCATCTAAGTTGGAAGAATCCAGCTGTGGGGACGTGCACACACCAATTGCTGCCAATTTGAGGGTCTGCTCTCACCCAACCATTTTACCCAGACTTGCACCAGAAAGAACAATTAGTGACTGCAAGGAATTTTATCCATCAAAAGATGTAACACAAGAAACTCAAGCTGGTTTGAAGCAAACATTTCATACTAGGAGAAATAATGTAGTATTTCAAACCCTGGGTCCAAATATGCCCAGGTTTGGAAGGATATGACCTGATTGTATAAGCTCCCCTAATAATGTTGGAGTTGGGAGGATCACCTGAGCCCAGGAGGTGGAGGCTGCAGTGAGCTATGATCATGCCACTGCACTCCAGCCTGGGTGACAGACTGAGAACTTGTCAAAAAAAAAAAAAAAAAGAGTGTAGCAGTTATTAGTATTGCCTACTTAATAACGTCATCATTCTTCATGGGCATTTTCTGACTCCGGGAGGCACGGACTAGAAACACTAGGCAGTCAGTTTGCCACTGAACCTCAGTCAATGAGGGCTGGAGTTGGCATAGCATATCCCAGCTCTGCAGCCCCTCAACTTTGGTCAACTTTGAGGCATGTTCTACAGTCTCTTGAGAGACTGGACCCTTGTCCTCTGCAAAGGTGCCCGCTTTTAAACATAACATTTACTGATTTACTGTCTTTTCTCCCTACCTTGTGTCATCTCTCCAAGTTCTCCTTGGGAAGAATCACCTCTTAGATAAATGATGTGCATTCTAAGCCTTGCCTCAGAGTCATGGGTAACGGCTTCATTCAGGGAAGTTAAAACAAACACATTGTGTCCTCAATGGAAAATTAAGACCTTCAGGATTCAGCGAACCACATGAAAACATGGAACAAGTGCTAAAACTGCCACCTAGTAACTTTCAAATTAACACCTGGCTAAGAAATGCATTTGATTAATTGAGACCCAGTGTACTGTCCATTTAACTACACAATTCTATTAAATGAAGTAGAATGATGATATCACTTTGATCCTGCATTTTGTATGAGGAAGTATTGATTGAAGCCTCTGCATTGTTGCTTAAAACACACACACAAATACATATTATCTATATGTAGATATACATATCTACTTTGATCCATGGAGCAGCAACTGTGTCATCTAACTTCAGGTGTCACATATTTGTTGAGAAAATAGTGGGCTGAAAACTTAATCTGGGCTGCAATATTAATTGTTCTGATTCTATGAACCAAGCAAAGGTGATCCATGTTCTGAGTTTCAACGAAACTTCTTTGGACCACAGCTCCTAAAAGTTGGCTGTGCTAAGGTACTTCATCAAGAAACCTCACAAAACCCACTGGGATTCTGCTTTCCTATGTGCATCTAGCTGTCTCCAGACTTGGGGAAGATGTTCACAGCATCTCTTAGCCTCCATGAGTCAGCTAGCTGGAACGGTGCAAGGATATCACTCATTCTTCTAACCCTGCACTGTGAGTGCTACACAGCCAAAGTTCAGGATCTCCCCTGGGTCTTCAGCTGAAGTTCTTGGTAAGATGAGATTTACAGATAGGAAACAAGTGAACATTGGCAATTATGGCACCAAAAACAGTGGCTTGGAAATTGAGAGAATAAGAAAAAATCTGCCTCCCAGACTCAATTTCCTGCAGAGTCCAGCAGGAGACATTCAATATATGGCATGACCTTCAATGTAGATTGGGAAAAACCATTTTGTGAGTATAGATATTTAGAGAACATAGTAAATACCACAGTTTAGCCTGTTAGGAAACAAATAACACACTCAAATTGGGCCAGTATACTACAAAGCCAGGCTACAGGTCTGGATTTTTAACATCAAACTGAACTTCCTCTACTTATCCATTACTTATTCCTTTAAATTAACAAATAAAAATTGCATGAATTTATGGTATCCATTATGATGTTTCAATATATGTATAGACATTGTGGAATGGCTAAATCAAGCTAATTAACATATCCATTACCTCACATACACATCACTTTTTAAAATAAAGAGAACACCTAAAATCTATTTAGCAGTTTTCCAGCAGACAATACAGTGTTATTAACTACAGTCAGCCCGACTACAATAGATCTCTTGAACTTGTTCCTGTTGTCTAACTGAAATTTTGTATTATTTGACCAGCATCTCTTCAACTCCTCCTCATCTCCAGGCCCTGGTAACCACAATTCTACTCTTGCTTTAATGAGTTCACATACAGATGAGAACATGCAGTATTTGTCCTGTTTCTGGTTTATTCCACTCAACAGAATATCCTCTAGGATTATACATATTGCTGCAAGTGACAGAATTCCCTTCTTTTTTTAAGGTTGAAGAGTATTGCATTGTGTGTATATGCCACATTTTAAAAGTCTATTCATCCATTGATAGACACTTGTGTTTTCACATCTAAGCTATTGTGAATAATATTGCAATGAACATGGAAGTGCAGCTATCTCTTACCCCACTTCTCTAGCAACAATTGTAGTAGCAACAAAACTTAAAACATAATGAACATGTGCTTTTGTACTCTATTAAATTGGGGAGTATTATTGAAAAGGCATTGCCATATAGAGGTCTGTATATGAATCTGATTTCCTTTCCTTTGGATGTATACCCAGAAGTGGGATTACTGCTCTAATGTCAGATTAGTATTTCTATTTTTAATATTTTTTAGAAATATCCACACTGTTCTCCATAATGTCTGTGCTAATTTACATTCCTGCCAGTGGCATACAAGGGTTTCCTTTTCTTCACGTCCTTGCCAACATCAGTTATCTCTTTTTATATGTTTTTTATTTTTTTAATGTATATTTCATTTTAATTGTGTGTTTGTTTGTAGTTGCGACTTGGAAAGCTCCTTGTACATGGGTGACAGTCAATGGAAAATAGATGGTTCCACTGAAAGAGAGAATGGATTGTGTGTGTGTGTGTGTATATGTGTGCGTGGTGTGTGTGTGTGTTTTATTCCACATAGTAACTTTTCACTAGTCCCCAATTACTCCATTGTACATACACTTTGTTTTACTTGGTTCTAATGATATAATACAAAATAACTTTTCCCATTTTCCTAGCAATAATAATATCAGCAACACAAAGACACAAAAAGTAATGAACATGTACCATTGTACTGTGCTTAATTGGGAAGCATTATTTTAAAATATTGCCATGTAGAGATCTCTATGTAAAGAACACAGTTTGGAAACAGATGAATTTATTCTGACAACACCAATGCTGCCTTATCAACATCTTTCACTCTATTTTAACCTATATTACTCCAATAACCAATAAAAGATGGTATTCCATAGAGTATCCCCTTTGAAAATGAATTTTTCTTATTTGCTTAAGTAAAATTTATTAAGTTTACTTAAGTTTACTTAAGTAAAATTTATTAAGTTTACTTAAGTTTACTTAAGTAAAATTAACAATTGATGACCATAAAAGTTATGAGTGATAGGGTTTTAAAAAATCAATACCTAATGCTTTCATAAAAGGAGTTTGATGACGATAAACTGAAAAAAATTGAATACTTAAGTACAAGCATTTTTATATCTGTCATTACTAACATGTTGCCAGTACATGATAATACTTCATTTGTTTTTATTTTTCTTTAGTTTCCATTAAGAACTTCTCATATCTCCTGTTTTCTAAAGCTTGCATGCATGCTTAAATTTCTACAGCTGATTGGAAGAAATACAAATGCCTTTCTAGTAAATGTTAATGAGCGCTCTGATGACCATGTTTCTGTTGATATTTGAAACTGGAAGAAACAATATTCAGGGTCCTCCAGTAAATAGGTAAGCATATCTGACTTGAAATTCCTCCAAGTGATTTCAACAACCCAAGGCACTTCATTAAGAGTGTTTTCTTATCTAGGAGCAGACCCATGACATAAATTCCAAGACATAAAGTGACAGACTTTAGTGAACTTCATTATCTTTCAACTCTATTTAAAAAAACAGCTGACTTAAAACTGATCTTATCATTGTTTATCATTCTTTGGACACTATGAGATTGCCTAATTCCCAAGCTCTCAAACATAACTATAAAAATGGTTTGTTTCCCTTGGTGATTCTTTTCCATCTAAATACCTTCTGACAACAATCAATTTTATATAAAAAATGATGACTTAAGTGATTTTTAAAATGAAGTATTCCCACCTTTTATGACCAAGAATCCTTGGTTAATGCTTAATAACTTTTATTGCCAAGACATCTTTTAAAATTTCTAACCTAATCTTCCCTTGTTGTTATTTAAATCCATTTATTCTTGTTCTAAGAAGATTAAGTTGGCCAGCCTTCTCCTCACAGTAGACCCTCACTTACTTGATGACAATTACTGAATCATCCTTCATAGCAAATATCTCCAAGCTTCTTTGTGTTTCCTCATTTTCTCTCTTACCATTGCTCATATATAATATTTTAGAAGCAGTAATAGTATGAAAGCAGGGGGTGGATTGACTGTAAATATCTCTTCCTTATCACCCTCTTTAGTTTACATTAAGAAGTTCTCACATTTCCAATTCTCTACGGCTTACATGAATGCTTTAATTTCTACAGCTGACTGGAAGACATACAAGTGCCTTTCTCGTAAATGTCAATGAGCACTCTGATGAGCATGTTGCTGTTGGCATCTGAAACTGGCAGAAACAATATTCAGGGTCACTGGGTTTCGGCTCCTCCTTTCCTCTTCTCTGGACATGGCTTCTTAGAAAGGTTGGCCAAGTGGCTACACTCGAATTGCATGAGCACTTGGTCTCTTGGCTATAGCCGATAGACCCAAGGCTGCAGAGGTCATTCAGGTTGGACCACTGTCACATGCATTCAGGAAATAGACTTTTGGGATTGAGATCCCAAGGCTGGGATTTTTAGAAGCTGAGTTTTGTTTGTGGCTAATTTTTAGGAGGTGCTCAATCTTCTTCAGGTGAGGTCTCAGAGTTGTCCTTGTTCCTGAGACCCTTGGTTGTTTGTGTTTGGTTTTCTTTTCCTTCAACTTTTTCAGTTTCTAATGAGAAGCCTAATAATCTTTCCAATAAGTTTCCACTTGGGTCTTCAGATAGCAAAAATTGATGTCTACCTCTTGAAGCCAAAAGTGTTCTAATTCATGTTTTGATGACCTACATGTCAAAAAAGAAAAAAAAAAAAAAGGTGGTTCCTGGAGTTCCCATGGACTGATTACATGACCACACAAACACCTCACATTACACGACTCTGAGTTAAAAGTTGGGACTATTCACATCCTTCATGTATGTAGACATCAGAGGTGGTACAAATCACCAATTAGTGAAGTAATTTGATTGTACATTGGTCTCCCATTTCCTGTGAGGTCTCTGAGAGAATGGAGAGGGTTTTCATATTCCCTTAGTTTCTAATCTTACCTTCATGATTTTACTGTTCATTTTCTATACTCTTAAGTGGGATTGTTATTTCATTAAGTTTTGCTTTTCTTTCCTTCTTTCCTTTCTTTCTTTCCTTTGCTTTTCTTTTTCTAACATAACCATTTTTGTCTATAAATTTCCCTCTAATTTTGTTTTATTTAAATTTACTAATTTTCATATGCAATACATTTACTTAGTCCTAATTATTTTCTCATTCTCATTACTTATTCCTTTTTATCCATAAATATTTATCATTATATTTTAATTTTGAAAAATAAGGTATTTTAATTATATTTTCATTTGATTTCAAATTTTATTTTATTGTGGTAGAGAATGTTATCTTTATGATTCTTGCAACTTTACAGTGTCAAGATTTGCCATAGCAAATATATTCATTTTTATATTAAAATCATCAATATCTTTTAAAAATACTGCATTTTGAAAAAGTTTGAAACTACAGAAAGTTCACATATACTCCTCATCTAACTTCCCTGAATAGTAACAAATTATATAACCATAGAATAATTGTGAAAATCACGACACTAACAATAATGTCCTGATTTTTGACAATGGACACTATTAATTAAACCACAGACTTTAACATTTCACTAGTTTTCCCCTAATGGTTTCTTAATTTCTAGGATCTAATCCCTTATTGCATTTTATTTTTGTATATCTTTATTCCCCTACAATTTGTGTTTCCTTATTTTACTCTGATTTATTTCTTTGTCATTCATGTCCTTGATACTTTTGGTGAGTAGTGGTTAGGTATTTTGTAGAATGTCTTTCAGTTTGCGTTGACTTAAGAATTCTCATGATTAGTTTTAAGTTATGCATGTGATGTTGTGTCCTCAGTACATCCCACCAGGGCATACATTTTTTAAAACAGAATTTTTTATTTTCAATAGTATAACAAAACTTCATTTATATTGCCTCTTTCCTTCTTGCATTATTTAATGTTTTGACTCCATGTCCTTTGAGTTGTGAATTTGTAAAATATCTTCTTGTTCTTGTAATTTATTTCTTTTGAAAAACATTTAAATTTACATACAAGTTAAGAATCTTTTTATAATTTCCTGATGAATAAAATGTCTTTTTATGTGTTATGTAGTGCCTCTCTGCCCCTATTAATGAGATCTGCCTTGCAGTCCCTTTTCTCTGATAGTAATATATTTGCAGTAAGTATGTTTAATTTAATAATCGTCTAGTGATTGGAATAATTCCATTATTTAAATTCCATTCTAATGAGCTACATTTTTGTATTTGTGAAGTGTACTTTGTTTATATGTATAGTTATTCCTAAGAGTCAATAAAATCCCTCTATGATGCAATTACATTTTTAAAATCTCATATGAATGGAATGTCTGTGTGATAAGCATGTTCTTCAGAGCTTAAATAATGTCCCAGGCAAGTGTGAGTTCCTAATGTGTTAAGTTTTAGAAAAAGTTTCTATAGCCTTTCCATTCCTGATGGTGATTTGCCATCTGTGAATATTGATTTTACTCCAGATTAAATAACAATGGTGGAAGCTGTGAGTCTGTGGCTGGCTGGGACAGTGCCACTGAGTTCTGTAGTCACACAAATAATTTGTGCACAACTGGATGTTTAAAGATTTACATACAGTTTCTTGCTATTGTTTTTGCTCTTAATTGTCCCCTATAAAATATTATGTTTCAAGACATATTTATTACTTATAAATATGTGACATATTTTTGATAAATTATAATTAATGGAAATAAAATGAAAACAATAAAAATGTTAACATAAAAATGTTAAAAATGATGCTACTATTTTCATAATCAAAAAGTTAATTTTAATTTCTACATATCATGAATATAGTAAACAATATTATTATAATTAATATAGTTTCAAAAAATCTATTACATTAAGGCTAAAAATCTTTGACACGTATGAAATATAACTAATAATTCAGGGAGGAGGGAACAAGAATGTAAAATTCTTAATTCCTGAAGAAAAATTCTATCATATACTATTAAAGGTATAATAGCTTTAAAGTCAGTATGACATGAAAACACAGGTACATTTATATGAATGATTTAAGAATTTTTAATATGTCAAACTTATACACAACTGAAAACTGTATTGTTTTCAAACATTTAAAATTCATAATATTAAACTTAAATGCTAACTCAAAATGTATGTGGGTGAATAATGAGAGAATATTCCAGATCAATATCAGTTATAAATACTGATGCTTAAGTACTAAATAAAATAGTTTCTTTTTTCACGTTTTTTTTTTTTCCTTTTTCAAGTCAGAGTCTCCCTCTGTCACCCAGGCTGCAGTGCAGTGTCACAATCTTGGCTGACTGCAAACTCTGCCTCCTGCATTCAAGTGATTTCTGTGCCTCAGCCTCCCAAGTAGATGGGATTACAGGTGCCTGCCACCTCACCCAGCTAATTTTTGTATTTTTTGTAGAGAAGGAGTTTCATCATGTTGGCCAGGCTGGTCTTGAACTCCTGACCTCAGGTGATTCACTCACCTCAGCCTCCCAAAATGCTGAAATTACAGGCCTGAACAACCACACATGGCCAATAAAATATTGTCAGACTCCAAGACTACACTGAAAAAAAAAATGCCATGACCAAGTGGGATTCATGCTAGAAATACAAGCAAGAATGTAACATATCTCCACTGCCATTCAACATTACGCTGAAGGTGTTTTCTAAACAAGGAAATAAAATAAACCAATTAGAGGCAGAAGGTCTAGAAAAAAATTAATTGCTATTATTTTTCAGATGATATCTGGAAAGCTTTAAAGAATTAATGTTCAAATTATTTCACAAAATAAAATAATTTAGTAAAATTAGCAAGATATGCAGCATATATAAGTCATCAACATACACCTGAAAAAAAAACTTATAGAGTATTTAATATTAGAGAAAAGTTCATGTAGAATTGCACCAAAGAAGATCATGTACTACTTAGGAAGAGACATAATAAGAACTGTGAAAACTCTATAATTTTAAAAACCTTTAAAGTCTTCTGGAAGAAATAAAAGCAGTTTGAAAAAAGGAAAAACATCATAGAATATGATGGCTCAAAAATATAAAGAGGTAAATTCTACTTGGATAAATTTACAAAATTAATGTTATCAAAGTTTTTGAAAATTACAAATTGTCTTAAGACTGGTTGACATTTAAGCTCATGTGGCATAACCAGAAGGCAAGAATAGCCAGAAAAATCCTTAGTAGGGTCAAGCCCGTTCATATTTTAAAGACATTATTAACCATCTATAATGAAAATAATATGTTACAGATGCATGAAAACACTCATACACACAAAAAGACTAGAGGAATATAAAAGAACATCTGGAAGCAGGTAGAAGTACAGAAGGAAGTTTAGTATATACTTAAGGTGGTATCTCAAACTATTGGGCAATAATGGATTTATTTATTTATTTATTTATTTATTTATTTATTTATTTATTTTTTGAGACAGGATCTCATGGTTTTTCCCAGGCTGGAGTGCAGTGGCTCCATCACGGCTCACTGAAGCGTTGGTTTCCAGACTCAAGTAATCCTCCTGTCTCTCAGCCTCTCAAGTATTTGAGACTACAGACATGTGCCACTACATCTGGCTACTTTATTTTATTTTTTTAAATTTAGAAATGGGGTCTAAATATGTTGCTTAAATGGGTCTTGAACTCCTGGGCTCAAGCCATTCTGCTGCCTCAGCCTCCTAAGCAGCTGGGACTACAGGTGCACAACAGTGTCTGGAATAATGGATTTTAAAATAAATATTGGGACAACATGGAAAATGATAAATTTAGATCCATACTTCATTTGTACACAGCAATAAACTCTAAATGAAGTATCTAAAGATACATGCACATACATGCTTAGGTGTATGAATAAAAGCATACATACAGCCATGTAAGTATTAGAAGAAAAATGAAATAATTCTTCTATAATCTCAGTGTGGGGAAAAGGCTGCTAATTACCACACAAAATCCAAATGCAATCAAGTATATATAAACCTTGAATATAGGAAGGCCGAGATGGGCAGATCAACTGGGGTCAGGAGTTTGAGACCAGCCTGGCCAGCATAGTAAAACCCCGTCTCTGCTAAAAAAAATAGCCAGGCATGGTGGCACGTGCCTTTAATCCCAGCTACTCAGGATGCTGAGGCAGGAGAATCACTTGAACCTGGGTGGCAGAGGTTGCAGTGAGTTGAGGTCATGCTATTGCCCTCTAGCATAGGCAAGAAAAATGAAACTCCATCTCAAAAAACAAAACAAAACAAAACAAAAAAACAAACAAAAGAAACTTTAATATATAATTTTCTAAAAATTTGCTAGGCAAAAAATGCTATTAAAAAGTTATGAGAAATACAGAGTTGCTCCACATAAGAATATTTCAGTCAATGACAGAGCACATATTTGATGGTGGTCCCATGAGATTATAATATCATATTTATAGCACAACTTACCTAGTTGTGGATATGTTTAGGTATACAAATATCATGTGTAACATGTGAAACAGTTTCCTAGAGTATTCAGGGTGATGACAGGGTAGCCAGGAACAACAGGCTACACAATACAGCCCAGGTGCACTGTGAGCTGGGCCTTGTGGGCGTGGGTTTGTGCACTCTAGGATGATTTCACAAGGACCAAATGACTTAAGGATGCATTCCTCAGTAAGTGTTCTCAGCACAGAATTGTATAAGTAGCCTCATAGATAGACGGGCTAATGTTCATGCATTAAAAAACACTGAAAATAGAAGGAAAACTCTTCAAAACCTTCAAGAAGAACAAGTCCAAAAAAAACACAAAAAGATTGTAAAAATGAACACAATGGCCTGGCACAGTGGCTCATGCCAGTAATCCCAGAACTTGGGGAGGCCAAGGAAGGTGGATCACCTGAGGTCAAGAGTTCAAGACCAGCCAGACCAACATGGAGAAACCCTGTCTCTATGAAAAATTCAAAAATTAGCTGGGCATGGTGGCCCATGCAGTTAATCCCAGCTACTTCAGAGGCTGAGGCTGGAGAATGCTTGAACCCAGGGGGCAGAGGTTGCAATGAGCCAAGACCACACCACTGCACTCCAGCCTGCATGACAGGAGACTCCATCTCAAGAAAAAAACAAACACACACACACACACACACACAAACAAAACAAACAAACAAAAAATCGAGCATAACAAGAAACACAGACACCATTCCTCCCCTATCATATTGGGGGAAAAATGAAAAGTTTTGCCACATGTGAGCTTTGGGAGACATTGTTATGCATCCTTAGATAGTCTGAAACCAAAATCTTCCAGAAGGAGGCTTAGATAAACATGTGTATATGGATATGTGTAAATACATTTTTGTGTATATATTTATGAAGAGAAAAATATGTTTTTATTTCCAGCAATCTGCCTTCTAAGATGACTGAGGTGGTGAAAGGGAGTAGTTCCGGAAAAACAATCAATGACTGAGTCACCCTAGGTAACATAATCAACAGCTGAGTCAGTCCAGGGAAAACAGTTGATGACTAAGTGATTCCAGGAAAAAGAGCCTATTACTTCATCAGTTCAGGGAAAAATTAGATGACCAGGTCACTCCAGGGAAAACACCAATGAGGAAAACACAGGTTGATGACTTCATCCCAGGGAACACAACCTCTGACAAGGTCACAACAAGGTAAATAGCTGATTAAGTGGCAGCATATGGTCTCCTCAGTTCATTTTAAAAAAAAAAAAAAGAAAAAAAAAAGCAGTGACCACATCACACCAGTGACATTAGTGCTCGTGAGTCATTCCAGAGATCAGTAAAACATTTCCAGAGATCCAGAACCAGTCTACGGAAAGCACTGATAACAGGATGGCATGAAGATGCCCCCACTGTGGAAAATAGTGAAAGACATAGTCACTCCAAGGAAAACAGTTGATGAGGGTGGATGACAGCCAAAGATGCCCATGGTCTGGAAAACACAGTCCATGACTGACTCAATCCAAGAAGTAGTCCAGTACCACACAGTCCAGGGCACACAGTTGAGGACCTGCTGAGTCAGTCCAGGGAAATGAGTTGAGCACTGAGTCAGTCTAGGGAAATGAGTACATAGTCAAACCAGGAAAAGGAACTGAGTACCGAGTCAATTCAGGGAACTCAGTCAATGCTGAGTTAATCCAGGAAAAAGAGTTGATGAGCAATCTGTCCAGGGTAAACAGTTGAGTGCTGAATCATGCCAGGGAAAACAGTCTATGACGCAGTCAGTCTAGGCAAAAGAGTCCATGACCAAATAAGTTCAAGGAAAACAGTTGACCAAAAAATCACTTCAGGGAACACAGTAAAAGGTGACTGAGTCAATCTAGGTTAAAAAAAAAAAAATGATGATGATATGACAGGGAGATGTCCAGGGAAAACAGTGAATGATGTCACTCCAAGGAAAATGGGAGATTAAGGGATGACAGTGTGTCTGGAGTTGGTTTCTGCTGGTGGGTTCGTGGTCTCCCTGACTTCAAGAATGGAGCCGCAGACCTTTGAGGTGAGTGTTACAGTTCTTAGAGATGGCACGGACCCAAAGAGTGAGCAGTAGCAAGGTTTATTGTGAAGAGCAAAAGGACAAAGCTTCCATAGCATGAAAGGGGACCCTAGTGGGTTGTCACTGATGGCTGGGGTGCTCATCTATT
The DNA here is from genome assembly GCF_000001405.40 of Homo sapiens. Classification (NCBI taxonomy): domain Eukaryota; kingdom Metazoa; phylum Chordata; class Mammalia; order Primates; family Hominidae; genus Homo; species Homo sapiens. The sequence continues at coordinate 15,749,152 of NC_000024.10, read as the reverse complement.
ATTCCCTTACTGGCCCTTCCCATATTCCATTTCCATCCTATCAGAGTGCCCTTTTTTTGATCCTCCCCACAATTGGCTACTTTTAGAATCCTGCTGATTGGTGTATTTTACAGAGCGCTGATTGGTGACTTTTACAGCGTGCTGATTAGTGCATTTTACAGAGTGCTGATTGGTGCATTTTGCAATCCTCCTGAAAGACAGGAAAGCTCCTAAATGGTGTATTTTACAATCCTCTTGTAAAACAGAAAATTTCCCCAAGTCCCCAGTCGACCCAGGAAGTCCAGCTGGCCTCTTCTCTCAATATCCCCTCTTCATAGGACACCACAACTGCTGTTGGGGACTGGGTGATGAGAGCTGTAACTACTTCCTGCTGGACAAGGGTGAAAAAGGGTCCCTGCAGTTGTAGCATCCTCCAGAGGGGAACTCCCTAGGCCACTCAAAGAGCCAGCAGGTCAGTCCAGGGGTCCTTCGTAGAAGTTATGAATTGAACTCATTTGGGGTTCCATTTGTAAGACCATCTTGTAGATGGACGGCATCAATCCTAGAAGAAACAAATTTGACAATGAGGTTAAAAATAGAGGTCCCTAAGGCAAGTAATACCAAGACAGCTGTCATAGGACCTAGAAAGGGAAGAAGCCATATCACTCAACTCCAGAGGTTGGTATAAGAATTTCAGGGGAGGCGGTTCCAAGATAGCTGAATAGGAACAGCTCCAGTCTACAGCAACCAGCATGAGCAATGCAGAAGATGGGTGATTTCTGTATTTCCAACTGAGGTACTGGGTTCATCTCACTGGGGCTTGTCAGACAGTGGGGCAGGACAGTGGGTACAGCCCACCAAGCGTGAGCCAAAGCAAGGCAAGGCATTGCCTTACCCAGGAAGTGCAAGGGGTCAGGGAACTCCCTTTCTCAGCCAAGAGAAGGGGTGACAGATGGCACCTGGAAAATCGGTTCACTCCCACCCTAATACTGTGCTTTTCCAATGGTCTTAGCAAATGGCACACCAGGAGATTATATACCATGCCTGGCTTGGAGGGTCCCAAGCCCACAGAGCCTAGTCATTGCTAGCACAGCAGTCTGAGATCAAACAGCAAGGTAGCAGTGAGTCTGGGGGAGGAGTGTCCGCCATTGCTGAAGCTTGAGTAGGTAAACGAAGTGGCCAGGAAGCTTGAACTTGTTGGAGCCCACAGCAGCTCAAGGAGGCCTGCCTACCTCTGTAGACTCCACCTCTGGGGGCAGGGCATAGCCAAACAAAAGGCAGCAGAAACCTCGGTGGACTTAAATATTCCTGTTTGACAGCTTTGAAGAGAGTAGTTGTTCTCCCAGCATGGAGTTTGAGATCTGAGAATGGACAGACTGCATCTTCAAGTGGGCCCCTGACCCCCAAGTACGCTAACTGGGAGGCACCCATCAGTAGGGGCAGAATGACACCTCACACAGCCAGATACCCCCCTGAGATGAACCTTCCAGAGGAACGATCAGGCAGCAACATTTTCTCTTCAGCAATATTCACTGTTCTGCAGCCTCTGATGCTGATACCCAGGCAAACAGCATCTGGAATGGACTTCCAGCAAATCCAACAGACCTGCAGCTGAGGGTCCTGACTATTAGAAGGAAAACTAACAAACAGAAGGGACATCCACACCAAAACCACATCTGTACATCACCATCATCAAAGACCAAAGGTAGATAAAACCGCAAAGATGGCAAAAAAACAGAGCAGAAAAGCTGAAAATTATAAAAATTAGAGCACCTCTCCCCCTCCAAAGGAACGCAGCTCCTTGCCAGCAATGGAACAAAGCTGGAAGGAGAATGACTTCAACGAGTTGAGAGAAGAAGACTTCAGACAATCAAACTTCTCTGAGCTAAAGGAGGAAGTTCAAACCCATCACAAATAAGCTGAAAACCTGGAAAAAAGATTAGATGAATGGCTAACTAGAATAACCAGTGTAGAGAAGTCCTTAAATGACCTGATGGAGCTGAAAACCATGGCATGAGATGTACATGATGAATGCATAAGTTTCAGTAGCCGATTCAATCAACTGGAAGAAAGGGTATCAGGGATTGAAGATCAAATGAATGAAATGAAGTGAGAAGAGAAGTTTAGAGAAAAAAAGAGTAAAAAGAAATGAACAAAGCCTAGAAGAAATATGGAACTATATGAAAATACCAAATGTACGTCTGACTGATGTACCTGAAAGTGATGGGGACAATGGAACCAAGCTTGAAAACTCTCTGCAGGAAGTTCTCCAGGAGAACTTCCCCAACCTAGCAAGGCAGGCCAACATTCAAATTCAGGAAATACAGAGAACACCACAAAGATACTCCTCAAGAAGAGCAACTCCAAGACACATAATTGTCAGATTCACCAAAGTTGAAATGAAGGAAAAAATCTTAAGGGTAGCCAGAGAGAAAGGTCAGGTTACCCACAAAGGGAAGCCAATCAAACTAACAGCAGACCTCTTGGCAGAAACTCTATAAACCAGAAGAGAGTGGGGGCCAATATTCAACATTCCTAAAGCAAAGAATTTTCAACCCAGAATTTCATATCCAGCCAAACTCAGCTTCATAAGTGAAGGAGAAACAAAATCCTTTACAGATAAGTAAATGCTGAGAGATTTTGTCACCACCAGGCCTGCCTAAAAGAGCCCCTGAAGGAAGCACTAAACACGAAAAAGAGCAACTGGTACCAGCCACTGAAAACACATGACAAATTGTAAAGACCATCGATAGTAGGAAGAAAGTGCATCAACTAATGAGGAAAATAACCAGCTAACATCATAATGACAGGAACAAATTCACACACAACAATATTAACCTTAAATGTAAATGGGCTAAATGCTCCTATTAGAAGACACAGACTGGCAAATTGGATAAAGAGTCAAGACCCATCAGTGTGCTGTATTCAGGAAATCCATCTCACATGCAGAGACAAACATAGGCTCACAATAAAGGGATGGAGGAAGATCCACCAAGCAAATGGAAAACAAAAAAAGGCAGAGGTTGCAATCCCAGTCTCTAATAAAACAGACTTTAAACAAATGAAGATCAAAAGGACAAAGAAGTCCATTGCATAATGGTAAAAGAATAAATTCAACAAGAAGGATTAACTATCCTAAATATATATGCACCCAATACAGGAGCACCCAGATACATAAAGTCCTTAGAGACCTACAAAGAGACTTAGACTCCCACACAATAATAATGGGAGACATTATCACCCCACTCTCAACATTAGACAGATCAACGAGACAGAAAGTTAACAAGGATATCCAGGAATTGAACTCAGCTCTGCATCAAGCAGACCTAATAGACACCTACAGAACTCTCCACCCCAAATCAACAGAATATACATTCTTCCCAGCACCACATTGCACTTATTCCAAAATTGGCCACATAGTTGGAAGTGAAGCACTCCTCAGCAAATGTAATAGAAGAGAAATTATAACAAACTATCTCTCAGACCACAGTGTAATCAAACTAGAACTCAGGATTAAGAAACTCACTCAAAGCCGTTCAACTACATGGAAACAGAACAACCTGCTCCTCAATGACTACTGAGTCCCTAATGAACTGAAGGCAGAAATAAATATGTTCTTTGAAACCAATGAGAACCAAGGCACAACATACCAGAATATCTGAAATTAAAGCAGTGTGAAGAGGGAAATTTGTAGCACTAAATGCGATAAAGAAAGTAGGAAAGATCTAAAATTCACATCCTAACATCACAATTAAAAGACCTAGAGAAGCAAGAGCAAACACATTCAAAAGCTAGCAGAAAGCAAGAAATAACTAAGATCAGAGCAGAACTGAAGGAAATAGAGACACCAAAAACCCTTCAAATACTCAATGAATCCAGGAGCTGGTTTTTTGAAAAGATCAACAAAATTGATAGACTTCTAGCAAGACTAATAAAGAAGACAAGAGAGAGGAATCAAATAGACGCAATAAAAAATGATAAAGGGTATATAGCCACCAATCCCACAGAAATACAAACTACCATCAGAGAACACAATAAACACCTCTGCATAAATAAACTAGAAAATCTAGAAGAAATGGATAAATTCCTCGACACATACACCCTCCCAAGACTAAACCAGGAAGAAGTTGAATACCTGAATAGACCAATAACAGGCTCTGAAATTGAGGCAATAATTAATAGGTTACCAACCAAAAAAGTCCAGGACCAGTTGGATTCACAGCCAAATTCCACCAGAGGTACAAAGAGGAGCTGGAACCATTCCTCCTGAAACCATTCCAATCAATAGAAAAACAGGGACTCCTCTCTAACTCATTTTATGATGCCAGCATCATCCTGATACCAAAGCCTATCAGAGACACAACAAAATAAAACAATATTAGACCAATATCCCTGATGAATCTTGATGCAAACATCCTCAATAAAATACTGGCAAACCAAATCCAGGAGCACATCAAAAAGCTTATCCACCGTGATCAAGTGGGCTTCACCCCTGGGATGCAAGGCTGGTTCAACATATGCAAATCAATAAATGTAATCCAGCATATAAACAGAACCAAAGACAAAAACCATGTGATTATCTCAATAGATGCAGAAAAGGCCTTTGACAAAATTCAACAGCCCTTCATGCTAAAAACTGTCGATAAATTAGGTATTCATGGGATGTATCTCAAAATAATAAGAGCTATTTATGACAAACCCACAGCCAATATGATACTGCATGGGCAAACACTGGAAGCATTCCCTTTGAAAACTGGCACAAGACAGTGATGCCATCTCTCACCACTCCTTTTCAACATAGTGGTGGAAGTTCTGGACAGGGCAATCAAGAAGGAGAAAGAAATAAAAGGTGCTCAATTAGGAAAAAAGGAAGTCAAATTGTCCTGTTTGTAGATGACATGGTTGTATATTTAGAAAACCCCATCATCTCAGCCTAAAATCTCCTTAAGCAGATAAGCAGCTTCAGCAAAGGCTCAGGATACAAAATCAATGTGAAAAAATCACAAGCCTTCTTACACACCAATAACAGACAAACAGTGAAATTATGAGTGAATTCAAATTCACAATTGCTTCAAAGAGAATAGATTATCTAGCAATCCATCTTACAAGGGATGTGAATGACCTCTTCAAGGAGAACTACTAACCACTGCTCAATGAAACAAATGAGGACACAAACAAATGGAAGAAGATTACATGCTCATGGATAGGAAGAATCAATATCATGAAAATGGCCATAATGCCCAAAGTAATTTATAGATTCAATGCCATCCCCATCAAGCTACCAAAGACTTTCTTCATAGAATTGGAAAAAACTACTTTGAAGTTCATATAGAACCAAAAAAAAGCTCACATTGCCAAGACAATCTTAAGCCAGAAGAACAAAGCTGGAGGCATCACACTACCTGACTTCAAAGTGTACTACAAGGGGCTACAGTAAACAAAACAGCATGGTACTGGTACGAAAACAGATATATAGACCGATGGAACAGAATAGAACCCTCAGAGATAATGCCACACATCTACAACCATCTGAACTTTGACAAACCTGACAAAAACAAGAAATGGGGAAAAGATTCCCTATCTAATAAATGATGCTGGGAAAACTTGTTATCCATATGTAGAAAGCTGAAACTGGATCCATTCTTTACGCCTTACACTACAATTAATTCAAGATTGATTAAAGATTTAAATGTTAGACCTAAAGCCATAAAAACCCTAGAAGAAAACCTAGGCATTACAATTCAGGACATAGGCATGGGCAAGGACTTCATGTCTAAAACACCAAAAGCAATGGCAACAAAAGACAACATTGACAAATGGGATCTAATCTAACTAAAAAGCTTCTGCACAGCAAAAGAAACTACCATCAGAGAACAGGAAACCTACAGAATGGGAGAACATTTTTACAATCTACTCATCTGACAAAGGGCTAATATCCAGAATTTACAATGAACTCAAACAAATTTACAAGAAAAAAATCAAGCAATCCCATCAAAAAGTGGGCGAAGGATATGAACAGACACTTCTCAAAAGAAGACATTTATGCAGGCAACAGACACATGAAAAAAGCTCATCACTGGCCATCAGAGAAATGCAAATCAAAACCACAATGAGATACCATCTCACACCAGTTAGAATGGCAATCATAAAACAGGAAACAACAAGTGCTGGAGAGGTTCTAGAGAAATAGGAACAGTTTTACACTGTTGATGGGACTGTAAACTAGTTCAACCATTGTGGAAGTCAGTATGGCAATTCCTCAGGGATCTAGAACTAGAAATATCATTTGACCCAGCCATCCCATTACTGGGTATATACCCAAAGGATTATAAATCATGTTGCTATAAAGACACATGCACATGTATGTTTATTGGGGCACTATTCACAATAGCAAAGACTTGGACCCAACCCAAATGTCCATCAATGATAGACTGGGTTAAGAAAATGTGTCACATATACACGATGGAATACTATGCAGCCATAAAAAAATGATGAGTTTATGTCCTTTGTAGGGACATGGATGAAGCTGGAAACCATAATTCTCCGCAAACTATTGCAAGGACAAAAAACCAAACACCACATGTTCTCACTCATAGGTGGGAATTGAACAACGAGAAGACTTGGACACAGGAAGGAGAACATCACACACCGGGCCTGTCATGGGGTCGGGGGAGGGGTTATGGAAAGCATTAGGAGATATAACTAAAGTAAATGACGAGTTCATCGGTGCAGCACACCAACATGGTACATGTGTGCATATGTAATAAACCTGCACGATGTGCACATGTACCCTGGAACTTAAAGTAAAATAATAATTTAAAAAAGAGTTTGAAAGGTGTTGTTTGTTTTCAGAAGCCTTTTCCTGTAAATGCCAGGCAGCATCTTGTACTATCCTTGAACTGGTTAGTGTAAAAATGACACTCTTCCCTCAAGAAGACAGAGTCCTCCTTTTTTCAGCTTTTTTCAGCAGTGAGGTCTAGGCCTCAATGGATTTGAAGAGTCACTGCTGCCAAAGAGCCTATTTGAGATTGCAGAGTAAGGATAGATTTTATTTCTTGAAAACTGTCTGAGAAGTCCTTTGAGAGTGTATGGTAGTAGGATAATGAAGTAGATAAACTAACTATTCTGGTTTCTGTAGCAGTGGCTATTCCTAATCCTATAAGTAGTGGTATTAGTTGTGTGAGCCACCGAGCCCAGCCTCTTTTTTCTTTTTAATTTCTCATTCTTTTACTCATCTTCCCTTCTCCTGGCAGCAAATCTAACATGTCTGCATTTTATAGTTACCTGAACACTTTTTTTAATTATGCAAAGTTGTAAATTTTATTATGTAAAGTTGTATTTATTTTATTATGTAAAGTTGTAATTGTTTTTCCTGCTGCTTGTTTGTTTTTTGTTTGCTTGTTTTTTTGTGCTGACGACATATCGTTTTATTAGACTCTATCCCCATGACTTCTTTATTTTGTGCTGTTTTATGCAACAGGCACAAATCACATGGCCTGGACATTTTCAGAGAGCAAGAAAAATTGAACGTTCTTTTTACAGTGCTTTCGTGCATCAATTGCTATTAAAGTGTTGTCTCTCCTTAATATTCTTTTTGTTTTTATGTGTGTGTGGGACGGAGTCTCGCTCTGTCGCTCAGGGTGGAGTGCAGCGCCGCGATCTCGGCTCACTGCAAACTCCACCTCCCGGGTTCATGCCGTTCTCCTGCCTCAGCCTCCGCAGGATCTGGGACTACAGTTGCCGGCCACCACAAATGTATATGTAAGTAACTACATGTCAATAACTTGCATTTGTGACTTCTCAAAATATAATATACAGCTTGTTGAGTACAAAATTGAGGCCTTGAAATCCTGTGGTGTTGGTAGCTTAGTAGACATCTTTTCTTGTCCAATGTAGCAATAAAAACACCTTCCACTAACAACAAAAGGCCCAAAATAAAATGACTATAAATATAAGAAAAGTGACTACAAATTAGTTTACATAACAAAAGGAAAGGTTAAAAGGTGTCTCCAGAGTCAACAATTTATCTGTTCAATTTTCTCATAATAGTATATATATTTTCATTTATAATCAAACTCTTGTGTAATTTGCTTGTAAATATGATTGCCTGTAACAATGCAGACATAAAGAATTTTTTTCATAATAGAGGTAGATATCAAAGAAATCAATCATAACAGCTTGTTTCCAATGCATTATACTGTTACCTTGGTTATATATATGTATATTTAAGATGTATTTTTGTTTATTTCATAAGTTTATATCTGTATGAATGTGTAAACACACACATAGATCAGTAATCTCTGTAGTTTAATTAATATATTTATCCATTTCTTCACTAATATTATCTGCTTTAATTAGCAGGGACTTCATGGTAAGTGTCCATTTCTGGTGAATTACACACATGTAGACAGGTACAGCAGCACACACCCACATATATCGTTGTACAGACACTATTATTTTTCACAAGATATTTTGCTATTGAGATTAAGCTAATTAAGATTCTTAGTGAAACATTAAGAATATGTAATCAATGTCTTCTTCTCACTCATTTGGATTTTTATTAGAATGCATCCAATTTACATATTTATGTATTTATAAAATTAAATATTCAAATCCAGGATAATGAACTATTTCTACAGATGTTCAGGTTTTATATTTTGTACTTAACAAGACTGTACAGTTTTTTGAATATAAATTCTAAATATTTTTTTATTAGAATACTTTCCAAGAATTAATCATTTTCAACATTATGAGTTGGTATTTTTTAATATTTAAAAGAGATTATTATCATCATGGGATAAAAACTATTGACTTATGTATTTAATTTGTGCTGATGTTGCTAATTCAACGTGACAAGGTTTACTTAATTCTAGTTACTTTATATTAGTTTCCAAAAATATTCTGACTGAATAATTTTGACTCATGTTCTAATCTTGACATAAATTTTACCTTTTTCTTTTGTGTTTTGTTGTCTAAACTAAATATTGATAATAGTGATGACAGCTAATATCTCATTTCTGTATTTAACTGTAAAATAAATTTTCTAGAATCTTGCTATTAGACTGATGATTGTTATGGTTAAATAATATTATCATATTTAAGCAGCTGCTTTCTATATCTGTTTCACTTAGATTTTTTATTTTTACAGGCTGTTTTAACTATCAAACACTTGTCTGACACCCATTGATATAGTTATGTGTTTTTTCTCTTTCAATTTTTTTTAATCATCAGTTATGCTGTTGTAATTTCTCATGTTGAGACTCTTATCATTTATGGAATAAATTTTACTTGATTGTAATACATTATTCTTTGGAGCTAGACCTGCATAATGACTGCGAATATTTTATTCAGAATTTTTCATGTGTGTTCATAATAAAAATTACTTTAGTTTTTTTAAAATCTTAACCATTCAATTTTCATTAATGTTATACTCATGTTTAAAATGAATTTGGATAATTTAAATATTTTCTATTTCTAGAATATTTAAAACCACTGCTTCTCAAACTTTAGCATGCACAAGGCACCTAGAAAGTTTTTAAAATTATAGATTTCTGCTCCCATCACCAATGCTCTTCAACTCAGTCATCACCAAATGGGTCCTGGGGGCTGTCATTTCTAACATGCTCCCCGGTGAGGCTGATACTGCTGGTCGACCAGCACTCTGTGGTACTATCAGAAATACTAGTATATATTGAACTAGAATTAGGAATCAAATAAGGACACAGGTAAATCAGCGACAAACCCGTCCATAAACCCATTCACTGGCGTTTATAATGACAGACTTCTTAAGCTTATTAAAATTTTCTATATTGTGTAGATTAATTTTGGAAGTTTATACATTCCTAAGAAATAATTCATTTCCCCTTTATAAATAAATTTGTTGGCACATTGGGTACTTTTCTTTTATTATTCTTCCCTAAAGTTTTTAAAAAACTTTGAATTAAAGGAATATCTGCATTAGCCTGACTTTCTAAACATTTTGTGAGGTAAATTATACTTTATTTTGGGGAGTGTGTTTGTGTGTGTGTACGTGTGTGTGTTTTATTTTATATTGTTTTGTCTCTTTCAATAATAAAGGCTATATCTTCCAAACAATAATATCATTTATTATAGAACAATGTATATCAAACCCAAGAAAAAATGAGATATTTCTTACAGTTAATTAGAAAATAGCAATCCTTTATTTTTATAAAGCGTGTTTTCTGTCCCAAAAATGACAACATAATTATAATATAAATCGATGAGTAATAAGCTTTTGGAAAATTGATTGCAGTTTTGGTCATTACTTCTAATGGTAAAAACTGAAATAACTTTTGCATCAACTTAATAAAATCCAGCAAATCATAAACAAAAAAAATCCCATGTGTCTGTGCTGCAGATTCCCGGTCTGGAATCTCACATCTAAAAGAATGGCAGGACACTATAAAATCCTTGTGATTCTGAGCCATAAAAATATCATCTTTGAGACTTTTTCACTGGCAGAGTCTACCCGCCAAAACCCGAGGCAAGTTTAGCTATAATGACTTTCTGGAATGACGGAACCAATAGAAACCCTGGCTCTGAATCTGAAGTTCACCAATTCACCTGGCAAGAGTAGATGGGTTTTCTGGACTTGATAGACAACCTCATCATAATTAACCATATTCCATGAAGTTCCTCCAGGTAAAAACTGGATGGAAATTGGTTTTGTAACTCTTGTCAACATTCCAATCTCTGTGATTGTCTTTATTATTATTATTATTATACTTTAAGTTTTAGGGTACATGTGCACAACGTGCAGGTTTGTTATATATGTATACATGTGCCATGTTGGTGTGCTGCACCTATTAACTCTTCATTTAGCATTAGGTATATCTCCTAATGCTTTCCATACGCCCCCCACCCCACAACAGTCCCTGGTGTGTGATGGTCCCCTTCCTGTGTACATGTGTTCTCATTGGTCAATTACCACCTACAAGTGAGAACAAGTGGTGTCTGGTTTTTTGTCCTTGCAATAGTTCACTGAGAATGATGGTTTCCAGCTTCATCCATGTCCCTACAAATGACATGAACTCATCATTTTTTATGGCTGCATAGTATTCCATGGTGTATATGTGCCACATTTTCTTAATCCAGTCTATCATTGTTGGACATTTGGGTTGGTTCCAAGTCTTTGCTATTGTGAATAGTGTCACAACAAACATACATGTGCATTGCATGTGTCTTTATAGGAACATGATTTATAATCCTTTGGGTATATACCCACTGCTCAATGAAATAAAAGAGTATACAATACAAACACATGGTGGAACATTCCATGCTCAAGGGTAGGAAGAATCAATATGTTGAAAATGGCCATACTGCCCAAGGTAATTTACAGATTCAATGCTATCCCCATCAAGCTACCAATGACTTTCCTCATAGAATTGGAAAAAACTACTTTAAAGTATATATGGAACCAAAAAAGAGCCCACATTGGCAAGTCAGTCCTAAGCCAAAAGAACAAAGCTGGAGGCATCACACTACCTGACTTCAAACTATACTACAAGGCTACAGTAACCAAAACAGCATGGTACTGGTACCAAAACAGAGATATAGACCAATGGAACAGAACAGAGTCCTCAGAAATAATGCCACATATCTACAACTATCTGATCTTTGACAAACCTGAGAAAAACAAGCAATGGGGAAATGATTCCCTGTTTAATAAATCATGCTGAGAAAACTGGCTAGCCATATGTAGAAAGCTGAAATTAGATCCCTTCCTTACACCTTAAACAGCAATTAATTCAAGATGGATTAAAGACTTACATGTTAGACCTAAAACCATAAAAACCCTAGAAGAAAACCTAGGCAATACCATTCAGGACATAGGTATGGGCAAAGACTTCATGTCTAAAATGCCAAAAGCAATGGCAACAAAAGCGAAAATTGACAAATGGGATCTAATTAAACTAAAGAGCTTCTGCACAGCAGAAGAAACCACCATCAGAGTGAACAGGCAACCTACAGAATGGGAGAAAATTTTTGCAGTCTACTCATCTGACAAATGGCTAATATCCAGAATCTACAATGAACTCAAACAAATTTACAAGAAAAAGACAAACATCCCCATCAAAAAGTGGGTGAAGGATATGAACAGAAGCTTCTTAAAAGAAGACATTTATGCAGCCATAAAACACATGAAAAAATGCTCATCATCACTGGCCATCAGAGAAATGCAAATCAAAACCACAATAAGATACCATCTCACACCAGTTAGAATGGCAATCATTAAAAAGTCAGGAAACAACAGGTGCTGGAGAGGATGTGGAGAAATAGGAACACTTTTACACTGTTGGTGGGACTGTAAACTAGTTCAACCATTGTGGAAGTTGGTGTGGTGATTCCTCAAAGATCTAGAACTAGAAATACCATTTGACCTAGCCATCCCATTACTGGGTATACACTCTGTGATTGTTGAAAGCCATACTCTTTTATAATAAAATGCCACGGGTGACAATGGAAATGGCCTCTCAGGGAAGATCACCCATCTTCTTTAAGAAGATTTCAGGGGTTTTTCTTACCCACCAACAACTGTCAGGCCAAGAACATGCCACAGGAATTGCATTTCCTGTTGATGAAAAGCAGGTAGACTTGAAGTGCTTTGCAGGTTTGTAATTGGATATTGGTCGAAATTGCTTAAAATATAAAAGTAGGATTCAGGAGCCTTTATGAATCCTGATATCAAAGATTAACATGTGTGATACCCTCAAAATCTATTCTAAGACCCAACTGTCTCTTCTGTTTCTGCCTCTTCAGAGTCTTTCCCTCTTCCTTACAATGCTCATGGTTCCCTGCAATCACTGCTGAGATGATATTACTTCTTCCTTCACAAAGTTTCATTTCCTATGGTTTTTACTACCTGTTTATTTTTTTGCTGCTGCTAATCTTGTCTAACACCCTTTCTACTCATTTCCATAGGGCAATGCTCCTCTAGTCCTGTTATGGAAAAACTTCTAGAATATTTCAAATTATGTGCAATAGTCTCCAACTTCCTAATCCTTACTCTAGACTTGAAATTCTTGCAAAAAAAGAAAACTACCATATTCTATGCATCTCTCAATCATAGTCTACCTGTGGTAGAATACATCGCAGGTGCGCAAAGGTTTTTCAATCAAATTGAATCTTGGTGAATTCTTTTCCAGAATGCATTTCTGTTTTGTCAAGACACTTATTATAAATCCTTTCCTTTGTAAATCTATCCTAAATCATTTTACCTTCTCTCCTTGCCACTGTTATTTTTAAGTGATTTTTCTAGATTATGAACAAAAATGCTCATGTTATTCCTCAATTTATTTAATTTCACACAAGAAGATGAATAACGCAGGAATTATAAAGAAATGAACAATGAGAACACATGGACACAGGAAGGGAAACATCACACACCGAGGCCTGTTGTGGGGTGGGGGAACGAGGGAGGGATAGCATTTGGAGATATATCTAATGTTAAATGATGAGTTACTGGGTGCAGCACACTAACATTGCACATGTATACATATGTAACTAACCTCTACATTGTGCACATGTAACGCAAAACTTAAAGTATAATAATAAAAAGAGAAATGATATCTTTTAAATATACTCTGTTTTCTTTAATTATATAGACAGCACTTAACAAGCTGTTCTTGTTTAGTTATAACTAGCTTAATAAACAACATTTGAGTTTTATGCCTGACCAAGTAAATCAAGTACAGACAAAAAGGAAAAAGAACATTTAATATTCTGAGCACTGGATCCAAGTAAAATGACTCTAGGCCCACTTGTGCTATTACACAAAAGACGGATCCCTGTCCTGTTAAAAACATAAAATAGCAACCAAGTTCCATGAAGAAACAGCAACAAAAGATTGTTTATAGTTTTCCAAACAATACCCATGTCCACTTACATTAGTAAGTTTAAAAACCAGTAGTGTAAAAAACATAAATTAGTGACTTCTTTGATATTTTAATAAAGGATGATACACTATGAAATTCCTATTTTATTTGTAAAGCTTATCCCATGAATCATGCCTGTAAATACTATGGTGACTAAATTTAACACAGCAAGGGCAGTGACATATGGCTTCAATCACTCCCCAGGGTGAGAATTTTCAAAACTTGGGGCCAGAGGTAACATACATATAAAGCTACCATGTTGATTTTAATGATCCTCTCTGTTTCAGGATTACTATTTTAAAGCTTGAAGGTATTAATCTCAGAACCCCTTTATATACCTAAGGAGCATCAAGAAGCCTGAAGAGCTTTGCAAGATGCTCAGAGATTTTATTTATTGTTATTTACCATCTTGGAAATTGAAACTTAGACATTTCTGTAATATAGATTGAGTAATGCTATGTCATGGCATAAGTAACAGATATGCGGAAAAATAAACACATTTTACAAAATAAATTAAAAAAATTAGAAGGATGCTATTGGTTCACACTCTTGCAAATCTTTTTAATAGAATAGCATAATAGAAAATGGTGGGATTCTAATAACTGCTTCTGCACAGAACTTCTGTCATTTGTTGTTTTGGTTACACCCTATGAATGAAACCCAGTCTTGTGCAGATATGTATTTGGAAAAGGGAGGAATCTTTAAATAACTTTTCAGATGATTGTGGATATTCTTCTTTGATACAAAATCTAGAAAGAGAAGTTTATTAAAGATTATTTGAAATTTGGAATCTGTCATCAGTATTCATTATTTTTTAAAACACTGTTGTGTTAAAATCCATGAATATATCATGTGCTTCAAATGGGTGTCTTAGCTTCAGTTGAACAGCATAAAACAATAAATATATATTGAAAACTTGGTCTTTTAGCTATGCATAATTTTGTATCATGATGCCTTGTTTATTTACAAAATATTGTTTCAGTAAATTTATTTAGGTCATCCAAATATTCACACAATTTATTAGGTAGTATTAAAAATATCTTACTGGTCAATATCCCACACATCTCCTCAGAAAAGTCTTTAAGTGTTGGAAAGCTGTCCAAGATTATCATTGACAATTACTGTCTGGGATTTATCTTTGGAATATATGTTTAGAATACATTGAAAGAGACCAGAGTGACTCACTTTGGTCACTTTTAAGAAAATGTCTACCAAATCCTCAAGTCCAAAAGACAATATTTTATCTAAGAGTCATTATTTCAAGTGAAGATTGTGCATCCTTTAAAAAGTGGCCAATTTAGCACACACTTCCCACATCTGTACAGTGCTTTCCTTCACACAAAATTGCACTTTGGTATCTAGAGAACTACTTTGTGCACAGTTCTTATCTTGTCACATCAAATGTTGAATCTATGCCCCAGGATTAAGGTTGAAGACAGTTAAGATCATTTTGTGCTGCATCAGGGACATTCTTCGGTAGTACTGGCTTTTTATAAACCATGAGTGCATAGCAGGAAACAATACTATGGCAATTAGCACAGTTTGGTATGACTGAATCGATTTGTGCTAAGGTACTTGTAGCTTCACCCTGCACTGTTTTGGCACTGTCCATGCAAAGGAAACCCAGTGGGAAAAAGAAAAATGTTATCTCAGCATTGTTATCCAAATAGTTTTTGCTTAACCCGTGAAATGGTTCAGAGACTCTCAGGGGTCTGTGAACTACACTATAAAACTACCAACTTAGTATGAGGAGTACTTGTTTTCCATGAAGACTTCTCACTATACAGGTGTGTTTTTGTTTTTATTTTGTTTTTCCTGTTATTAGCACATAATTGCTCTTGCATCAGGTGAATTTCTAAAGGTCCTTGTGTGATGTTTGGAAATTCACCTTGGTTTATGCATGGTATCCTGCAATGCACTAACCATATGTATTTGCAAAATGCAGTACAATCATTGCAATGTATAATCACCTTCTGGGTCTCCAAAAATGATCAGTGCTAAGCTGCTATGAATTATGCAGTCATGATTTGTAACAGAAGGATTGGTCTAGAAAAGGAGTTAGGGAAAATAACTTACTCAGTGAAACTGAATTAAATTGGACATAGGAAAGAGAAGAATAAAGTCAGACAAAGCTCCATGTTATTGCCACTCCATCATGGGTTGTCTTCAGAGAGCAGAACAGTTCCAAGAGCAGCTTCTCTGTAGAGTGGAGTTCTACAGAATAGTGCTAGAGGTCATTGGTCTAAGTGAATTAATGCAGAAACAGAAATTCAAATACTGCATGTTTTCGCTTACAAGCTCGAGGTATACAATGTGTATGCATGAACACAGATGATGAAAACAACAGATACTAAAAACTTTTATAAAGGGAGAGTGAGAGAGGGAAGGAGATAAAGAGAAACTACCTACTGAATAGTGTGAGTAGTATCTCTTTGAGTGATAGATTCAATAGAAGCCCAAATCCCAGCATTTTGCAATATACTCATGTAACAAAACTGCACATGTATCCCAACCAATAGGAGATGGAAACCAGTGAGCAATTATCCTGACTTCCTATACTTGTTTACCAAAATTTTTTACCAAAAATATGTCAATGGACTTTTGTAACAGCAGTTGAGCAAAGCCCTTTCTTTTTTATCCATGTTAATGTTAAATGGTAGGATGACTAGCCAGGTATATACTGGCCTAATGGCCTACTGGATTTCTTTTTATAAAGAAACACAAGACACATATGGTTTAGAGGTGCCTTTTCTGTAAGTGAGATTTCCAAGGCTGTCAATACTTGAAGATTTCAGGAGACTTTGTATCCAGAAACTGGTTAAATAGAAAGGCAAACTCCACTGTAATTTTATCTGAAGGAGCAGTTGAAACAGAAATGAAAATTACCATGAAACGTAGAAGATTGCTTCCATGAAATTTATCTACTTTATGTTCAAAAGCTTTTATTTTCAGAAACATTGTCTGTCTTTTCCTTTCCAAGGGGTCAAATTCACAACTTATTCTTGACTCTTTTGCCTAAATTGCTTGTGCATTAAACTGTACAATTACTGGCTTCTTCAAAGCACCCACATCCTGTTTTAGTGAAATTCCTGGAGAGAGCAAGGATTGTCTCTTAGAACAGACAGAACCAAAAGTTCTTCGTTAGTTTTCTCACAGAAACCTAGGTGGAGAAAGACATCACACATGTCTAAGTAGAGTACTTCATCTTCTATTCATTCTCTTACAAATGCCCACAGGTAAGACACCACATTACAAGAGTACAAGCCTTCAGAGGTTGATGCCTGGGATTGCATAATGCAGCAGCATAAAAAAACCCAGACAAAATAACCCTAAACGAAGAACTCCTGAAGTTAACCACTTGATCATGTGTGGGCACCACTGAGATATAGCAAATTGCACAGAGAAAAGCTCCTATTCAGCTGTGTATAGTTTCCCTGAATCTCATCTTTCCCCAAAACCATCTGATAAATTACCTTCCAATTGATTAAATTTCCTCTAGGAAGGTACTATATACATCAACCTCAGACCTTGTTTCTATACAAAATCAACTGTTACCATGGCTGACTGTTCACTTCCTGAATGGCTGTTAAAATGGCTAACTATTCACTGCCTACTTCAACTTCCTGAGTTTTACACCCATGCTCACTCTTTGTCTTGCTGACTACAGCTTCTGCTACAACTATTTAGATATACCAGAGAAAACAACAACAATTGACAAGACTGGAGCTTCGGCAAAAGTGGTCGCACACATTAAAAAGTGAATTTTTAGGCCGGGCGCGGTGGCTCAAGCCTGTAATCCCGGCACTTTGGGAGGCCGAGGCGGGCGGATCACGAGGTCAGGAGATCGAGACCATCCCGGCTAAAACGGTGAAACCCCGTCTGTACTAAAAATACAAAAAATTATCCGGGTGTAGTGGCGGGCGCCTGTAGTCCCAGCTACTTGGGAGGCTGAGGCAGGAGAATGGCGTGAACCCAGGAGGCAGAGCTTGCAGTGAGCCGAGATCCCGCCACTGCACTCCAGCCTGGGTGACAGAGCGAGACTCCGTCTCAAAAAAAAAAAAAAAAAATGAATTTTTAGTAAAAACAAACAAACATCAAACATTAGTCTTTTATTCTTTGAGAACTTAACTGCGATTATTCTCTATTCCCCGTAAATAGAAGCTATAGCGCAATATGAAAATTAGTCCATTTCAAAAATAACTATAGTGAAGCATTCAGCCTGTACACTATATACATCTGTATCAAAAACAATGTAAAGTTTGTGGAAATAAATAAAGACTTCCTTCCTCTTTCACAAATGAGAGCAAACAGAGACTTTTTAGTGAGAGCTTGCTCCAACAAGGGAGTCTGGCGCTATCACTTGCATTTAGGAAAGACTCAAAGGCCAGTGGAAATACTTTATGGTGAAAACATGTTACAGGTAGTTAGGCATGAGCTGGACAGGAGAGGACTCTCCCTGCCACCTACCCCCCACCCAGCCCCCCGCCATTAGAGTCAGGTGATGGTTTGGCAATAATGGCATTGCCAATCTAAAAGTGATAGTTTTTAGCCAATACCAGGAAGAGGCAATTTGCTGGTGGTCAATACCTGTTAACATTAAAGAGTTAACTAAAGACAGGCCCCAGGTCGAAGCAACTTTCTGGGCATGCACATTAAGAGACAAAAATGGTGAAGTATGACCTTCCAGGTATACTCCACTGGAAGAAGGAAGAAATCCTCAGATGGCCATGCATTCAATTCCCTAAAAACACTGCGCATGCTCATTTCCCAAGGGTAAGGAGAACACTGTGCAAGTGGAAGGCCCACCCTCAGGGTAGAATCATGGGAAAGACAGGAGCCTATAAAGTCCAGGTTCACGATTAAAGTTTCTCCTCTTTTCTCTTTGACCTTCAGGCGCCCACTTGGGTCTCTTCCAAGGGTTCTTTCCTTTCTTTCCTGTTCTAAAGCCTTTTTAATACACTTCCACTCCTGCTCTAGAACTTGCCTTGGTCTCTTTATCTGCTTTATGCTCCTAAGTCAAATTCTTTCTTTTGAGGAACAAAAGGAGAAGGCTGTAGGTGTGCTGTGTTTGGAGTTTGCTGGCATAGGGGAACTTCAGGTGAGCTGTCCAAAAGTGGGGCTTCTCATGTCATTGGTTTGGGGTGCATATTTCACTTTCCCTGGTTGGTTCTGAGTTGGTACAGAGGAGAAAATCAAGGAAAGCTGGCAGAAACGGATGAAGAATTGATTGCCTGTGGAAGACTGTTGCAGAGTTTGTAGTTCAGACTCCTCTAAACAATAAAACTTGGCCTCCAAAATCCTTCATCTTAACATGAATATTTCTTTTGATCCCAGCTCTTCAGATAAACTCAACCAATTGTCAACAAGAAAATGCTTAAATTTATCTATAGCCTGGAAGCCCCCATTTTGAGTTGTGCTGCCTTTCTAAACAAACCCAATGTATTTCTTAAATGCATTTGGTTGATGTCTCATACCTCTCTAAAATATATAAAACCAAGCTGTGCCCCAACCACCTTGGGCACATATGCTCAAGACCTCCAGAGGGCTGTGTCATGATCACTCATATTTGACTCAGAATAAATCGCTTCAAACATTTTACAAACTTTGACTCTTTTTATCAGCACTAGTATTAGCTAAAGTGATGAGAAACCACCACTGTAACTAGGAATGGATTCTTGGTCTTTACAGACAAATCTCTCTTTTTTAAAGTTCATCTTTGTTTTAGCTGAATGCAAAAAGAGGAAAGATAAGACCTAGCTCCTGCTAAGTATTTAATGTGTGTGTTTGTGTGTGTGTGTGTGTGTGTGTGTGTGTGTGTGTGTGTGTGTGTCTGTTGAGCTGATGAAGAACTGAATGGCCACAAAGAACAGAAAAGAGATGAATAAATGCCAGTTGAATTACTATCTTTCCAGAATCCTTTGGCGTGATAGTGAAGGGATATTAGTTATATTCTTGCATTGGTTACATCAATTAGCAAAGTTTATCAAAATTTGAAAGTCCTTAGATAGCCTTTCAAGGGTCTTTGTGGTGCATATTCACCACCTCTCTTCCCAACATCATATTATCCTGCTATGGGGTATTGGTTAATGTGGCCTCAGATGACACCAACCTGTGATGTGGTTAGAGTGCTGAGGGGGAGGTAGCTGCTTTCTAGACCTCTCGTGTCTTTTGCCTTTGAGCCTTCATTTTCTCATCTGTATCACGTGTACTGCTGTCAATAAAAAGAGTCAACTCTGTAAAATATTTGAAGAGATTAATTCTGAGCCAAATATCAATGACCATGGCCTGTGACACAGCTCTCAAGAGGTCCTGAGAACATGTTTCCATGGTGGTTGGAGCACAGCTTGGTTCTTCACATTTTAGAGAGGCATGAGACATCAATCAAATACATTTAAGAGCTACTTTGGTTTGGTCCAGAAAGGTGGGACAACTCAAAACAGGGTGGGTGGGCATAGGTGTTGGTGGTGCAGGGTGGCGTTGTGGGGAGCTTCCTGGCTATAGGTAAACTTAAACATTTTCTGATTGGTAATTGGTTGAGTTTGCCTAAAAACCTGGGATTGATGGAAAGGAAATGTTCAGGTTAAGACAAAAGATTGTGGAGACCAAGATTTTTTTGAAGTCTTATAGTGGCTGCCCTCAAAGACAATAGATGACAAATGTTTCCTATGCAGACCTTTAAAAGGTGCTAGACTGACCTAATCTCTTCAGGATTGGGAGGACCGGAAAAAAAAAAGATCTAGGTATGTTCATAGATATTCTTTACAAATGTACATCTTCCCTTACAAAGGACAGGTTTGCAGGTCCATTTGAAGATATGGCAAAGAAGCATACTTTAGAGTAAAATATTTTTATTTGATTCCTTGTTTTGTAATGTTACGCCCCAGTTAGGCTGGAAAGTAAGTCATGATATACAGGATTAAATAAAACTGATCTGGGGAAGAGCCAAGATGGCCAAATAGGAACAGGTCTGGTCTACAGCTCCCAGCGTGAGTGACGCAGAAGATGGGTGATTTCTGCATTTCCATGTGAGGTACCGGGTTCATCTCATTAGGGTGTGCCAGACAGTGGGCCCAGGTCAGTAGGTGCATGCACTGTGTGCCAGCTGAAGCAGGGCGAGGCATTGCCTCACTTGGGGAGCGCAAGGAGTCAGGGAGTTCCCCTTCCTAGTCAAAGAAAGTGTTGATGGACGGCACCTGGAAAATTGGGTCACTCCCACCCAAATACTGCACTTTTCCGACAGGCTTAAAAAATGGCGCAGCATGAGATTATATCCCGCACCTGGCTCGGAGGGTCCTACGCCCACGGAGTCTTGCTGATTGCTAGTGCAGCAGTCTGAGATCACACTGCAAGGCCGCAGCGAAGCTGGGGGAGGGGCACCCGCCATTGCCCAGGCTTGCTTAGGTAAACAAAGCAGCTGGGAAGCTCCAACTGGGTGGAGCCCACCACAGCTCAAGGAGGCCTGCCTGCCTCTATAGGCTCCACCTCTGGGGACAGGGCACAGACAAAAAAAGACAGCAGTAACCTCTGCAGACTTAAATGTCCCTGTCAGACAGCTTTGAAGACAGCAGTTGTTCTCCCAGTACACAGCTGGAGATCTGAGAAAGGGCAGACTGCCTCCTCAAGTGGGTCCCTGACCCCTGACCCCCAAGCAGCCTAACTGGGAGGCACCCCCCAGCAGGGGCACACTGACACCTCACATGGCAGCGTATTCCAACAGACCTGCAGCTGAAGGTCCTGTCTGTTAGAAGGAAAACTAACAAACAGAAAGGACATCCACACCAACAACCCATCTGTACATCACCATCATCAAAGACCAAAAGTAGATAAAACCACAAAGATGGGGAAAAAAACAGAACAGAAAAACTGGAAACTCTAAAAAGCAGAGTGTCTCTCCTCCTCCAAAGGAACGCAGTTCCTCACCAGCAATGGAACAAAGCTAGATGGAGAATGACTTTCAGGAGCTGAGAGAAGAAGGCTTCAGACAATCAAATTACTCTGAGCTATGGGAGGACATTCAAACCAAAGGCAAAGAAGTTGAAAACTTCAAAAAATATTTAGAAGAATGTATAACTAGAATAACCAATACAGAGAAGTGCTTAAAGGAGCTGATGGAGCTGAAAACCAAGGCTCAACAACTACATGAAGAATGCAGAAGCCTCAGGAGCTGATGTGATCAACTGGAAGAAAGGGTATCAGCAATGGAAGATGAAATGAATGAAATGAAGCAAGAAGGGAAGTTTAGAGAAAAAGGAATAAAAAGAAATGAGCAAAGCCTCCAAGAAATATGGGTCTATGTGAAAAGACCAAATCTACGTCTGATTGGTGTACCTGAAAGTGACGGGGAGAATGGAACCAAGCTGGAAAACACTCTGCACGATATTATCCAGGAGAACTTCCCCAATCTAACAAGGCAGGCCAACATTCACATTCAGGACCTACAGAGAACGCCACAAAGTTACTCCTCGAGAAGAGCAACTCCAAGACACATAATTGTCAGATTCACCAAAGTTGAAATGAAGGAAAAAATGTTAAGGACAGCCAGAGAGAAAGGTCAGATTATCCTCAAAGGGCAGCCCATCAGACTAACAGCGGATCTCTTGGCAGAAACCCTACAAGCCAGAAGAGAGTGGGGCCAATATTCAACATTCTTGAAGAAAAGAATTTTCAACCTGGAATTTCATATCCAGCCAAACTAAGCTTCATAAGTGAAGGAGAAATAAAATACTTTACAGACAAGCAAATGATGAGAGATTTTGTCACCACCAGGCCTGCCCTAAAAGAGCTCCTGAAGGAAGTGCTAAACATGGACAGGAACAACCAGTACCAGCCGCTGCAAAATCATGCCAAATTGTGAAGACCATCGAGACTAGGAAGAAACTGCATCAACTAATGAGGAAAATAACCAGCTAACATCATAATGACAGGATCAAATTCACACATAACAATATTAACTTTAAATGCAAATGGACTAAATGCTCCAATTAAAAGACACAGACTGGCAAATTGGATAAAGAGTCAAGACCCATCAGTGTGCTGTATTCAGGAAACCCATCTCAGGTGCAGAGACACACATAGGCTCAAAATAAAAGGATGGAGGAAGATCTATTAAGCAAATAGAAAACCAAAAAAGGCAGGGGTTACAATCCTAATCTCTGATAAAACAGACTTTAAACCAACACAGATCAAAAGGGACAAAGAAGGCCATTACATAATGGTAAAGGGATCAATTCAACAAGAAGAACTAACTATCCTAAATATATGTGCACCCAATGCAGGAGCACCCAGATTCATAAAGCAAGTCCTGAGAGGACTACAAAGAGACTTAGACTCCCACACATTAATAATGGGAGACTTTAACACCCCACTGTCAACATTAGACAGATCAACGAGACAGAAAGTTAAACAGGATACCCAGGAATTGAACTCAGCTCTGCACCAAGCAGACCTAATAGACATCTACAGAACTCTCCACCCCAAATCAACAGAATATACATTTTTTTTTCAGCACCCCACCACACCTATTCCAAAATTGACCACATACTTGGAAGTAAAGCACTCCTCAGCAAATGTAAAAGAACACAAATTATAACAAACTATCTCTCAGACCACAGTGCAATCAAACTAGAACTCAGGATTAAGAAACTCACTCAAAACCACTAAACTACATGGAAACTGAACAATCTGCTCCTGAATAACTACTGGGTACATAATGAAATGAAGGCAGAAATACAGATCTTCTTTGAAACCAATGAGAACAAAGACACAACATACCAGAATCTCTGGGACACATTCAAAGCAGTGTGTAGAGGGAAATTTATAGCACTAAATGCCCACAAGACAAAGCAGGAAAGATCTAAAATTGACACCCTAACATCACAAATAAAAGAACTAGAAAAGCAAAAGCAAACACATTCAAAAGCTAGCAGAAGGCAAGAAATAGCTAAAATCAGAGCAGAACTGAAGGAAATAGAGACACAAAAAACCCTTCAAAAAATTAACGAATCCAGTAGCTGGTTTTTTGAAAGGATCAACAAAATTGATAGACTACTAGCAAGACTAATAAAGAAAAAAAGAGAGAAGAATCAAATAGATGCAATAAAAAATGATAAAGGGGATATCACCACCAATCCAAAAGAAATACAAACTACCATCAGAGAATACTACAAACACCTCTATGCAAATAAACTAGAAAATCTAGAAGAAATGGATAAATTCCTGGACACATACACTCTCCCAAGACTAAACCAGGAAGAAGTTAAATCTCTGAATAGACCAATAACAGGATCTGAAATTGTGGCAATAATCAATAGCTTACCAACCAAAAAGAGTCCAGGACCAGATGGATTCACAGCCGAATTCTACCAGAGGTACAAGGAGGAACTGGTACCATTCCTTCTGAAACTATTCCAATCAATAGAAAAAGAGGGAATCCTCCCTAACTCATTTTATGAGGCCAGCATCATTCTGATACCAAAGCCTGGCAGAGACACAACCAAAAAAGAGAATTTTAGACCAATATCCTGATGACCATTGATGCAAAAATCCTCAATAAAATACTGGCAAAATGAATCCAGCAGCACACCAAAAAGCTTATCCACCATGATTAAGTGGGCTTCATCCCTGGGATGCAAGGCTAGTTCAATATATACAAATCATTCAATGTAATCCAGCATATAAACAGAGCCAAATACAAAAACCACATGATTATCTCAATAGATGCAGAAAAGGCCTTTGACAAAATTCAACAACCCTTCATGATAAAAACTCTCAATAATTAGGTATTGATGGGACGTATTTCAAAATAATAAGAGCTATCTATGACAAACCCACAGCCAATATCATACCGAATGGGCAAAAACTGGAAGCATTCCCTTTGAAAACTGGCACAAGACAGGGATGCCCTCTCTCACCACTCCTATTCAACATAGTGTTGGAAGTTCTGGCCAGGGCAATTAGGCAGGAGAAGGAAATAAAGAGTATTCAATTAGGAAAAGAGGAAGTCAAATTGTCCCTGTTTACAGACGACATGATTGTATATCTAGAAAACCCCATTGTCTCAGCCCAAAATCTCCTTAAGCTGATAAGCAACTTCAGCAAATTCTCAGGATACAAAATCAATGTACAAAAATCACAAGCATTCTTATACACCAATAACAAACAGAGAGCCAAATCATGAGTGAATTCCCATTCACAATTGCTTCAAAGAGAATAAAATACCTAGGAATCCAACTTACAAGGGATGTGAAGGACCTCTTCAAGGAGAACTACAAACCACTGCTCAAGGAAATAAACGAGGATACAAACAAGTGGAAGAAAATTCCATGCTCATGGTAGGAAGAATCAATATCGTGAAAATGGCCATACTGCCCAAGGCAATTTACAGATTCAATGCCATCCCCATCAAGCTGCCAATGCCTTTCCTCACAGAATTGGAAAATACTATTTTATAGTTCATATGGAACCAAAAAAGAGCCCACATCGCCAAGTCAATCCTAAGCCAAAAGAACAAAGCTGGAGACAACACACTACCTGACTTCAAACTATACTGCAAGTCTACAGTAACCAAAACAGCATGGTACTGGTACCAAAACAGAGATATAGATCAATGGAACAGAACAGAGCCCTAAGAAATAACGCTGCATATCTACAACTATCTGATCTTTGACAAACCTGAGAAAAACAAGCAATGAGGAAAGGATTCCCTATTTAATAAATGGTGCTGGGAAAACTGGCTAGTCATATGTAGAAAGCTGAGTCTGGATCCCTTCCTTACACCTTATACAAAAATCAATTTAAGATGGATTAAAGACTTAAACGTTGGACCTAAAACCATAAAAACCCTAGAAGAAAACCTAGGCATTACCATTCTGGACATAGGCATGGGCAAGGACTTCATGTCTAAAACACCAAAAGCAATGGCAACAGAAGACAAAATTGACAAATGGGATCTAATTAAACTAAGGAGCTTCTGTACAGCAAAATAAACTACCATCAGAGTGAACAGGCAACCTACACAATGGGAGAAAATTTTCGCAACCTACTCATCTGACAAAGGGCTAATATCCAGAATCTACAATGAACTCAAACAAATTTACAAGAAAAAAACAAACAACCCCATCAAAAAGTGGGCAAAGGACATGAACAGACACTTCTCAAAAGAAGACATTTATGCAGCCAAAAAACACATGAAAAAATGCTCATCATCACTGGCCATCAGAGAAATGCAAATCAAAACCACAATGAGATACCATCTCACACCAGTTAGAATGGCAATCATTAAAAACTCAGGAAACAACAGGTGCTGGAGAGGATGTGGAGAAATAGGAACACTTTTACACTGTTGGTGGGACTGTAAACTAGTTCAACCATTGTGGAAGTCAGTGTGGCGATTCCTCAGGGATCTAGAACTAGAAATACCATTTGGCCCAGCCATCCCATTACTGGGTATATACACAAAGGACTATAAATCATGCTGCTATAAAGACACATGCACATGTATGTTTATTGTGGCACTATTCACAGTAGCAAAGACTTGGAACCAAGCCAAATGTACAACAATGATAGACTGGATTAAGAAAATGTGGCACATATACATCATGGAATACTATGCAGCCATAAAAAATGATGAGTTCATGTCCTTTGTAGGGACATGGATGAAATTGGAAATCATCATTCTCAGTAAACTATTGCAAGAACAAAAAACCAAACACCGCATATTCTCACTCATAGGTGGGAATTGAACAATGAGATCACATGGACACAGGAAGGGGAACGTCACACTCTGCGGACTGTTTTGGGGTGGGGGGAGGGGGAGGGATAACATTGAAAGATATACCTAATGCTAGATGTCAAGTTAGTGGGTGCAGCGCACCAGCATGGCACATGTATACATATGCAACTAACCTGCACAATGTGCACATATACCCTTAAACTTAAAGTATAATAATAAAAGAAAAAAATGAAAAAAAAAATAAAACTGATCTGATAAGAATTTATGGTTTGTAAGGTATGACTTCTCAGACACCTTAGATAGGAATTTGGGCAACATAAAATATATAAGAATTTAGTTCTTACTGAACAGTTCATTTTGCAGGGTGGTGGTAAGGCTTAGCAAAGGTTTGGGCAATGTCCATCACACATACTAGGATGTCAACAAAAATAGCTGCTTCCATTGAACCTACCTGAATAAAATCTCTTTTTATTGAAGCAAATGACTATGATTTTGACATAGCATCTAAGAATATGTTATTATCTTCCCTACTCATAAATTGTCTGATTTAGGGTGCACATTTCTTTGAAGTCTTTGTTTTTGTTTTACCTTTATCCAAATCTTGAGAATGCATGTGAACCCCCTTTTGAAACATATATTTTCCTCATTTAATATATTCTATATTATATTACTGCATTAGCATTATGTGTTTATTAATAGAAACATATGGGGGCTCTGTTTTATTTTTTCTGTGCAACATAATTTCCAAAAGATTTAATGCTCTTTTGTATTCTTACATTTGTTTCAATGGCAGGATTTGTTGAGACACAAAAAGTCATTTGAACACTGAGTGAAATAGTCCCGGTTACCAAGCAACTTTACTTATAACAGTATATTTTCAAAAACCTCCTTTAAACATTAAGGTTTAAAAATATTGTTGAATGTAAACTATCAAAGTTTAAATAATACTACTGAATAAGAAGTGGCTTGTCTGTTGGCACAGTACAAAGTTATATACTTTAAAAATTATAAAATAAGATTTTTGAATATACATGAGTCCTTAAAAAAATGAAATCAACTGTATCCACCCATCATCAGATTCACTCCCTAAAATGTCCTAAACTGTAATAAATGAGTCTTTTACTATCATCTAACTATGAAAAGTGTTTTATACATGTTATATTTTGTTCAATTCAGAGTAGAAGTTGGAAAAAAAAACTTGGAATATGACATGGAGTTTTGAATCCATTAGGTTTGCAGGTGTTGTGAGACAATCAAAGACTGGAGAGACCAAAAAAAAAAAAACATTCAGGAGAGTTTACTAAGATGATCACTGGCCCAGCCAGACATATGTCCAGAAAGTCTGAGCCCAGAACAAAGGGCTTTTCTTACTTTTAAACATCTTAAGGCAGGAACTACATGAGGCAGGGAGCTAGTTACAGAAGCAAGAAACAAAGGCAGCATTACAACGTGTCTTACATCTTAAGAGAAACATGTCGTGCAACCTAAACTTATCAGTCTTGTGACCCTGCAGCTGTTCAGGAACCCTCTGGGATTCTAATAAACTTTGAGGAATGCAGACTTGGGGAGCACAGATAAGGTCCACCGTCCACAGAGAGAAGACAGGGTAGTGATATTCTCTTTTAACTTATAGGTAAGAAGGAGCCACACTGCAGCATCTTTAAGAGGATTTTAAAATTTCTATTACTACTAATATTAGGTGACAGTTGACTTCATTAATTCCTTCTTCGCAGGTATACCTTTTTTTCTGTGTGTGTGTGTGTGTGTGTGTATGTGTGTGTGTTTTTTGAGACAGAGTCTCACTCTGTCACCCAGGCTAGAATGCAACAGTGCGATCTTGGCTCACTGCAACCTCCACCTCTTGGGTTCAATGGATTCTCCTGCTTCAGCCTCCTGAGAAGCTGAGGTTAAAGGAGCACCACGATGCCTGGCTAATGTTTGTATTTTTAGTAGACATGGGGTTTTACCATGTGGGACAGGCTGGTCTTGAACTCCTGACCTCAAATTACCTGCCCTCCTTGGCCTCTCAAAGTACTGGGATTACAGGCATGAGCCACCACACCCAGCCCATTTTCTTGCATTTTGTTCTGCTTTGCTTTCAATAGAGGTGGCCTTTGGTATGCCTTCCTGCAACTGCTCTTCGTGCCTGTTATCAGAACAATGACAATATTTGAACCTCACTTGGGGGCGCATCACAAATCCAGGCCACTCCGGTCTTTTTACATCAACAATAGTTCTTGGTCTAAAGTCTCGTCTCCTCCTGCACCTTCCACCACCATGCTAACCACTCCTCTAATCCTATGCCCTAGGTTTGTAGATGAGGAAATAGGCTCCGGAAATCAGATCGCCCCAGAAACGCTATTACTGCATATATACACAGAGGAATGTGAATCATTCTACCATAAAGACACATGTAAGTGTGTGTACATCGCAGCACTATTCATAATAGGAAAGATATGGAATCAACCAGAATGCCAAAAAATGACAGACTGGATAAAGAAAATATGGTACATATACACCATGGAATACTATGTAGCCATAAAAACAACAATAACAACAAAATGAGATCTGAATCAAGAACAGGTTTACTCTCATATTCGTCTCTGTACACAAAACCAATATCTTTTTCTCAGCACCTTAGCTAATGAGAGTCACAGAAATGAAGAAAAAAAATCTAATAAAAATGTCTTTTTATTATATTTTTCTTAGTTTCATACTGTAGAAAACTTTAAATCCTCCCTGAAACTTAAGAAATGTTTCTCTGTGGCTTTTGCTGACCTCATTTTTCCAGAGCCTCTTCCCTTTTGGTTCTCAACAAGTATGGTTGATGCACTACACCAAAGGGTAAAAAAGGCAATTTGTTTACTCTCTTTGTCCTAAAGACAGTCAATGAATCTAGCCAAGTTTAAAAAATTCATATATCTGGCTGGGCAAGGTGGCTCACACCTGTAATCTCAGCACTTTGAGAGGCCAAGGTGGATGGATAACCTGAAGTCAGGAGTTCGAGAGCAACCTGGCCAAAGTGGTGAAATCCCATCTCTACTACAAATACAAAAATTAGTGGGGTGTTATGGCGGGCACCTGTAATCCCAGCTACTGGGGAGGCTGAGGCAGGAGAATCCCTTGAACCCAGGAGGCAGAGGTTGCAGAGAGCCAAGATCATGCCATTGCACTTCAGCCTGGGTGACAGAGCAAGACTGTCTCAAAAAAAAAAAAAAAAAGAAAATTCATATATCCTTGAAGCAGATCTTCCATGACAAAATGAAGCAGATATTTTGGAAGGAAGAAGAGAAGAAAACTCAAGTAGACAATACATGAAATTTAAGTAAATCTCAGTTAAAATTCAGGCTAGGTGAATTAATAGCCTGCTTTGGTACACAACAGTTAACACATATCTTTATTTTTTTTATTATACTTTAAGTTTTAGGGTACATGTGCACAATGTGCAGGTTTGTTACATATGTATACATGTGCCATGTTGTTGTGTTGCACCCATTAACTTGTCACTTAACATTAGCTGTATCTCCTAATGCTATCCCTCCCCCTCCCCAACCCCACAATAGGACCCAGTGAGTGATATACCCCTTCTGTGTCTATGTGTTCTCATTGTTCGATTCCCACCTATGAGTGAGAACATGCGGTGTATGGTTTTTTGTCCTTGCGATAGTTTGCTGAGACTGATGGTTTCCAGCTTCATCCATGTCCCTACAAAGGACATGAACTCATCATTTTTTATGGCTGCACAGTATTCCATGGTGTGTATGTGCCACATTTTCTTAATCCAGTCTATCATTGTTGGGCATTGGGGTTGATTCCAAGTCTTTGCTATTGTGAATAATGCCACAATAAACATACCTGTGCATGTGTCTTTATAGCAGCATGATTTATAATCCTTTGGGTATATACCCAGTAATGGGATGGCTGAGTCAATTGGTATTTCTAGTTCCAGGTCCCTGAGGCATCACCACACTGACTTCCACAATGGTTGAACTAGTTTACAGTCCCACCAACAGTGTAAAAGTGTTCCTATTTCTCCACATCCTCTCCAGCACCTATTGTTTCCTGAGTTTTTAATGATTGCCATTCTAACTGGTGTGAGATGGTATCTCATTGTGGTTTTGATTTGCATTTCTCTGATGGCCAGTGATAATGATCATTTTTTCATGTGTCTTTTGGCTGCATAAATGTTTTCTTTTGAGAAGTGTCTCTTGATATCCTTCAACCACTTTTTGATGGGATTGTTTGTTTTTTTCTTGTAAATTTGTTTGAGTTCATTGTAGATTCCGGATATTAGCCCTTTGTCAGATGAGTAGGTTGCAAAAATTTTCTCCCATTCTGTAGGTTGCCTGTTCACTCTGATGGTAGTTTCTTTTGCTTTGCAGAAGCTCTTTAGTTTAATTAGACCCCATTTGTCAACTTTGGCTTTTGTTGCCATTGCTTTTGGTGTTATAGACATGAAGTCCTTGCACATGCCTATGTCCTGAATGGTATTGCCTAGGTTTTCTTCTAGGGTTTTTATGGTTTTTGGTCTAACATGTAAGTCTTTAATCCATCTTGAATTAATTTTTGTTTAAGGTGCAAGGAAGGGACCTAGTTTCAGCTTTCCACATATGGCTAGGCAATTTTCCCAGCAGCATTTATTAACTAGGGAATCATTTCCCCAATTCTTGTTTTGTCTGGTTTGTCAAAGATCAGATAGTTTTAGGTATGTGGCATTATTTCTGAGGGCTCTGTTCTGTTCCATTGGTCTATATCTCTGTTTTTGTTCCAGTACCATGCTGTTTTGGTTACTGCAGCCCCGTAGTATAGTTTGAAGCCAGGTAGCTTGATGCCTCCAGCTTTGTTCTTTTGGCTTAGGATTGACTTGGCAATGCAGGCTGTTTTTTGGTTCCATATGAACTTTAAAGTAGTTTTTCCAATTCTGTGAAGAAAGTCATTGGTAGCTTGATGGGATGGCATGAATCTATAAATTACCTTGGGCAGTATGGCCATTTTTGTGTTACTGATTCTTCCTACCTGTGAAAATGGAATGTTCTTCCATTTGTTTGTATCCTCTTTTATTTCATTGAGCGATGGTTTGTAGTTCTTGAAGAGGTCCTTCATGTCCCTTTTAAGTTGGATTCCTAGGTATTTTATTCTCTTTGAAGCAACTGTGAATGGGAGATCACTCATGATTTGGCTCTCTGTTTGTCTGTTATTGTTGTATAAGAATTCTTGTGATTTTTGCATATCGATTTCATATCTTGAGACTTTGCTGAAGTTCCCTATCAGCTTAAGGAGATTTGAGGCTGAAACAATGGGGTTTTCTAGATACACAGTCATGTCATCTGCAAACAGGGACAATTTGACTTCCTCTTTTCCTAATTGAATACTCTTTATTTCCTTCTCCTGCCTGATTGCCCTGGAGAGAACTTCCAACACTATATTGAAAAGGAGTGGTGAGAGGGGGCATCCCTGTCTTGTGCCAGTTTTCAAAGGGGATGCTTCCAGTTTTTGCCCATTCAGTATGATATTGGCTGTGGGCTTGTCATAGATAGCTCTTATTATTTTGAGATACATCCCATCACTACCTAACTTATTGAGAGTTTTTAGCATGAAGCCTTGTTGAATTTTGTCAAAGACCTTTTCTGCATCTATTGAGATAATCATATGGTTTTTGTCATTGGTTCTGTTTATATGCTGGATTAAGTTCATTGATTTGCATATGTTGAACCAGCCTTGCATCCCAGGGGTGAAGCCCACTTGATCATGGTGGATAAGCTTTTTGATGTGCTGCTGGATTTAGTTTGCCAGTATTTTATTGAGGATTTTTGCATCAATGTTCATCAAGGATATTGGTCTAAAATTCTCTGTTTTTGTTGTGTCTCTGACAGGCTTTGGTATCAGAATGATGCTGGCCTCATAAAATGAGTTAGGGAGGATTCCCTTTTTTTCTATTGATTGGAATCATTTCAGAAGGAATGATACCAGCTCCTCCTTGTACCTCTGGTAGAATTCAGCTGTGAATCTATCTGGTCTTGGAATTTTTTTGGTTAGGAAGCTATTAATTATTGCCTCAATTTCAGAGCCTCGTATTGGTCTATTCAGAGATTCAACTTCTTCCTGGTTTAGTCTTGAGAGGATGTATGTCTCAAGGAATTTATCCATTTCTTCTAGATTTTCTAGTTTATTTGTGCAGAGATGTTTATAGTAGTCTCTGATGGTAGTTTGTATTTCTGTGGGATCAGTGGTGATATCCCCTTTATCATTTTTTATTGCATGTATTTGATTCTTCTCTCTTTTCTTCTTTATTAGTCTTGCTAGCAGTCTATCAATTTTGTTGATCTTTTCAAAAAAAAAAAACAGCTCCTGGATTCATTGATTTTTTGAAGTGTTTTTTTGTGTCTCTATTTCCTTCAGTTCTGCTCTAATCTTATTTATTTCTTTCCTTCTGCTAGCTTTTGAATGTGTTTGCTCTTGCTTCTCAAGTTCTTATAATTGTGATGTTAGGGTGTCAATTTTAGATCTTTCCTGCTTTCTCTTGTGGGCATTTAGTGCTATAAATTTCCCTCTACACACTGCTTTGAATGTGTCTTGGAGATTCTGGTATGTTGTGTCTTTGTTCTCATTGTTTTCAAAGAATATCTTTATTTCTGCCTTCATTTCATTATGTACCCATTAGTCATTGAGGAGCAGGTTGTTCAGTTTCCATGTAGTTGAGCAGTTGTGAGTGAGTTTCTTAATCCTGAGTTCTACTTTGATTGCACTGTTGTCTGAAAGACAATTTGTTATTATTTCTGTTCTTTTACATTTGCTGAGGAGTGTTTTACTTCCAACAATGTGGTCAGTTTTGGAATAGGTGCGTTGTGGTTCTGAAAGGAATATATATTCTGTTGATTTGGGGTGGAGAGTTCTGTAGGTGTCTGTTAGGTCCACCTGGTGCAGAGCTGAGTTCAATTCCTGGATATCCTTGTTAACTTTCTGTCTCATTGACCTGTTGACAGTGTGGTGTTAAAGTCTCCCATTATTATTGTGTGGGAGTCTAATTCTATTTGTAGGTCTCTAAGGACTTGCTTTATGAATCTGGGTGCTCCTGTATTGGGTGCATATATATTTAGGACAGTTAACTCTTCTTGTTGAATTGATGCCTTTAACATTACGTAATGGCCTTCTTTGTCTCTTTTGATCTGTGTTGGTTTAAAGTCTGTTTTATCAGAGACTAGGATTGCAACCCCTGCCTTTTTTTGTTTTCCATTTGCTTGGTAGATCTTCCTCCATCCCTTTATTTTGAGCCTATGTGTGTCTCTGCACGTGAGATGGGTTTCCTGAATACAGCACACTGATGGGTCTTGACTCTTTATCCAATTTGCCAGTCTGTGTCTTTTAATTGGAGCATTTAGTCCATTTGCATTTAAAGTTAATATTGTTATATGTGAATTTGATCCTGTCATTATGATGTTAGCTGGCTATTTTGCTCGTTAGTTGATACAGTTTCTTCGTAGCCTTGATGGTCTTTACAATTTGGCATGTTTTGTAGTGGCTGGTACTGGTTGTTCCTTTCTATGTTTAGTGCTTCCATCAGGAGCTCTTTTAGAGCAGGCCTGATGGTAACAAAATCTCCCAGCATTTGCTTGTCTGTAAAGTACTTTATTTCTCCTTCACGTATGAAGCTTAGTTTGGCTGGATATGAAATTCCAGGTTGAAAATTCTTTTCTTTAAGAATGTTGAATATTGACCCCTACCCTCTTCTGGCTTGTAGAATTTCTGCCGAGAGATCAGCTGTTAGTCTGATGGGCTTGCATTTGTCGGTAACCCGACCTTTCTCTCTGGCTGCCCCTAACATTTTTTCCTTCATTTCAACTTTGGTGAATCTGACGATTATGTGTCTTGGAGTTGCTTTTCTCAAGGAGTATCTTTGTGGCTTTCTCTGTATTTCCTGAATTTGAATATTGGACTGCCTGCTAGATTGGGGAAAGTCTCCTGGATAATATCCTGCAGAGTGTTTTCCAACTTGTTTCCATTCTCCCCATCACTTTCAGGTACACCAATCAGATGTAGATTTGGTCTTTTCACATAGTCCCATATTTCTTGGAGGCTTTGTTCATTTCTTTTTATTCTTTTTTCTCTAAACTTCTCTTCTGTATTAGTCTTGCTAGCTAGTTTCATTTCATTCATCTGATCTTCCGTCACTGATACCCTTTCTTCCATTTGATCAAATCGGCTACTGAGGCTTGTGCTTTCTTTGCATAGTTCACATGCCTTGGTTTTCAGCTCCATCAGGTCCTTTAAGAACTTCTCTGCATTGTTTATTCTAGTTAGCATTTGTCTAAATTTTTTTCAAGGTTTTTAACTTCTTTGCCATGGGTTTGCACTTCCTCCTTTAGCTCGGAGTAGTTTGATCATCTGAAGCCTTCTTCTCTCAACTCTTCAAAGTCATTCTCCATCCAGCTTTGTTCCATTGCTGGTGAGGAGCTGCGTTCCTTCAGAGGAGGAGAGGTGCTCTGCATTTTAGAGTTTCTAGTTTTTCTGCTCTGTTTGTTCCCCATCTGTGTGGTTTTATGTACCTTTGGTCTTTGATGATGGTGAAGTACAGAAGGGATTTTGGTGTGGATGTCATTTCTGTTTATCAGTTTTCCTTCTAACAGTCAGGACCCTCAGCTGCATGTCTGCTCGAGTTTGCTGGAGGTCCACTCCAGACCCTGTTTGCCTGGGTATCAGCAGTGGAGGCTGCAGAATAGCAGATACTGGTGAGCAGCAAATGTTGCTGCTTGATCATTCCTCTGGAAGTTTTGTCTCAGAGGAGTACCTGGCTGTGTGAGGTTTCAGTCTGCCCCTACTAGGGATTGCCTCCCAGTTAGGCTACTTAGGGGTCAGGGACCCATTTGGGGAGGCAGTAAGTCCATTCTCAGATCTCCAGCTGCATGCTAGGAGAATCACTACTCTCTTCAAAGCTCTCAGACAGAGACATTTAAGTCTGCAGAGGATTCTGCTGTCTTTTGTTGGGCTATGCCTTGCCCCCCAGAGGAGGGGTCCAGAGAGGCAGGAAGGTCTCCTTGAGCTGCAGTGGGCTTCACCCAGTTTGAGCTTCTAGACCACTTTGTTAATCTACTCAAGCCTAGGCAATGGTGGGTGTCCCTCCCCATACCCGCCTCGCTGCCGCCTTGCAGTTTGATTGCAGACTGCTGTGCTAGCAATGAGCAAGGCTCCATGGGTGTAGGACCCTGTGAGCCATGTGTGGGATATAATCTCCTGGTGTGCCATTTGCTAAGACCATTGGAAAGGCACAGTATTAGGGTGGGAATGACCAGATTTTCCAGATGCCTTCTGTCACCCATTTTTTTGACTAGGAAAGGGAATTCCTTGACCCCTTGCACTTCTTGGGGGAGGCAATGCCTCGCCCTGCTTCAGCTTACACTGGGTGACTGCACCCACTGCCCTGCACCCACTTTCTGACACTCCCCAGTGAGATGAGCCCCATACCTCAGTTGGAAATGCAGAAATCACCCATCTTCTGTGTTACTCACACTGGGAGCTATAGACTAGAGCTGTTCCTATTCAGCCATCTTGGCTACACCCCAACATTTAAGACTTTAATCCATCTTGAAATAATCTACTCATCTGACAAAGGGCTAATATCCAGAATCTACAATGAACTCAAACAAATTTACAAGAAAAAGACAAACAATCCCATCAGAAAGTGGGCAAAGTTTATGAACAAATACTTCTCAAAAGAAGACATTTATGCACCCAAAAGACACATGAAAAAATGCTTATCATCACTGGCCATCAGAAAAATGCAAATCAAAGCCACAGTGAGATACCATCTCACACCAGTTAGAATGGTGATCATTAAAAAGTCAGGAAACAACAGGTACTGGAGAGGATGTGGAGAAATAGGAACACTTTTACACTGTTGGTGGGACCGTAAACTAGTTCAGCCATTGTGGAAGTCAGTGTGGTGATGCCTCAGGGATCTAGAACTGGAAATACCATTTGACCCAGCCATCCCATTACTGGGTATATACCCAGTAATAAATCATGCTGCAATAAAGACACATGCACACATACGTTTATTGCAGCACTATGCACAGTAGCAAAGACTTGGAGCCAAGCCAAATGTCCAGCTTGTGGACCAATATGTGCCACATTTTCCAATTAAGAAAATGTGGCACATATACACCATGGAATACTATGCAGCCATAAAACATGATGAGTTCATGTCCTTGGTAGGGACATAGATGAAGCTGGAAACCATCATTCTCAGCAAACTGTCTTAAGGACAAAAAACCAAACACCACATGTTCTCACTCATAAGTGGGAATTGAACAATGAGAACACATGGACCCAGGAAGGGGAACATCACACACTGGGGCCTGTTGTGGGGTGATGAGGTGGGGAGGGATAGCATTAGGAGATATACCTAATGTAAATGATGAATTAATGGGTGCAGCACACCAACATGACACATGTATACATATGTAACAAACCTGCACATTGTGCACATGTACCCTAAAACTTAAAGTGTAATAAAAAAATCTTAGATCAAAGAATTTTCAAGCCAGAATTTCTTATACAGATGAACTAAGCTGCATCAGTGAAGGTGAAAGAAAATCCTTTCCAGACAAGCAAATGTTGAGAAATTTTGTCAGCACCAGACCTGTCTTACAAGAGCTCATGAAGGAAGTACCACATATGGATAGTAAAAACTGGTACCAGCCACTGTAAAAACATACCAAATTGTAATGACCATCGACACTATAAAGAAACAGCATCAACTAATGGGCAAAATGACCAGCCAGCATCATAATAACAGGATAAAATTTACACATAACAATATTAACCTTAAATGTAAATGGGCCAAATGCCCCAGTTAAAAGACACAGACTGGCAACTTGTATAGAAAGCCAAGACCCAACAGTGTGCTCTATTCAAGACACCCATTTCATATACAAAGGCACATATAGGCTCAATATAAAGGGATGGAGGAATATTTGCCAAGCAAACGATCAGCAAAAAAGTAGAGGTTGCAATCCTTTTCTCTGATTAAAAAAAAGACTTTAAACCAACAAAAATCAAAAAACATAAAAGGAGGGCATAAAATAATGGTAAAGGGATCGTAACAAGAAGAAGAGCGAACTGTACTAAATATAAATGCACTCAATACAGGAGCACCCAGATTCATAAAGCAAGTGCTTAGAGATCTACAAAGGGACATAGACTCCCACACAATAATGGTGGGGGACTTTAACACCCCACTGTCAGTAATAGACAGATCAACAAAATAGAAAATGAACAAGGATATTCAGGACTTGAACTCATCCTTGGACCAAGTGGACCTAATAGACATCTAGAGAAGTCTCCACTGAAAATCAACAGATTATACGTTCTTCTCAGCACCACATAGCACTTATTCTAAAAATGACCACATAATTGGAAGTAAAACACTCCACAGCAAATGCAATAAAGGGAAATCATAACAAACAGTCTCTCAGTTGCAATCCAATTACAACTGAGGATTAAGAAACTCACTCAAAACTCCACAACTACATGGAAACTCAACAACCTGCTTCTGAATGACTACTGGATAAATGAGGAAATTAAGACAGAAATAAATCAGTTCTTTGAAACCAATGAGAACAAAGATACAATGTACCAGAATCTCTGAGAGAGAGCTAAAGCAGTGTTTAGACGGAAATTTATAGCACTAAATGCTCACAGGAGAAAGTGGGAAAGATCTAAACTGAAGGAGACAGAGACAGGAACAAGCCTTCAAAAAAACAAAAAAAAAAATCAATGAATCCAGGAGCTGGTTTTTTGAAAAGATTAACTAAATAGACCGCTAGCCAAACTAACAAAGAAGAAAAAAGAAAAGAATCAAATGACACAATAGAAAAGATAAAGGGGATATCACCACTGATCCCACAGAAATACGAACTACCGTCAAAGAATACTATAAACACCTCTATCCAATTAATCTAAAACATCTAGAAGAAATGGATAAATTCCTGGACACATACACCCTAGTTCTAGGGTTTAGTTCTAGGGAACTAAACCAGGAAGAAGTCAAATCACTAAATAGACCAATAACCATTTCTGAATCTGAGGCAATAATTAATAGCTTACCAACCAAAAAAAGCTCTGGAACAGATAGATTTACATTTGAATTCTACCAGAGGTAGAAAGAGGAGGTGGAACCATTTTTTTTTTTTCCTGAAACTATTACAAACAATAGAAAAAGAGTGAATCCTCCCTAACTCCATGTATTATTATTATGACTTTTTATTTTGTTTATTTGGACATATCCTTCCAGAGATGTCATTACTATCTTAGTCATTTGGATGTTTTCTAAATTGATTTTATTGTTTTATATCTTGTTTCCCTTCAGTTTATTCTTTCTATGTGCCTCTGTTTAGTTTTTTTTGTTATTTTTTATTTTTTATATGTATTTAATTTTATTTATTTTGAGGCAGTCTTGCTCAGTTACCCAGGCTGGAGTGGGGTGGCTCAATCTTGACTCACTGCAACCTTTGCCTCCTGGATTCAGGTGATTATCCTGCCTCAGCCTCCCAGGTATCTGGGATTACATGCACCTACCAGCACACCCAGCTTTTTTTTTTTTTTTTTCAGTAGTAGATATAGGGTTTTGCCATGTTGGTCAGGCTGCTGTCGAACTCCTGACCTCAGGTGATCCACCTGCCTCAGCCTTCCAAAGTGCTGGATTACAGGCATAAGCCACAGCATCTGGACTACTCCCTGTTTTATTTGATAATGATCTAAAATGAATTCCCCCAATTTCATGTTAATAGGTGTCAAATTAAGATTCCATTCAAACCACGGTGGTCTGAGTACTGCTGGTTGGCTCACTCCATCTGCTTCATTCTAGCTTTTCTAGTTTTTCTTTAAATTCAAGGTGCTTATATTATGTGAATTCAAAAAGAAATGATTTCTGCTAGTGCACTGCTTCAAGTATGTCCATCTAAGCTAGATATAGGAATTTCTGTTTCTCTTTTATGGTTCCCGACTGGGTCCATTTGTTGCAGGCCACTAGAACCACTGGTGCATTAGTAGCACCCAGGTCACTATTCTATGAAGTGCACTAAAGCCCCAGAAACCAGGAGGATGGAAGAAGGAACTTCCTGTCTTGGTGTACAATATGGGGTTATGAGATTCCAACATTGCTTTTTTTATCCTCCCACACATTTCTGATTTTAGTGAAGTGCTTCTTTTCTATTTTGCAGTCATTGACACTTGTTAAATGTCAGGAACAAGGTAAAATGACAAATAAACTGAAATATGCATTTATTTTACGTACATAACTTTACCTTGGGACAGTTAATACTATCTAAATATTGCCTTCTTCTAGGGTTGACATTTGTCTCTTGTAGCTGGGCTGGAAATCACTTTCGGGTGTGAATTATTTACTTAAAGTAGTTGCTTCTGTCCTGAAGTCAATGTTAAGTCAATGTTGACTTTTTTTCCATGCACTGTCTCTTCTTAGAGTGTTTGTATTTACCAGAAGTCTTTGAGCTGAATCCAGTAAATGAATGTTAGGCCCACCTAACCTGGTTGACCAGATGTACCTGGAGATGCTACATCCAGGCAGTTACTAGGTGTTAATTTATTCTCCAGAGGTATCTGCAAACTTCATGCATACTGGCTCAGAAACTCACTGATTCATCATACAAACAGTGATACCCTTAAACCTCCTAGACTAAATTGCCCCACTTCACTTGTTATATTTTGTCAGGCAGTGCCTCTGAGAGCCCTTGTGTTCTGTGAAATGCCTCAAGGCTTTGGCTTGATATTCCAGGTTAAGGCAAAGTTAGAACTGCTTCAAATCCCTTCTCTCCCCAGTCTAAGGGTTCTCAACTTTGCGACTACTGATATTTTGTCTGGACATTTCCTTGCTGTGAGAGGCTGTCCCATGCACTGTAGGGTACTCAGCCACATCACTGGCCTCTATCCACTGGATCCCAATTTCACCACCACCTTCTGAGGTGACAGCCAAAAATGTGTTCCGACATTGCCAAACATTATCTCATAGCATGTCTGGAAAAGCTGTGGGCTAGCACCCTCTCCTGAATATTCACAAAGAGCAGTAATTTGGCAAAGACTCTGAAGAGTCCCATGGTACAAATCAGGTCAACTACATTTTCCAAATTTATGGAGTTATTTATTAGAGGACATCCTACAAAGGTAGCCTTGAACAGAAGAAAACTATAGAGTACTATTCTAGAAAAGCTCCTTGTAACCTTATTTTAAGCACATGAGACCAGCACCTGATCTAACTTAACATACTTGTGAAAATACAGCCCATAATCAAATTTTTTTAAAACCTCTTATTATTTACTTATGAATATCAATGCGTGCCATAATAGGTACACTTGTAATGGAGATTATCACTCCAAAATTACTTTACTCCATGACTTATTTTATCATATTATTTATTTGACATATATTAATGTGTGTTTGTATACCCACAGATATATATATACACACACACACACACACATATGTGTGTGCATGCAAAAAAATACATTATATATTTTTTTCTGGCAATAGACAGTGTCCCAATAGTAACACCCTGTTGTATTCTTGTTATGCTGACAATATACTATTTGGTTAATTATTAGAACACACCTCTTAATGCTTTGATTTCATTTAGTATTTGATAAGTTTTACATTTGCAATATGCTGCAAAGACCACAAGCATTGAAGTCAGCTGTGCATCCAACTTTCTCTTTCCTTAGCAAATACAGCAGTGCTAGAAAAATCACTCCAGCCTCCCAAACTAAGAATGATAATATTTATTCCAGAAAATTATTGTCTTGCTCTTGGAGGAATAAGTAAAATTTTCTTGGCACTGAAGATGCTCATGAGAAATTAATTTACTTCCAAGATCCAACCCCACCACCTACTGATTACAGAGAAGGAATGCTCTGATATTTTTTACAAGTTTATGGAGTTTAAAAAAAATATTTTTTATTATAGAAGGTATACTTCCATGCTTATTGCTAAAATGCTAAAATCATATAAATGTGCAAAGAACAAAAAAAAATAGCTATCATTGTTCAGAGTTAGATGTGTTTCCTCGCCATCTTTTTTTACTCTGTATTTTGCAGACTTTTAATGAAAACATGAGACAATAGCATATATTGTCTTTCCTGAGATAAATTCTGACCTCTTATCTTCTCCCAGGATATTGAAAGATCTTCTCAGAGGCCTGTTGTTTTCTATAAAGCAGGCGAGGAAGAAAAGAGGTGCTGTAGATTTTGTCATTCAACTACATCCTAATTCAGGGGTTGTCAAAGTTGTATAAAGAGCCAATAGTAAGGATTTCAGGCCTTGTGGGCCATGTTGTCTTGGTCACAGCTACTCAGTACTGCTCTTGTAGCACAAAGCAGAATGAAACTGCAGCCACAGGCAATACATAAATGAATGGGCATTATTGAGTTTCAATAAAACTTTATTTACAAAAGCAGGGGATGGACAGAATTTGGCTTCCAAGCTGTAATCAGCTACTTCCTATGCTACAGTGGCAAATGATGACAAGGAATAAACAGGTAATAAAGTTCTAGAAATAAACTAGCACTTTTATCAAACTGCTAATACAGTTCTTGTTCTGAAAAAAAAGGAAATTAAAAAGAGCATCTGAGGGGGAAAATACTGTGTGACTAGATAATCATGTCTTAAAATTTTTTATCAGGGAAAAATAGTGCACTTCTGAATACTTTTCA
This sequence comes from Homo sapiens, assembly GCF_000001405.40. Taxonomy (NCBI): domain Eukaryota; kingdom Metazoa; phylum Chordata; class Mammalia; order Primates; family Hominidae; genus Homo; species Homo sapiens. Next base: position 15,706,832 of record NC_000024.10, on the reverse strand, counting down.
GAATGAAACCCTGTCACACGCTTCACCGACTGTTGTTTTGTTGACAGGCAACCTATACGAGGGAATACCGATCCTACTATAATCCCCATGATTCAGCATTTTCTGGCTGATTTCCAAGTTGTAACCATTTCTGCCACTACATAAATCTCTTTAATTATTTTCTTAAAATGTAGTCCTCTCTGTCTTTTCTGATCAATCAATTTCCCTTCTGCAAACTTCAGATTTGACCAGCCACACAAGGCTGACAGAATTCTTAAAGGATATTTTGTGATTAGACAATTTTCTTCAAGGATGATTTCTGAAAAACCAAAAACACAATTATATTATTATTTTTTAAGGAATATTTTTGAGATCAAGATGAATTTCTGCTGCATTTCTTTAAAAAAAAAATCTTCAATGTACTACAGATTAAACCATTGCAGAGTCTACAGACAGATGGGGTTTTAGTTCAGTAAAATTGTGTGACCACTGTAGCCAAAGTTGTTGCTCTGCCAAATTGTCAGCAGCTCCCTTTTACCCTCTGTGAGACAACCACTCACTGTTGAGTACTTTTTTTCTAAGACTTTTATAAGGGAAACTGTTGTCATTGGGTCACTGGAACACGGAGAAATACCAGTAGTTAATGTCACTTCTCATTCTGCATCTCTATCTTCTCAGTCACCAAAGCCCCAACATCACCAGTAATTGAATGGGGGTAGAGAGGAATACCCAGCTCCCTTACTTTCAGGCAAAAAATAAAAATAAAAAAAAAAGATGAGTCAGAAATCCTCTAAGACATTATGTAAGGCTCAGTGCTCCCCAGACGTCACACTGAGCCTGGGACTTTGCAGAAATCACACTCTATTTGACTTTCTCCATTTTCTAACCTGCTTCCTCATTCCTCGGCTGGCTTCCCCTCCCTGAGAGTTCCAAGAACTCCATTTTATGAGCCCCATTTTGGGACCCTGACCTAAAGCCCTAAGCTGTAGTAGGCACTGTATTGGTTACTCGCAGCTTTTCCTCACTTATAACTACTTATGAGTCCATGCCAACCTGGCTAGTATGCCGTAAACTACACAGAGGGCTTGGGTCAATTGTCCAAGCAACTTTGCTAAGAGAAATCTAAAGAATGTGCATTTATCAGGTAGGTCTATAATTACTTGCATTTTTTTCCAGATTTTCCATGCTGGTGACAGGCCATTGCATGGATAGTATAAATTATTAGTCAGGGTTCTTCAGAGAAACAGAGCCAATTGGAGATTGCTTTTCCAACTGGATAGAGAGAGCTAGATAAATAGATAGATAATAGATAGATGATAGATAATAGATAGATAATGATTATGATGAAGATAGATAGATAGATAGATAGATAGATAGATAGATAGATAGATAATTATTAAGAAACTGGCTCATGAAATTGAGGAGGCTGAAAATTCTCATGATCTGCCATCTATAACTGAAGAGCCAAGAAATGCAGATGCATCATTCAATCTGAATCTGAAAGCCCAAGAACTAGAGAGCTGATAGTGTAAAAGCCCTATCCAAGGCAGCAGATGATGAGATGTCTCCACTCAAGCAGTAAGGCAAAAGAAAAAGGAGAAAGCTGAATTCCTCCTTCATCTGCCTTTTGTTCTATTGAGTGTCTCAACATATTGGGTGACAGCCGCCCACACTGCAGAGGGCAAGCTCTTTGCCCACGTTGTCAGCTGATTCACATGCTAATCTCATTCTGAAGAGCCTCACAGACATCACTGGAAATCATGTTTAAGCAGGTATCTGGGCATCCTCTGACCCAGCCCAGGTGACATATAAAATTAGTTGGTGCAAGTCATGTCTTGCAACAGCTAATGCCTCTTTCAAGGCGTTATAAGAATTATCTAGACAGTTAACTCTCTTTTAACCACACGACACTTACATCTGATTCTGCCGAGGTATTTTGATGGCAAAAAGGCTAGAGCCTACACTGATGAATACCATCGCCTCTGCTCTCAGATCAATACAGTCTAAACCTGTCCCAAAATACAATTTTTATCTATTTATGCAGCACAGATCAAGCCCTGGTAAACTGATTTGAAATGATGATACAGAATAATTTATGAAGCAAAATGTCAGCTTGCAGACTAGCCATTAAAAGAAGTTGAGTTTATTTATAGGGGTTTGTGTACAGCTTAGCCCACCTCAGTTGGTTAGTTTTGTACATAGGAACCAAGATATATTATCTCATGTGAACTTTTGTAGGAATTAGAGTAAAATGATCTAAGAAAGGCCAAAGCTAGGCTTAGCATGAACATCCTAAACCCTTAAATAGGAGGCATTTGTATTGGAAATTAGCTCAAATACTCATTGCTGTGGACTTCCAATTGTTTGCATAATGGAACATGTCTGACACCAATGAGATTTCAACAAAGGTGGTTTTGTTTTACCTATGTTCCTGTTCTGGCTTTTAAAGATACTTTAGAATTATGGTGATTATTTTACTTTTTATTATCAATTAAGCCTGAGCATGTTATGTGCATTTTATTTTCTGTTTTGCAGCTATGATAACATTTCTTGCAGCCTAAATGCCTAAATAACCTGACTTGATAACTATTGGAGTTCAGTATCAGATGACTTTACAGGAAGGCTATTTTGAAAAATATATATATATATATATATATATATATATATATAAAATTAATTGCACCTGAGTAAACTAGATTAAAGTGTTGTCATGGCTTTGAACACTAAAAGTTTTCTTAACTAGACATGAAGAACACAAATCTCATCGAGGTGTGGTATGGAGTTCACCTGTAGTCCCAGACACTTGGGAGGCTAAGTCAGGAGAATTGCTTGAGGCCAGCATTTCAAAGCTGCAGTGAACTATGACCATATAATTATGCCACTGCACACCAGCCTGAGCAACAGCATGACACCCTGTTTCTCTCTCTCTCTCTCTCTCTCTCTCTCACACACACACACACAGACACAGAAGTGATTGATATTTTGATAGCCTCAAAAGTTATTCAATAAATTGTTTAGCCACTACTTTGACACACAATAATAAACAAGACAAAAAAACATAAACTGCTGTTGTTATAAGGGTTTTGTGCATGTAATTGACAAATGTTGTGTATCAGTAATATATGTATGTAAATATATATAATATGAAAGATTTCATAGTCAAAATGTATGTATGTGTGTGTGTGTACATTTCTATAAATCTATTACCAAAAAAATGGTCAAATAATATAAACAGGAAATTCTCAGAAAATTCAAATGACTAATAACTACATAAAATGATATTTGACTTCACTGATAACCAGAATAATGCAAATAAAAAATATAAGTGAGCTCTGGGAGGCAGAGGTGGGAGGTTCACTTGAGGTCCGGAGTTCGAGATCAGCCTGGGCAACGTGGCAAGACCCTGTCTCTGCAAAAAAAAAAAATAATAACTACAATACATTATTACATCATAACAATCAGATCAGCAAATATTTTAAAGTTTCAGTTTAAATAGTCAGAATGTAAATTGTTTCAAACCCCATTTTGCTAAGCAATAATAAGTAAATACACCTATCCTCTGAGCCAGCTACTTCACTCTTCATTACGCATACTGAAGAATTGCTCATATTGGTGTTCAAAAGGACAAGTATGGGAATGCTCCTTGAGGCATTTTTCATGAGAGCAAAAAACTGGAAACAATCTAAGTTTTCATCAGTAGAGGAATAAAGCCACGGGTTGTATAGCCACACGATGAAAACATGAACAGTAGAACAAATGAGTCAAGTAGAGATATATTAACATAAAAAAATCTAACAAATTCCAGGCAAGAGCAATGGCAAGTAACAGAAGGATATGCACAATATAAATGATTTATTTGCATAAGTGCTTTACATCATTATAGCTTTAAATCATGCAAAACATGTCTATGTGTAGTTTCTGAATAGCTAATATATAGCAACAATTTTAAAATATGTGTAAAGACTAAATGCCAAATTTATGGTCCAGATTTGAGGCAGGGGAAGGGGTGTAGGCAGAGAAGACAGTATGGAAATAAGGTAAAAGTTACCAAAAAATTCAAATGTGTCTGACATTTTCTATGATTAAGTGTATATAGAAAATAGGCAGATAAACAGATTATGATGATAATAATGATAGATAGCTAGATAGATAATATACAATAGATAAATAGATGATAGGATGGATAGAAAGAGAAATGATAGATGAATAGATAGATTATAGATAGGATAGAAAGAGAGATGATAGGATGGATAGGTAGCTAGATAATAGATGATAGGATGTATAGTTGATAGGTAGATAGATAATAGAATGGATAAATACAGATTAATTTTCATTTTTTTATCTGTAATTCCCTTAGAAGAACCATTAAATATTTGTCAGACAGTCATAAGGTCTAAGTCTACACCAGGCACTATTTATTTAGTGAAAATAACTAAGCCATTTCATTTTCTCAAGACAAATGATGGGACTCTGAGACCATGAATGTTTTAAGTGGATTTCTGGATCACAGCCAATGAGCTGACTCTTTGTTTTGCTCCACTTCCACCCAGTTAGGTGTGTTGTTAGTCATTAAAAACTAATTTGATCTCACTATAAGTGGATTGTGGCTGAGAAGTTGATCATTCAGGTAAAGTTAAAAATAAAATCGCAATAAAATCAAAGTCACCATTGTCTTCTGGATTATTGTTGGCATGGGATCTTTTCATGAGTATAGGTGTCAGAGGGTTAAGGGTTTCATGGAATTCTACTTTTGGGAATAAATATTCATCCATGTCATTTAAGGTGTGGAGACTATCATTGTAAGCAGGTCACTATTCTGCTGCCTCTTTTTCCTTGCAAGGTCATTTTAAGTAACTAAAGTCTTATGCTGTTTCTATGAAAAGAAACTTATAGCACATTCATAGAAAGAAATATGTGCAAGAGAAATTTTCAAAAGAGAAGTAGCAGTTAACTTGCTGCTCTGTAACACAGTCTATGCAAATTATTTTCAGAATTCATTTTTTTAATTTTCTAAAATGAGTGTCTTCTATTTATTTATTTTTATTATACTTTAAGTTCTAGGGTACATGTGCACAACGTGCAGGTTTGTTACATATGTATACATATGCCATGTTGGTGTGCTGCACACATTAACTCGTCATTTACATTAGGTATATCACCTAATGCTATCCCTCCCCTCTCCCCGATGCCATAACAGGCCTCGTTGTGTGATGTTCCCCTTCCTGTGTCCAAGTGTTCTCATTGTTCAATTCCCACCTATGAGTGAGAACATGCGGTGTTTGATTTTTTGTTCCTGCAATACTTTGCTGAGAATTATGGTTTCTAGCTTCATCCATGTCCCTACAAAGGACATGAACTCATCCTTTTTTATGTCTGCACAGTATACCATGGTGCACATGTGCCACATTTTCTTAATCCAGTCTATAAGTGATGGACATTTGGGTTGTTTCCAAGTCTTTCCTATTGTGTATAGTGCAGCAATAAACATACCTGTGCATGTGTCTTTATAGCAGCTTGACTTATAATCATTCGGGTATATAACCAGTAATGGGATGGCTGGGTCAAATGGTATTTCTAGTTCTAGATCCTTGAGGAATCACCACACTGTCTTCCACAGTGGTTGAACCAGTTTACAGTGCCACCAATAGTGTAAAAGTGTTCCTATTACTCCACATTCTCTCCAGCACCTGTTGTTTCCTGGCTGTTTTATGATGGTATCTCATTGTGGTTTTGATTTGCATTTCTCTGATGGCCAGTGATAATGAGCATTTTTTCATGTGTCTGTTGGCTGCATAAATGGCTTATTTTGAGAAGTGTCTGTTCATATACTTTGCCCACTTTTTGATGGGGTTGTGTGTTTTTTTTCTTGTAAATTTGTTTGAGTTCATTGTAGATTCTGGATATTAGCCCTTTGTCAGATGAGTAGATTGCAAAAATTTTCTCCCATTCTGTAGGTTGTCTGTTCACTCTGATGGTAGTTTCTTTTGCTGTGTGGAAGCTCTTTAGCTTAATTAGATCTCATTTGTCAATTTTGGCTTTTGCTTCCATTGCTTTTGGTGTTTTAGACATGAAGTCCTTGTCCATGCCTATGTACTGAATGGTATTGCCTAGGTTTTCTTCTAGGGTTTTTATGGTTTTACAAAAATCCTTAATAAAGTACTTGCAAACCGAATCCAGCAGCACATCAAAAACCTTATCCACCATGATCAAGTGAGCTTCATTCCTGGGATGCAAGGCTGGTTTAACATAAGAAAATAATAAACCTAATCCAGCATATAAACAGACCAAAGACAAAAAACACATGCTTGTCTCAATAGATGCAGAAAAGGCTTTTGACAATATTCAACAGCGCTTCATGATAAAAACTTTCAATAAATTAGGTATTGGAGGGACGTATCTCAAAATAATAAGAGATATCTATGACAAACCCACAGCCAATATCATACTGAATGAGCAAAAACTGAAAGCATTCCTTTTGAAAACTGGCACAAAACTGGGATGCCCTCTCTCACCACTCCTATTCAACATAGTGTTGGAAATTCTGGCCAGAGCAATCAGGCAGGAAAAAGAAATAAAGGGTATTCAATTAGGAAAAGAGGAAGTCAAATTGTCCCTCTTTGCAGATGACATGATTGTATATTTAGAAAATCCCATCTTCTCAGCCCCAAATCTCCTTAAGCTGATAAGCAACTTTAGTAAAGTCTCAGGATACAGAATTCTTGATAAGAAGGTTAGCTAACTTTCAAATATTAAGACTAAAAATAAAATTATTTAATATTTGCCATCTATGAACCTCATCAACAATCATAGCATTATTAACCTCATGGTAAATATCCCAGAATTATAATAATTTGATATTGTTGAACACACACTTGCCTAACTTCAAAATTTCCAGAAAGTTACTTCTGTGTGCTTTCTATTCAGATTAGAAAAAGAGAATAACAAAGAGTTTTCCCTTTCATGTAACCTCTTGAAATGCATTTTCAAGGATGAAAGACAATGGACTCTACCTATCATATCACAGAAGAGGATGGGTGAAGAGACTTAAAGTTCAAGTACAAGGGCTCAGTCAGTTACAAAGAGTATATTATCATTCCCTATCTTTGTGATAATACCCTTCAATAAAACTCAAAGATTTCATGCCAAGATTATCTTTTAAAATGACAATTTTATGCCAGGGATAGGAATTACACATCTCCAGAGGACACAGCACAAGGATTTTTTAATTAATATTACAGCATTACTATTAAATAAACAATAATCAATATAATCTCCACTCTTCAGAGGGCTGGCTTACTTACCAAACTGTGTGGCATACCAAAAGTTTTCAGAGATAAGAGTCCTCCCCTTGTCCTCTTAGAAGTAAGCAGAGGTCTGAGATAACAGACAAGGAGTTCCCTATTGGGGAGTGACTTACCACAAGTTAGCAACCTCTTTTTTTCTTCTTTTTTGAGACAGAGTCCTGCTGTGTCACCCAGGCTGAGTGCAGTCGTGCAATCTTGGATCACTGCAACCTCTGTCTCCTGGGTTCAAGTGATTCTCAGGCCTCAGCCTTCTGAGTATCTGGGATTACAGGTGTGTGCCACCACACCCAGATAATTTTTGTAATTTTACTAGAGACAGAATTTCATCATCTTGGCCAGGCTGGTCTCATACTTATGACCTCAAGTGATCTGCCCACCTCAACCTCCCAAAGTGCTAGGATTACAGGCATGAGACACCATGCCTAGCCACAAGTTAGCAATGTCTTTTAATAGGATATGAGAGAACGTCAAGGCTTATTCTCAAAATCCATTCATCTTTTCTCAGTAACGAAATCCAGTTAGCTGACATAAGTGTTAGAGACATCACATAACAGATACTCTCTCGTAATAAAATCTCCTTTAAACATTTTGAGACAATGCTTTGAATAAACTCCAAAGGAAAAAATAATACCAGGAAATGCTTCTACTGTCTGAGAAATCATTTTATGTATTTATTTGTTTCTTGCTGGCTGATAACTACATACGAAGTTCCACAGGCATGTATTCTGTGCTGGGCACTGGGTGAGTACCAGGAAATACACCAATAAATGACCAGAAACACAGGTAAATGCAGGGTGCTTGGAGGCATGTTAACATAAAGAAATGTGCACCATGCTAGCTTGAGCAGAAGCAAACTCAGACCAAATCAAGGATGAAATTTAACTCATGCTTCATTATCTACTCCAAAAAACTTTTTTAAATTCAAGACTTCTTCAATGTTTTCTTAGTCTATGGCTGAAAGAGATGGTTCAAATCTTATGGTGGTTAGGGCATGAGTCCTATTTGACATGATTATAAATAGTGCTGCCGAAAACAGTGATTTCCATTCTGATGGTGAACAAATGTACAGATTTTTAGGATTGGAAATGTTGGCCCATAAAACATGAATACATTCTGCAATATTTAAATACTGCCCAACAGTTTTCTAAAATGACCAATTTATACTTTCACCCATCAAGTATGAAATTTCTATTAATTCCATGTCTTCACTAATATTTGATGTTTATCTTTTTGATTTTAGCAAATTCTGAAGGTTGTGTAGTGGTATCACACAGTGGTTTCAATTTGCATATCCCTGATGGCTGGTAAGTTTGAGATGCTTTGAATATGTTCATTGGTTTTCTAAATAGTCACTTTTGAAAGATCTGATTCCTTCTCACCTTTCTATTTGCTTTTCTACATCTTTTTGATATTGACTTATAGAAGTTCTTTATATATTCAGTCAGTCATCAGATATGTGAAACTATTTTCAACTCTCTAATTGGCTGCATCACTTCTTTAATGGTATATATTAATGAATACAAATTATGCATATTTTTATTTTTGATTTTTGTATGATTTATATTTCCCAAATGACTGTGCATTCTACCCATGACCAGTGAAAAGCACACATTTCAGTAATAGACTTTATTAAATGCATCCATTGTAGCTTTCAACAAGCTACATCCTGTGTACCTGTTCATGTAGTTAAATCATCATACACAGAACATGAACTGTACCACAGCATGGTTGTCTTTATCATAACAGCAGTTTAATTACTACTGGTGGATATTTTTAGATGTGAAGATTTAAGCAACACTCAATAGGTTCACCATAAAAAAATCAGCAAGCAGTTTACACTAAATGATAATTTCATTTAGTGAGATATGATATATACATGATAATTTCATATATGATAATTTCATATCAAATGAATATTCTTAAGCTATTAGAGGAAGTTTTGTTTAGTCAGTGATTCCCAAATCCATCTAGATTAGTCATCAGACTTATTCTTTGAGCTACGTTCAATTTGCTTTTTTTCAGATATCTATCTGAGTTTGACTCTAGATAACATATCTCTTGAGAAGCCAGACCAGGCAGCATTTCTGCTTAATCTTTTACAATCAAGGTGCTTCAAAAATTGGTTGATAAGTAAACTGCCTACTTAGCGTGCCAGTGAATGAAAACAAAAATAATTTTTTTAGTCATGCTGATATTTACCTTGCATACGATAAAAATAGAGCTGAGAATATTGCTCCTGGTAAAACCAAGGATCTGAGTTAGAATACATCATAAACAGTTTTATGAGGCTGAGAGGACCCGGATTAGAGAAGTGGAACATTGTTTATTAACAGGTCCACTAATTCCCTGGAGCAGTTGTCAAGGGGAATTGTACCAGTCAAGGCTTAAAGCATTGGCAAAGTAAGAGAGGAAGGCATGGCTGGATTCAGAGGATCATAGACACTAGCAGCTGATGGAAGGGATAGGGTTACGGAATTCAAGAAGAGTTGAGGCTTACAGGATGAAAAACAGGATTTTAAGGCAGTTTTATGAATGTTGAACACTCCCTAGCTTCTGATCTTGGTCTAACTTCTCCAGAACAGTGGCTGCCTGCCCAGCCTGGATTAGCATTAATGGAGAAAAGAGTTTGGAATGGAAAATGCCAAGATACCTGTTAAAGTAACTTTGACTCCCAGGAAATTCCCTGTCAATATCACATTAACAGAATCTTTGCCATCAACAAAACAGGTTATGAAAATAACATTCATTTGAAAAGATTCAGGTTGTGTGAGGTGGCTCAGCCCTGTAAAACCAGCATTTTGGAAGGCCGAGGTGGGTGATTTCTTGAGGTCAAGAGTTTTAGACTAGCCTGACCAACATGGTGAAACCCCTTCTCTACTAAAAATACAAAAATTAGCCAGGTATGGTGGTGCATGCCTGTAACCTCAACTACTAGGGAGGCTGAGGAAGGAGAACACTTGAACCTGGGAGGCAGAGGTTGCAGTAAGCCGAGATCATGCCAATGCACTCCAGCCTGGGCGACAGACTAAGACGCTATTTAAAATAAATAAATAAAACATAAAAAGCTTCAAATGCATAAAGATAATGAAAAATGATATATTATGTGGTAGAGCTAAGAGATTTAAGAGATTTATCCAAAAAAGTCTTTATATTTTAATTGATACATAATAATAGTATATACTAATGGGTACATAGTAATGTTTTGATACATGTAATGTATAGTGATCATATCAGGGTTATTAGCACATCCATTATTTCAAATATTAATCATTTCTTTGTGTTGGGAATATTTAGTATCCTCCTTCCAGCTACTTGAAACAGTGTAATATATTATTGTTAACTACAGTCGTCCTATACAGGTAGAGAACACTAGAACTATTCCTCTTATCTAGCTGTAATTTTGTATCGTTGAACAAATCTCTACCTATCCCTTCCTTTTCCCTTCCCTTCCCAGCATCTAGTATCCTCTGTTATACTTTTTAAGTCTATTAGATCAGCATCATTTTCAGCTTTCACATATGAGTGAGAACATAAGTTATTTAACATTCTGTTTCAGAGTTATTTCCCTTAACATAATGTGTGCCAGTTCCACCCACAGAGGTGCTCATGACAAGATTTAATTGTTTTTATAGCTGTATAGTACTCTGTTGTGTGCATATAGTGAATTTCTTTATTTCTTCATCTACTGTTGGCTATTATGAACAGCTAATAAACACAGGGGTGCAGATGTCTCTTCCATAAACTGATTTCCTTTCCTTCCCTTTGGACAAATGCCCAGTGGTGGGACTGCCACACAACTATCATATAATAGTTCTGTTTGTAGTTATTTAAGAAACCTCCATTCAGCTTTCCATAGTGGCGATACTAATTTACATTCCCTCTAACAGTATTTAAGTGTTCCTTTTCTGCACATCCTCACCACCATTGTTGATTTTTGTCCTCTTGAGAATAGCCATCCTAACTGGAGTAAGATGGTACCTCATTGTGGCTACGATTTGCATTTCCCTGAAGATTAGTTGTGTTCAACATTCTTTCACATATTTGGCCATTGTGTATTTTCTTTATTTTATTTAAGTAATTTTGCTAACCTCTCATGATGTTGCTAAACAAAAAACATAGTACCTCATCCTGCTTAGATCTCTGAATGAATAGAGGTAGTTGTTGGGTGTGCTCAAAAGTTACCTGGGCATCTTACCCAAACGCAGATTCTGATGCAAGAGGTCTAGGGTGGGGTGAGCTTCTGCATTTATAAACAGCTCCCAAGTGATGTCTAGGCTGCTGGTCCACAGACCATACTTCATACAGTCAGGGTAAAAATCACTTGAGGTTATCAGTACAGACCAAAAATATTTGTAAAATACACCAATATTAGTTTCCTATTGCTGCTGTAGCTAATATCCACAGATTCTGCAGCTTAAAACAATACCCATTTATTTGTTCTCCAATCTGTAAGTCAGAATTCCTGGTGGCTCCATGAAGTTGTCTACTTAGAGTCTAACCATGGTAAAATCAAGGTGTCAGCTGGGCTGGGTTCTTATGTGGGGACTCTGTGAAAAATCCATTTCCAGGCTCATTAAGGTTGTTGACACAATCTGGTTCATTGCAGTAGGACTAAGGTCCCTGTTTGTCTTTCTGGCTGTCAGTGGTGACTGCCTTCTGCTCCTAGAGTCATCTCTAAGACCATGCATGCATGTAGCCGGCTATATCTCAGAACCAGCAATGACGCACATGTTCCTTGCTTTTCTTCTTCCATGACATCTCTCAAATGAACTCTTCTTAGATGTTAAAAAGATTGAGTGGTTAAACTGGGCCCATTCTGATAAACCAGGATAATCTCACTATTTTAAAGTCTGCAAATTTAATCACATCTGCAAAGTCCCTTTGGCTGTGGGATGTAACAACTGCACAGGTTCTGGAGACTGGGGCATGCAAATCTCTGGTCAACCATAATACTATTTACTGCCACACCTGAGGGTATCATTTTGTAATTACCAAAAATCCACATCTTTGCATCATCAAAGGCAGGTATGAGTTAGGTCTCTTGATCTGTCCTTGAAAGACAGCTACACCTAAACACACTCTCCTCCCTTGGCAACTTGCACCCCAACACAGTGTCCTTTTATAGTATATTAGTTTGTTCTTGTTATTATAACAAAGGACAGCAGACTGGACAGCTTAAATGTATTCTCTCACAGTCCTGGAGGCTAGAAGTCAGACACCAATGTGTGGGCAGGGCTGGTTTGCCCTGAGGCCTCTCTCATGGGTTGGAGATGGCATCTTTTCCCTCTGTCCTCACAGGGTCATCCTCTGTGTGTGGCTGTGTCCTCATCTCTTCTTGTGAGATGTCTTAGTTCATTTCATGTGACTGAAACAGAATACCATAGACTGGTGGCTTATAAACCACAGACATATATTCTCTCATCATCCTGGAAGTGTGAGCATGATTGGTTCCCCCTGAGTCCTCTCCTCTTCACTTGTAGAAGCCATCTCCCCCTGTGACCTCACAGGGTCATCCCTCTGTGTGTGTCTGTGTCCTCATCTCCTTTTTTTAATAAAAACACCAGTCCTATTGATTCAGGGTCCACCCTAATGACATCATTTTAATTTAATTATCTATTTAAAGGCCATATCTCCAAATAAAGTCACAATATGGGGCCGTGAGGGATAGGTCTCCAACATTTAAATATTGGTCAGTGGTGAGGGCTGGGGGGTGACACAATTCAGCCCATAACACACAGGAAAGGCTCTGTCACTTGTTCAGTCCCTTTCACTCCCTATGGATGCATTTGTCCAATTCTAAGGACCCATAAAACTTTATTTAAAGCTTAGCTTCCATTCTCATTAAGGAGAGTAGCCAATGTTCCTCTCCACCACACACACACAAACACACACACACACACACACACTCTGCAGGTCTGTGTACATTTTGTTCTTGCAAATTAACCCTTGTCAAGCTGTGTTCACAGGGAGGCACTTAAAGAGAGGAGCTGGTCCCAGCAATAAATAAAACTAGACTAAAAATTATTCAGAATATGTTTGCAAAAGAATTGAAATGGCTTCAACTATAGAGCAGTGCACTTTTCCTGAGAAGTGGGGCAATTTGTACTTGAGTTACTCTCTGATCTCAGATTATAGGATATGCAAAGCAATTAGTTTGAAAGATTTAGGAGGAAGTGCAGGAAAAAAGTAGGTATAATAAGAAAGGAATTTGTTTGCAAGTATTCAAATGCAAAGTCAAACAGCAACAAATCAATGTTGCAATTTCTGTCAACAATAGATGAATTTGCATAATTATAAATGTGTATTTCATGGTCCTGTGTAACCAGGCTGATTTTGTTCTCTCCTTCCTATTGAGGGACTACTAATCCACCATGGATAAGACAAGGTGGGTCAGCCATTTCCCTCAAAATGAAGTCATATTGGTATTATTCCATGTAGACACACACCTCAGTCACTTTAGTGAGGATGGTGGGTGCGGTTAAAGACAGATTTCTGGGTTACGATTTGATAATGATACAAGAGCTCTTGAAACAAGCTGCAAGTTAAGTCACTTCAGATTTCAAGCATATTCATTGGTATCAAAATACACTTGACCTCAAAGTCTATGATCTCAAATAGACTTTATATTTTGTCTTTATTAAATTGCAACTGCTAATGTACTGATTAATGTATATCTGGAAGAAAAGAAAAATGACTAGGTGATAATAATTTTGTTACTATGCAGTTTTATAGAATCATGTTAGCATTTGACTTTTATCAGATGCTCAGGGAAATTACTTCTATAAAAAGCAGCAGCATTCTCCTTTACAGAAACCAAGGAGGAGGGGGGTGTCAGGCCTCTAAGCCCAAGCCAAGCCATCATATCCCCTGTGACTTGCACATATATGTCCAGATGGCTTGAAGTAACTGAAGAATCACAAAAGAAGTGAATATGCCCTGCCTCGCCTTAACTGATGACATTGCACCACAAAAGAAGTGTAAATGGCCGGTCTGGTCCTTGCCTTAACTGATGATATTCCACCACAAAAGAAATGAAAATGTCTGATCCTTGCCTTAAGTGATGACATTACCTTGTGAAAGTCCTTTTCCTGGCTCATCCTGGCTCACAAATCTCCCCCACTGAGCACCTTGTGATCCCCACTCCTGCCTGCCAGAGAACAAACTCCCTTTGACTGTAATTTTCCTTTACCTACCCAAATCTTATAAAATGGCCCCACCCCATCTCCCTTCACTGACTCTCTTTTTGAACTCAGCCCGCCTTCACTCAGGTGATTAAAAGCTTTATTGCTCACACAAAGCCTGTTTGGTGGTCTTTTTACACAAACGCGCATGAAAGAGGGAGCATGAGACATTTAGAGAGCTGACTTAGGACATCAGAAAGAGAGCTTGTCTTGTGAAGCTGACCAACAAACACATGACATTTTAAGTAAACAAAGCAAGATGGAGGAGATAGGTGATTGTAATAAACTTTCCTTTGAAGTGAGTTGGAGTTATACGATGTGCCCATATTGGCTAAGTAAAAGCACTTAATAATTACTTGTAAGCATGAGCATGTGACATGCATGCAACATAAGAGGGCTTCAGGGCACTAAAGGTGCAGGCGTTTTGCATATCTATTGCAAGGTGTCAGGGCTCTGCCTCCTAGACTGACCTCATGTAGTACCTACACACACTGGCTGGAAAGCAAAAAGCAACATTCCAAAGAATATGCTATTTTCCATGGCCCTTGTACCGAAGTCCTTCTCTAATTTTTTATCTCCTGGTTCCAGTCTCTACCTTCACGGTGAAACAGAGCAGGGCCTAGGCCTCCAGAGAAATTCCTTTAAGCCAAGGAAAACACCTTTCATAAATATTTTTTCACTGCTCCCCTGCTCACAAAAGTCCCCTTTCAAGGCCAGGGAAGAAGACTGGTTGAATATCACTCTCCAGAGATATTGCTCTCCTAGAGTTCCTTGTGACAAGGTAGAATTTGTATTAAATCTGAAAACTCTAAGGCCCAGCATGTTGGCTTATGACTCTATTCCCAGCACTTTGAGAGGCCAAGGCAGGAGAATCCCTTGAGGCCAGGAGTTCAAGACTAGCCTAGTCAATGTGGAAAAACCCCATCTATACAAAAAATAAAAACTAGCCAGATGTGGTGGCATGCACCTGTAGTCGTAGCTACTCAGGAAGCTGAGGTGGGAGGAGTGCCTGGGCTCAGCAGTTGGAGGCTGCAATAAGCTATGATCATGCCACTGAACTCCAGCCTGAGTGACAGAGCAAGACTCAATCTCTATAAAAAATAAAATAAATCCTCAAAATCTGACTTTGGGGAAACTATACTGGGGAGAAGCCATAGTATCCTAATATCAACAGAGTGTTTGATAGAGTAGCAATTTCTAATCTCTATCCTGGTAGAGACAAGCCCCTAAATGGACCTGTGAATTAAGAAAAAGGAAGATTTCAGGGAATGAAAACATGGCTTTTAGGAACCCCTGAACTATTTAGGGGCAGAACTTAAGGCACAGACACTGGAGAGCCAAATGAAGGGGAATGATAGAGAAGACAAGTTCTGCCTGCATCATAATAAAAATTTTAACATATATATATATAAAACACCATAACAAACACTTTAAATGATCGAAACTTTTCTGTCTAAATGTGACATGAATAACTCAAGCATTTCCAACTATTATTTCTTTTCCAAGAAGCAAATAGTTTTCTTTGGGCAAAATCACATTTTTTGAAAATGAAAATCAGGTTAATTGTCCATACTAAACAATTGTAATTCATCTCATGACATTTCTTTTCTTTTGTTCAATTTTAATAACAATTATTTTAATTTCAGATCAGACTGGGACAACACAGAGCTGCAAAACAAATGCTTTCAATAAGCTTTATTATCATGAAGCAAAGACTTGAACAAAAGTCGATTGTGAAATCTACAGCTTGCTTAAAAAGAGCAGCCAGAAATAGGAGCAAAGTGATGTTCATTTCTGGATGTCTTGTGCAAAAACACTTTATGTTACCCCAAACTGTGCAGCATGTACTTATTGCTATTGTGTTTGTTGTCAGAGATTTGGTCTACTGGGTTTCTTAAAATTGAAAAGAGGATTAGGCCATGTTTACAATTGTACCTAAAAATATAATGGTTGAAAAGATTTTTTGTCTCTTGGGGACAAATAAAAAACAAAAATTATTAGAATAAATGCTCTGAATAAATTCACATTTTCTTCTTCTTCTTCTTCTTCTTCTTTTTTTTTTTTTTTTTTTTTTTTTTTTTTACTGAAATCAACTCTTTCCTCTTTCTGTCATGTCTGTCTTTTAATTTTTCCCTGTGGTCATGATCCTAAGTTTACCTAACTGAGTCATCACCACATATGCTAAAGTCACAGCTGTGTTTAATATTATTGGAATTTAGCCTGTCAAAATAGCTTCACTCCAAAAAGATGACATTTCCATATATTGACTTTGGATTGTCACTTCTGAGTGCATTTATTATTAATTGCTAGTGATATTAGGATGTTTCTACAATTCCATATTGCTCAGACAAAACAAAGACTGTGCGCTACTATGAGGAATTTTACCCTACCCTTCCAGGGTTTGTGTTAATGAAATTTTTCCTAACCAAATATTAAGCAGGGAAGGATTTAACTACTTTAGAACTCACAGTGTCAGGAGTTTTGACAACCTCCCCAGAAAAGATGTTTCTAAACAGGATTTCTAGTGAGTGGGAATTCCTGGGGCCAGAAGTTTTGGAAAGGCCATTCACACTCTCAAAGTTTTAAGTTGGCAAATGTTGATTCTATTTTTACCATCAATAGTAAGTATTATTGAGTATTGCCTGCCATCATATTTTTCCCCCAGAGATCTTTTTTAAGTGGGAATAATCTGGGTTAATTATAGTACCTAACCACTCAAAAATCTCAATGGCTTAAAACAAAAGTTTATTTCTTGAGTAAGCTGGCATCCAATGTGGTTGGCAGAGAGACCTGCTCTACCCTTATAGAATGTCATCATCTCAACATGTGGCATCATGTGAGGAGATGGCTAGAGAGTCCAGTAAAGGTGATTAAATACCTTTATTTAATCAGATGCAAAATGCATCACTTCCATTCATGTTTCATTGTGAATAGTGAAGTAGTTACATCTACTACTTCCAAAGGTTTGGGCATAATTATAATCCTCCATGTACAGAAAGAGAAGAAATATAGAAGAAATTTACAATGCATACCACAAGGGAAAAGGAAACTTTTCTTAGCATGACTAAGTAATGTTACTAAGCAATCATGGTGCCCTGAGTTCCCTAGTTCATTTTTGTAAGAACAGACATTTATTTCTCTGAATTAATTCAACTAACTTGAAGAGATATATTGTGTTGAATGAAATACAAAACTTTCATGGCTGAATATTGTCAATTTCATGTGATTCTACATAATAATGTTGACATAATGGTGTAAATATGTCCAAAATCAAATTTATCAAATAATGCTCCTGATCATGTACCTCATTTGGGGAGGGCAGAGGGTACACCATGCTCTGGTGTAACACCAGCAAGTTTACAAGGGAGACACCAGTGAAAAACGGACAGTAATTATCTCTTTTCTCAGGCTGTTTCTTCTGACATCGTTGATCTATTTATATTTGTCTTAAGAAAAGCATATTATATGGCCCAAGGAAATTGAGGGGAAAAAGAGGAAGACGGAGAAGTATCTGGCCTTATGATGTTTCTTATAATCTCCCTTTTTTATTTTTGATTCATCCCTTTCCCTCTTCCTGTGTTTTGCCTCTTAGAGGCATGTAGAGTCATGTAGATCCATTCCAGTAGGATGTTTTTACTGCTGAATTGCATGGAGACTTGCCACTGTGGTTGCTGAACCAATTAGTCTCACAGGACACAGATTTGGACAAGATCCTATCAGTGTACATTTGAGCCCAACTGGACAGAGATTACAGGATTAGTTTACAAAGAATAAATTGTGTCTTGACTGTCTAGTTCAATGTCATAAAATTGTCTTTCAAAAATACAGCATCAAATGTTTCCAAATCTTTTCAAATTATAGTAGCAATTAAGTTCTTTTCTTAACACCATCTAATTTCAGCATTGTTGCAGAAACAACCTAAAAAAAAAGCAAGAAATAAATTCAAAAGAAATAGTTAGCAAAAGATATTAAGCAATGTTTAACTGTATTCTAAATGTTAGCATTTTGAGATAAAACTATTGGCATTCAAACAGCAGTCACTTTGCCTAGATCATGAGATTTTGACCAGATGATGCAGTTAGATCAACCTGGTAATCATCCAGATATTTATAATCCTTTAGTTTAAAAACGAGCATTTTCTGTTGTGGCTTTTGATGCTACATGCCCAAGGTGTTCTCATGTATGTAAGGGCATATGGCTGTGGTAACCAAATAGGTACTTTTAGAGATATTAAAGAGAAACAACAACAACAATATATATGTGAATGGAAAAAGAAAGTTACTGTCTTTATTTTAGTTGTGCATATGATAGAATAACAATAGACACATGGAAATGTGGACAGTAGTTGGCATGAATCTTCCAGCTTCTGCCTTTAGGAACTAGAAAACCAATGTTCATACATTATGATTGGATAGATTTAAATGTTTATTCTTACTTTATTGATATAGATCATCATTTTATGTAAAGAGTGATAACCTGTGTCAAAACTCCTTGGGTGCCATTCCTATCTGAAGGAAGGAAAAGAAAAGTAAATATCTACTCGAAGGATTTAATATTAGAAACTCATAAACTTGGCATATTTTCCAATGCAATTTAGACAATGACTGAGTGTACGTTGTACCTGGTTTTGTAGACCAATGTCCTCTAATGACTCAGACTCAGTCTAGTGGCCCTGTCTAAAATTATGTGTATTTTTGCCTTATGGTTTCTAGCATGTCTTGTTTTGTGAAAGTACAAGCCAAGTACATGTTTAGACAGGAAGAAAGAACACTTAAACAACTTTTCAGTTTTGCCTCATTGAAATATTATAATTTCAAAGACTTAGCAACTTGTGAAATGTTTCTCTAGCTCTCAGCCTTTCTTCAGTCATTATGTTTATGTCCTTCCATCATGTCTGATTTTTTTCTTAATTGTATGCATTTCTGAATATATATGTTCTATAATTAATGTTATGTAAAATACACTTTTATAAGATTAAAAAAGATCTTGCATATGCAAATCTAAAGCTACTCAATTATCTTTCTTAGTTCTAATTAATCTTGTTGCCCTGAGAATTTAAGAAGATTTTACTTTGCTCTTACAGGTTTTCAATGGCTATAGTGAATAGATAGGGCCCTACCTTTATTTGCAAAGTGGTATATTTCTCTTTTTTTATTATTATACTTTAAGTTCTAGGGTACAAGTGCAGAATGTGCAGCTTTGTTACCTAGGTATACATGTGCCATATTGGTTTGCTGCACCCATCAACTCATCATTCATATTAGGTGTTTCTCCTAATGCTATCCCTCCCTCAGCCCCACAATCCCCAGCAGGCCTTCGTGTGTGATGCTCCCCATGCTGTGTCTATGTGTTTTCATTGTTCAACTCCCACATATAAGTGAGAACATGCGGTGTTTGGTTTTCTGTCCTTGTGTGAAGGTTCTGAGAATGATGGTTCCAGCTTCATCCAAGTCCCCACAAAGGACATGAACCCATCCTTTTTCATGGCTGCATAGTATTCATGATGTATATGTGCCACATTTTCTTAATCTAGTCTGTCACTGATGGACATTGGGTTGGTTCCAAGACTGCTATCCTGCTACTGTGAATAGTGCAACAGTAAATGTATGTGTGCATGCATCTTTTATAGTAGCATGATTTATAATCCTCTGGGTATACAGCCAGTAATGGGATTGCTGAATCAAATGATATTTCTAGTTCTAGATCCTTGAGGAATCACCACACTGTCTTCCACAATGGTTGAACTAATTTAAACTCCCACCAACAGTGGAAAAGTGTTCCTATCTCTCCACATCCTCTCCAGCATTTGTTGTTTTGAGATGATATCCCATTGGGGTTTTGATTTGCATTTCTCTGATGACCAGTGATGCTGGGTGTTTTTTCATATGTCTGTTGGCTGCATAAATATCTTCTTTTGAGAAGTGTCTATTCATATCCTTTGCCCACTTTTTGAGGGAGTCGTTTGTTTTTTTATTGTACATTTGTTTAAGTTATTTGTGAATTCTGGATATTAAGCCCTTCATCAGATGTGTAGATTCCAAAAATTTTCTCCCATTCTGTAGGTTGCCTGTTCACTCCGATGATAATTTATTTTGCTGTGCAGAAGCTATTTAGTTTATTTAGACCCCATTCATCTATTTTGGCTTTTGGCATTTTAGTCATGAAATCTTTGCCCATGCCTATTTCCTGAAAGGTATTGCATAGGTTTTCTTCTAGGATTTTTCTAGTTACATGTCTTACATTTAAGTCTTTAATCCATCTTGAGTTAATTTTTGTATAAGGTGTAAGGAAGGGATCAGTCTCAGCTTTCTACATATGGCTAGCCAGTTTTCCAGCACCATTTATTAAATAGTGAATCATTTCCCCATTTCTTGATTTTGTCAGGTTTGTCAAAGATCAGGTGGTTGTAGATGTGTGGTATTATTTCTGAGGCCTCTGTTTTGTTCCATGGGTCTATATATATGTTTTGGTACAAGCACCATGCTGTTTTGGTTACTGTAGCCTTGTAATATCGTTTGAAGTCAGGTAGTGTGATGCCCACAGCTTTGTTCTTTTTGCTTAGGATTGTCCTGTGTATGCAGGCTCTTGTTTTGGTTCCAAATAAACTTTAAAGTACTTTTTTTTTTCCAGTTCTGTGAAGAAAGTCAATAGTAGCTTGAGATGGATTGCATAGAATCTATAAATTACCTTGGGTATTATGGCCATTTTCACAATATTCATTCTTCCTATCCATGAACATGGAATGTTCTTCCATTTTTTTGTGTCCTCTTTCATTTCATTGAGCAGTGGTTTGTAGTTCTCCTTTAGGAAGTCCTTCATATCACTTGTAAGTTTGAGGCCTAGGTATTTTATTCTCTTTTTATTAATTGTAAATGAGAGTTCACTCATGATTTGGCTCTCTGTTTCTCTATAATTGGTGCATAAAAATGCTTGTGATTTTTTCACATTGACTTTGTATCCTGAGACTTTGCTGAAGTTGCTTATCAGCTTAAGGAGATTTTGGGCTGAGACAATGAGGTTTTCTAAATATACAATCATGTCATCTGCAAACAGAGCCAATGTGACATCCTCTTTTCCTAACTGAATACCATTTATTTCTTCCTCTTGCCTAATTGCCCTGGCCAGAACTTAGAACACTACATTGAATAGGAGTGGTGAGAGAGGGCATCCTCATCTTTTGCCAGTTTTCAAAAAGAATGTTTCCAGTTTTTGTGCATTCAGTATAATATTGGCTGTGGATTTGTCATAAACAACACTTATTATTTTGAGATACATCCCGTCAATACCAAATTTATTGAGAATTTTTAGCATGAAGCGCTGTTGAATTTTGTCGAAGCCTTTTCTGCATCTATTGAAATAACAATATGTTTTTTCTCATTCGTTCTGTTTATGTGATGAATTATGTTTATTGATTTGTGTATGTTGAGCCAGCCTTGCATCCCAGGGATGAAGCTGACTTATTTGTGATGGATAAGCTTTTTGATATGCTGCTGGATTCAGTTTCCCAGTATTTTATTGAGGATTTTCATATCGATGTTCTTCAGGGATATTGGCCTAAAAATTTTGTGTTGTTGTTGTGTCTTGGCCAGGATTTGGTATCAGGATAATGTTGGCCTCCTAAAGTGAGTTATGGAGGATTCTTAAGGAGGACTACTAAGATTCCTAAAGAAGGCCATTATATAATGTATAATGTTAAAGGGATCAATTTAACAAGAATAGCTAACTATCCTAAATATATATGCAACCAACACTGGAATACCCAGATTCTAAAGCAAGTCCTTAGAGACTTACACAGAGAATTAGACTCCCACACAATAATAGTGGGAGACTTTAACACCCCACTGTCAATATTAGACAGAACAATGAGACTGACAGTTAATAAAGATATCCAGGACTTGAACTCAACTCTGGACCAAGCTGACCTAATAGACATCTACAGAATTCTCTACCCCAAATCAACATAATATACATTCTTCTCAGCACCACATCACACTTATTCTAAAACTGGCCACATAATTGGAAGTAAAAGATGCTGCAGCAAATGGACAGGAACAGAAATCACAACAAACTGTCACTCAGACCACAGTGCAATAAAATTAGAATTCAGGATTAAGAAACTAACTCAAAACTGCACAACTACATGGAAACTGATCAATCTGCTCCTGAATGACTACTGGATAAATAGGAAATTAAGGCAGAAATAAGTAAGTTCTTTGAAACCAATGAGAACAAATACACAGCATACCAGAATCTCTGGGACACATTTAAAGCAGTGTGTAGAGGGAACTTTACAGCACTAAATGCCCATGAGAGAAAACAGGAAAGATCTATAACTGACACCCTAACATCACAAATAAAATAACTAGAGAAGCAAGAGCAAACAAATTCAAAAGCTAGCAAAAGGCAACAAATAACTAAGATCAGAGCAGAACTGAAGGAGATAGAGACATAAAAGTCCTTCAATAAATCAGTGAATCCAGGAGCTGGTTTTTTGAAAAGATCAACAAAATAGACCGCTAACCAGACTAACAAAGAAGAAAAGATGGAACAATCTAATAGATGCAATAAAAATGATAAAAGAGATAACACCACCAATTCCACAGAAATACAAACTACCATCAGAGAATACTATAAACACCTCTATGAAAATAAATTAGAAAATCCAGAAGAAATGGATAAATTCCTGGACACATACAACCTCTCAAGACTAAACCAGGAAGGAGTTGAATCTCTGAATAGACCAATAACAGGTTCTGAAATTGAGGCAATAATTAATCGCCTACCAACCCAAAAAGGTCCAGGACCAGATGCATTTACAGCTGAATTCTACCAGAGGTACAAAGAAGAGCTGGTACCATTCCTTCTGAGGCTATTCTAAGCAAAGTGGTATATTTCAAGAGGTAAACATATTTCATGATTTTATACATTCATTGTGTGAATAAAATTCTGTTATTCTTAGCTTTCCTCCATTTTCTTGATGGAAAATGAATTAGAAAATATTATTCCATAATACATATATCTTAAATATTATGTAAGTATGTTAACTATTTGACATCTAATAATTACCAACACTCAAGGGAGATGGGGGTATGGTTTCAAAAACAATAATAAAAACAGTTTGGTAAGAATAAAACTTCTTACAAGATTGGTAGTTGATATTATATTATTCTTAATAATGTATAAACTCAGTTTTGCTGTAAAAGCAAAGATGAAAATATGAAAAACTAGTTTTTTCAGGCTGATGTAACAAAATACCATAAACTGGGTGTCTTATAAACAACAGAAATGTATTTCACACAGTCTTGGATGCTGGAAGTCCACGATCAATGTGTGGTAGATTTACTGTCTGGAAATGACTCAGTTCCTGTTTTTTAGATGGCACCTTCTCTCTGCATCCTCACATGGTGGAAGGAGTGAGAGGCCTCTCTGGGGTCCCTTTTATAAGTGCATTAATCCCATCCAGGAGGGCTCCACCCTTATGAGCTTATTAACTCCCAAAGCCCCACCTCCTAATACCATCACCCTGGCAATGAGGGTTTCAACATAGGAATTTTGGGAGGATACAAATATTCAAACCATATTAGCATCTATGCATTATGATAGAAACCCAGTGCACAGAAGATTAACAATTTTATGTATTTTCTCTCTGAATTCATGTTACTTCCAGGACTCCACGCTGGGTAGACCAATAAATGTCATTCACTCTGCAACAAACATTTTTGAATGTCTACTATATGCTATGTGCTATTCTAGCCACTGAGAACATGAAACAAAGTCCTACTCCCATGTATTCATATTGAATGTAGAAGATAGATAAGATAGGTGATCAATAAATGGAAGATAGATAGATGTTGATAAATAGAAGATAGGTAGATAGATAGGATAGATGATAGATAAATAGAAGATAGGTAGATAACAGGATAAATGAGAAAAAAGAAAAAGGAAAGAAAGAAAGAGAAAGAAAGAAAGAAAGAAAGAAAGAAAGAAAGAAAGAACGAAAGAAAGAAAGAAAGAGAAAGAAAGAAAGAAAGAGAAAGAAAGAGAAAGAAAGAAAGAAAGAAAGAAAGAAAGAAAGAAAGAAAGAAAGAAAAGAAAGAAAGAAAGAGAAAGAAACAGAGGGAGAAAGAAAGAGAGAGAGAGGAGGGAAGGAAAGAAGGAAGGAAGGAAGGAGGAAGGAAGGAAGGAAATAAATAGGACAGATAAGATGAATAGATAGGAAGAAAGGAAGGAAATAGGAAAAATAAGATGGATGGATGGATAGATTAGATAGATTAGATTAGATAGATTGATAGAACAAATAAGGTGGGATGGATAGATATTAGGTAGACAGATTATAGATAATAATATAGGTGATAGATGATATGCAGAGAGTAGATATAGATGATAGATAGATAGATAGATAGATAGATAGATAGATAGATAGATATTAGAGAAGGAATAATAAGCTGGAATTTGGGATTGCCATTGTATAAAGAGTATTTAAGGAAAGCTTCTCTAATAAGGGGATGTTTGAGAAGAGAATTGAAGAAAATAAAGACTGAGCAATGTGTCTTTCCTCCAACACAGAGAAAGTAGTAAGCACAAAGTCTCCAAATTCTGTTGACATTTTTGAAGAGTATGTATGGATGACAATGAGATGTGAAGGGGTTATCTGGGCAGAACACAAACAGAAATCAGGGCAATAGCAATGAAGAGGGAATCTTAGAAAGAAGGACTGAGAGTCTTGACCCAGAGGCTTGCAAGCAGAGGAGGTGTGGTCAATACATTGTAAAAGATGGTCAATTTAATTCCTTGAAGATAACTATTTAAGACTAAAGGGATTGGGCACTGTAGCTCACTCCTGTAATGTCTGCACTTTGATTGGCTGAAGCTGGAGGATTGCTTCAGCCCAGGAGTTCAAGACCAGCCTGGGCAATATAGTGAGACCTGGAGTCTACAAAAAAAATTTAAAAATTTGCTGGGCTTGGTGTTGCATGCCTGTAGTTACAGCTACTTGGGAGGCTGAGGTGGGAGGATTGCTTGCGCTCAGGAGGTAGAGGCTTCAGTGATACAACATCACACCACTGCACTCCAACCTGGAAAACAGAGTAAAGCCCTGTCTCAATAAAAGAAAAAAAAATAAAAGGATTATTTTGATATCAGCCTTATAAAGCAGACGGTGGGTCAGGCCATTGTCTGTTTTGTCATGGACTAAAATGGAATAAATGAGTCAGAAGAAACAACAGCAGAATGCCTTGATCCCTTCCCAGGCTTCCTCCACTGTCTTTTTCTACCCATTTACTCCACTCTGTCTTGCATCTTCAAAGCCCACTTTGCAGAAGCTTTTCCACAGTCTAAATTCAGAAGCAAGCTTCTCTTATTCTCAAAAAACGACCCCTTTCCCTGGCTTCCTCAGATGTGCCATTCACTCTATATTGGAACTTTCACACCATTCTAAAGGAAACAAGAGTGGAACCTGCCATGACTGCCTATCTTCACATCTCACTTCCTACACAGTAGCTCATGCTTGAATCTTCTTTACCTTAGCACTACCTGACAAACCAGGCTCTCACAGCTTACAGGAGACCTGCAGATCCACACATCCACTGTCCCTCTGCAGCTCTCTCTCCCCCTTTTGTTCCCCTCCAACTTCTTTATCCTTTTCTCCTTCCATGGACTCAACACCAGCTGGAATCCTGGCTTTCTTCCTTTCCTCTCGAGGCTCATTTTCTCTCCTCACATCTTTTACTTGCTCCATTGAAATCATGTGTTCCCTTTCCTACTTCAAAACGTTATCCAGCTGTGCAAGCAACTCCTAGAATTCTATCACAAGTCCTGCACTTTCTGGTGCTCACCATATTCATTTTTTTTTTTCTTTGAGAAAGAGTTTCGCTATGTAACCCAGCCTGTAGTGCAATGGCAAAATCTCAACTCACAGCAACCTCCACCTCCCAGGTTCAAGTGATTCTCCTGCCTCAGCCTCCTGAGTAGCTGGGATTGCAGGCACCCGCCGCCATGTCCGGCTAATTTTTGTATTTTTCGTAGGAAGGGATTTCACAGTGTTGGGCAGGCTCATCTCCAACACATGACCTCAAGTAATCTGCCCACCTAAGCCTCCCAAAGTGTTGGGATTACAGGCATGTACCACTGTGCCTGGCCTCCATATTCATGTTCTATTGCTGTTATAATAAACTTCCATGAAATAGGCAACTGAAGATGATGCTAATTTATCATCTCACCCTTGTATAGGTCAGAATATGGAGTGGGCTTCGCTTGGAAGTTCCTCACAAGGCTAAAATTAAGTTGTTAAGCAGTCTGGGTTCTTATCTGGAGGCTCTGGAGGAGAATATGCTTCCCGGTTCATTTAGGTCTTGGAAGAATTTTGTTTGTTCCTTGCAGTTCTAGGACTGAGGTCTCAGTAGGACATCTCTGCTGCCACATCTCTTCCTCCTGAGCCAGCAAAATTCTCAGCTATTGAGGACTCCTGATTACATTGGTCCCACCCTAGTAAACCAGAAAAATCTCCCTCTTTTAAGGTCAACTGATGATAATGATATCTGTATACTCTCTTTTGCCATGCAACATCACATAACCATGGAAGGAACACAAAGGGCCAAAAGTCATGGAGGCCAAAATTCTGCCAATCATATTTACTTCAATAACTTTAACTGAACTTCCACTCTGCACCTTAAGCACAACAAGGTGACAGGTTAGAAGCTAAGGAAAATGTGAACAATACATGCTAAAATATGGTCAACTAAATAAACAGAATAAGTTTCAAGGAGGAGCTACCATCTTAGGACACATGAGTTCATAGTAAACAAACAGCCTTTCCTTTCAAAATTATGCATCTTTTAATTTTCTAAATAGTTGTAATGGCATCTCCATTCTTTGTTTTTTGTTTGTTTGTTTTTTGAGGTTTTCTTTTTTTCCCCTTCTTGTTTCTTCCTCAACTTGTAAATTTCCCAATATCCTACACATAACATGGTATGAGAGTATGAATACCAATCCTTTTTTTTTTTTTGCCCCAGTGCATACAGTGCACACATTTTATGCCTCACTAGTGCCCATAAATATGGTTGCTTCTGGCAAGGAGCAGGGGAGCCAATCAGCCATCCACATGGCTTCAGGGATCAATATTGCAGCATCACCTCTCACTGTAGGAGAGTGTCCTGATGACTTGCTCCTCAAACTGTGGTCCACAGACCAGCAGTGTCAGCACAGGGAGGGTCTCAGGCCCAACCCTCATCTACTGAGTCTAAATCCAACACAATCCCCAGACGATATGTAAGCAAGAGATACAGTAAGAGGTCTTATGCCCGAGGAATGGAATTTCCCTCTTCGCCTTCAGTTTTCCTGCCAAAGATGTAACCAACCGTTCCAATATCTTACCTCTCTTTCCTGGGTTTGTACATTCTATCTCTCATCTCCTTTAGATAGCATGTGCGTTGCTGTCATTCTTGACACTCCTAACCCTTTTCCAACATCTCATACTGATTTTCTCTCCATCGTCAAACACTGTTTAAATCTGACGCTTTCTGAAGGTTCATTGAATGCTGGTTGATAGCACACTTTATCTTGATGGATAATCATAGATCTCCGAAGACTTCCTTCAAGTCCTCAGGCATGCTCTCATTTTATTTTGTTTCCATAATTCATGTTGTGTGTGTGTGTGTTTTTCTGAGAGTCAGGGTCTCACTGTCACCCAGGCTGGAGTGCAGTGGTACTATCATGGCTCACTGCAGCCTCAAACTCCTTACTCAAACAATTCTCCCACCTCAGTCTCTAAAGTATTTGGAACTTACAGGCATGTGCCAACATGCTTATGTTTTTGTTTTGTTTTGTTTTGTTTTGTTTTTTTAGAGATGAGGTCACACTATGTTGTCCAGGCTGACTGTAACTCCTGGGCTCAGGTGATCCTTCCAACTTGTCCTCCCAAAGTGCTGAGATTATAGGCATGAGCCACTGTGCCCATCCTCATGTTCTTTATCAGTGTTCCTATTTCTAGATGGATTACTGCCTGTTAAAATAAAACTTGTTATTAATATTTGTCATTAAATGTTCAAGGTACAATTGAGTCCAATTCCTTCTTTATTTTTGTAAGGCAAGGGAAAGAATGAATTTTAATCTCAGTAATTTGTCTTCCAGTGGGTTATATCTGCACTGGAATGTGAACCTGAGACTTAAATAGTTAATGGTAATGAACAGCATATTATTCAACAGTCACCATTCTTTGTATACCATTTTCCTTGTATATCTATAAAATGAGATTTAATTATACATGCCTGAAATCATAATATAGTTTGTATTCTATCAACGTTTTTTAGATTATTGCGTTTTAGGTGGGTATTGGTCTGTTCTCATGCCGCTAATAAAGACATACCCAAGACTGGGTAATTCATAAAGCAAAATAAGTTTAATGGACTCATAGTTCCACGTGGGTGGAAAGGCCTGACGATCATTGTGGAAAGCAAAAAAAAAGGAGCAAAGTTACATCTTATATGGCAGCAGGCAAGAGAGAGAAAGCATGTGCAGGGGAACTCCCTTTTATAAAACCCACAGGTCTTATAAGACTTATTGGTTATCACAAGAACATCATTGGAAAGACCCAGCCCCATGAGTCAGTTACCTCCCACTGGGTCTCTCCTCTGACATTTGGAAATTATAAAAGCTACAATTCAAGATTTGGGTGAAGATATGTCCCAAATATATCAGAGTGGTTAGTAATTTTTTTCTGGTTTTAGTTACTAGTGTTATTTCTAATCTTTTTTTTTTTCATTCCTTAGTTTCTCATTTATTTGTCCTCATTGTTTTCCAAATATGTTACCAGTAAAGTCAAACCTATTTGTGCTAATTAATAGTATCACTCACAATTTCTTTCTCCATTTTTGAAGATGGAAATAGCACATTAGTCTGCTGAATAAGCACATAATATGTTTGAGAAGGCGGCCATTAAGCCTGATACATAGAAGAATGTCATTACCTGTTTGATAAATCTCCAAAGTTAAATTAGATTTACAGATTATTATGCACTATGTGATCATCAAGAATATTAGGAATACTTTCCACCTGCCCTCACCTTTTCTTAGACTTTAAATTAGTTTTGCCCCTACTTTTTTTAATTCATTACAATTTAAGTTCTGGGGTACATGTGCAGAACGTGCAGGTTTGTTAAATAGGTATACACGTGCCATGGTAGTTTGCTGCACCCATTAACCCATCATCTACACTAGGTTTTTTGGCTAATGCTATCCCTCCCATTACCCCCCACCCCTAGACAGGCCCTAGTGTATGGTATTCCCCATCCTGTGTCTATGAGTTTTCACTGTTCAACTCCCACTTATGAATGAGAATATGTGATGTTTGGTTTTCAGTTCCTGTGTTAGTTTGCTGAGAATGACAGTTTCTAGCTTCATCCATGTCCCTGCAAAGGACATGAACTCATTTTTTATGGCTGCATAGTATTGCATACTGTGTATGAAATACTTATTCTTTATGCTTTATTCACTCTATTCTTCTTTATTCAGTCTGTTATTAATGGGCATTTGGGTTGGTTACAAGTCTTTGTTATTGTGAATAGTGCTGCAATAAACATAAGTGTGCATGTGTCTTTACAGCAGAATGATTTGTAATCCTTTGGATATATACCCAGTAATGTAATTGCTGGGTCAAATGATATTTCTGGTTCTATATCCCTAAGGAATCAACACGGTGTCTTCCACAATTGTTGAACTAATTTACACTCCCACCAACCATGTAAAAGTGTTCCTGTTTCTCCATATCTTCTCCAACATCTGTTGTTTCCTCACTTTTTAATGATCGTCATTCTTACTAGCATAAGATGGTATCTAATTGTGGTTTTGCTTGGCATTTCTCTAATGACCAGTGATGACGAGCTTTTTCTCATGTTTGTTGGCCACATAAATGTCTTCTTTTGAGAAGTGTCAGTTCATATCCTTCACTTACTTTTTGAGGGATTGTTAGTTTTTTTCTTGTAAATTTGTTTATAAATTTGTAAATAAGTTCCTTCTAGATGCTGACTATTACACCTTTGTCAGATGGAGAGATTGCAAAAATTTTCTCCCATACTGTAGGTTGCCTATTCACTCTGATGATAGTTTCTTTTGCTGTGCAGAAGCTTTTACTTTAGTTATATCCCATTTATCAATGTTGGCTTTTTGTGCAATTGCTTTTGATGTTTCAGTCATGAACTCTTTGCCCATGCCTATGTCCTGAATGGTATTGTCTAGATTTTCTTCTAGGGTGTTTATAGTTTTAGGTCTTACATTTAAGTCTTTCATTCATCTTGAGTTGACTTTTGTATACAGTGTGAGGAAAGGGTCCAGGTTCAATTTTCTGCATATGAATGTCCTGTTTTCCAAACACCATTTATTAAATAAGGAATCCTTTCCCCATTGCTTGTTTTTGTCACGTTTGTCAAAGATCAGGTGGTTGTAGTTTTGTATTATTATTTCTGAGGCCTCTGTCCTGTTCCATTGGTCTATATATCTGTTTTGGTACAGGTACCATGTTGTTTCAGTTACCGTAGGCTTGTAGTATAGTTTGAAGTCAGGTAGCGTTATGCCTGCAGCTTTGTTCTTTTCGCTTAGGATTTTCTTGGCTATATGGGATCTTTTTTCATTACATATAAAATTTAAAGTAGTTTTTTCTATTTCTGTAAATAAAGTCAGTGGTAGTTTGATGGTGATAGCATTGAACCTATAGATTACTTTGGGCATTGTGGCCATGTTCACAATATTTATCCTTCCCATCCATGAGTATGGAATATTTTTCCATTTGTTTGTGTCCTCTCTTATATCCTTGAGAAGTGCTTCATAGTTCTCCTTGAAGAGGTCCTTAACCTCCCTTGTAAGTTGAATTCCTAATTATTTTAACCTCATTGTAGCAATTGTGAATGGAGGTGAACTCATGATTTGGCTCTCTGTTTCTCTATAATTGGGGTACAAAAATGCTTGTGATTTTTGCACATTGATTTTGTATCCTGAGACTTTACTGAAGTTGCTTATCAGCTTAAGGAGATTTTGGGCTGAGACAAGGGAGTGTTCTAAATATACAATCATGTCATCTGCAAACAGAGACAATTTGACATCCTGTTTTTGTATTTGAATACCCTTTCTTTCTTCTTTTTTTTTTTTTTTTTTTGCCTGACTGCTGTGGCTAGAACTTCCAAAAACTATGTTGAATAGGAGTGGTGAGAGAGGGCATCCTTGTCTCATGCTGAGTTTCAAAGGGAATGCTTCCAGTTTTTCCCCATTCAGTATGATATTGGCTGTGAGTTAGTCTTAAAAGGCTCTTATTATTTTGAGATACATTCCATCAATACCTAGATTATTGAGAGCTTTTAGTATGAAGGGCTGTTGAATTTTATTTAAGGTCTTTTCTACATCTATTGAAATAATGCAGTTTTTGTCATTGGTTCTGTTTATGGGATGGATTACATTTATTTGTTGATGTATGTTGAACCAGCCTTGCATCCCAGGAATGAAGCTGACTTGACTGTGGTGGATAAGTGTTTTATTATGCTGCTGTGTTCAGTTTGACAGTATTTTATTGAAGAATTCCATATTGATATTCATCAGGAGTTGCAATCTTAATCTCTGATAAAACTGACTTTAAACCAAGAAAGATCAAAAAAGACAAAGAAGGCCATTACATAATGGTAAAGGCATCAATGCAACAAGAATAGCTAACAGTCCTAAATGTATATGCACCCAACACAGGAGCACCCAGATTCCTAAAGCAGATATTTAGAGACCTAGAAAGAAACTTAGACTCCCACACAATAATAGTGGGAGACTTTAACACCCCACTGTCAATATTAGACAGATCAACAAAACAAAAAACTAAAAAGGACATCCAATGCCTGAACTCAGCTCTTGACAAAGCAGAGCTAATAGACATCTATAGAACTCTCCATGCCAAATCAACAGAATATACATTCTTCTCAGCACCATATCACACTTATTCTCAAATTGATCATAAAATTGGAAGTAAAACACTCCTCAGCAAGTGCAAAATAATGGAAATCATAACAAAGAGTTTCTCAGACCACAGTGCAATCAAATTAGAACCCAGGATTATGAAACTCACTTAAAACCACACAACAGCATGGAAACGGAACAACCTGCTCCTGAATGATTACTAAGTAAATAATGAAATGAAGTCAGAAATAAAGATGTTCTTTGAAAACAATGAGAAAAAAGACAAGATGTATCAAAAGTTTTGGGACACAATTAAAGCAGTGTGTAGAGGGAAATTTATAGCAATAAATGCCCACAAGAGAGAGCTGGAAAGATTTAAAATTGACACCATAACATCACAGTTAAAAGAAACGGAGAACATTCCATGCTCATGGGTAGGAAGAATCACTGTCATGAAAATGGCCATACTGCCCAAGGTAATTTATAGATTCAATTTCATCCCTATCAAGCTACCAATGACTTTCTTCACAGAATTGGAAAAAGCTACTTTAAAGTTAGTATGGAACCAAAAAAGAGCCCGCATCACCAAGTGAATCCTAAGCCAAAAGAACAAAGCTGGAGGCATCATGCTACCTAACTTCAAACTATACTACAAGGCTACAGTAACCAAAACAGCATGCTACTGGTACCAAAACAGAGATATAGATCAATGGAACAGAACAGAGCCCTCAGAAATAGTGCTGCTTATCTACAACTATCTGATCTTTGACAAACCTGAGAAAAACAGAAATGGGGAAAGGATTCCCTATTTAATAAATGGTGCTGGGAAAACTGGCTAGCCATATGTAGAAAGCTGAAACTGGATCCCTTCCTTACCCCTTATACAAAATTAATTCAAGATGGATTAAAGACTTACATGTTAGAACTAAAACCATAAAAATCCTAGAAGAAAACCTAGGCATTACCATTCAGGACATAGGCATGGGCAAGGACTTCATGTCTAAAACACCAAAAGCAATGGCAACAAAAGCCAAAATTGACAAATGGGATCTAATTCAACTGAAGAGCTTCTGCACAGCAAACAAAACTACCATCACAGTGAACAGGCAACCTACAAAATGGGAGAAAATTTTTGCAACCTACTCATCTGACAAAGGGCTAATATCCAGAATCTATGATGAAATCAAACACATTTACAAGAAAAAAACAAACAACCCCATCAAAAAGTGGGTGAAGGATATGAACAGACACTTCTCAAAAGACATTTATGCAGCCAAAAAACACATGAAAAAATGCTCACAATCACTGGCCATCAGAGAAATGAAAATCAAAACCACAATGAGATACCATCTCACACCAGTTAGAATAGCAATCATTGAAAAGTCAGGAAACAACAGGTACTGGAGAGGATGTGGAGAAATAGGAACAGCTTTACACTGTTGGTGGGACTGTAAACTAGTTCAACCATTGTGGAAGTCAGTGTGGCGATTCCTCAGGGATCTAGAACTGGAAATACCATTTGACCCAGCCATCACATTACTGGGTATATACCCAAAGGACTATAAATCATGCTGCTATAAAGACACATGCACACGTATGTTTATTGCGGCACTATTCACAATAGCAAAGACTTAGAACCAACCCAAATGTCCAATAATAATAGACTGGATTAAGAAAATGTGGCACATATACACCATGGAATACTATGCAGCCATAAACAATGATGAGTTCATGTCCTTTGTAGGGACATGGATGAAATTGGAAATCATCATTCTCAGTAAACTGTCACAAGAACAAAAAACCAAACACCGCATATTCTAGCTCATAGGTGGGAATTGAACAATGAGAACACATGGACACAGAAAGGGGAACATCACTCTCTGGGGACTGTTGTAGGGTGGGGGGAGGGAGAGGCATAGCATTAGGAGATATACCTAATGCTAAATGACAAGTTAGTGGTTGCAGAACACCAGCATGGCACATGTATACATATGTAACTAACCGGCAGATTGTGCTCATGTACCCTAAAACTTAAAGTATAATAAAAAAAAAAAAAGAAAGAAAGAAACAGAGAAGCAGAAGCAAACAAATTCAAAGCCAGCACATGGCAACAAATAACTAAATCAGAGAAGACCTGAAGGAGACAGAGAAACAAAACACCCTTCAAAAAAATCAATGAATCCAGGAGGTGTTTTTTTTTTTTTTTGAAAAGATCAACAAAATGGATGGACTTCAAGCCAGGCTAATAAGGAAGAAGAAAAGAGAAGAATCAAATAGATGCAATAAAAAATATGATAAAGTGGTTATCACCACCAATCCAACAGAAATACAAACTACCATCAGATAATACTATAAATACCACTGCATAAATAAAATAGACAACCTAGAAGAAAAGGATAAGTTCCTGGTCACATGCATCCTCCCAAGACTAAACCAGGAAGAAGTCGAATCCTTGAATGGACCAATAACAAGTTCTGAAATTAATGCAGCAATTAGTAACCTACCAACCAATAAAATTGCGGGTCTAGACATATTCGGAGCCTAATTCTACCAGAGGTACAAAGGGGAGCAGGTACCTCTCCTTCTGAAACTATTCCAAACAATAGAAAGAGAAGGAATCCTTCGTAACTCATTTTATGAGGTCAGCATCATCCTAGTACCAAAACCTGGCAGAGAGATAACAAAAAAATTAAATTTCAAGCTAGTATTCCTGATGAACAGAATATACAAATAACTTAAACAATTTACAAGAAAACAAACAACCCCGTCAACAAATGGCGAAGGATATGAACACAGACTTCTCAGAAGAAGACATTTATGCACCCAACAAATATGTGAAAAAATGCTCATCATCACTGGTCATTACAGAAATGCAAATCAAAACCAAAATTAGATACCATCTCACTCCAGTTAGAATAGTGATCATTAAAAAGTCAGAAAACAACAGATACTGGACAGAAAGTGGAGAAATAGGAAAGCTTTTACACATTTACAGTTGGTGGGAGTGTAAATTAGTTCAACCATTGTGGAAGACAGTGTGGTGATTCCTCAAGGATGTAGAACTAGAAATACCATTTGACCCAGACATCCCATTACTGGGTATGTACCCACAGGATTATAAATCATGCTACTATAAAGACACGTGCACACGTAGGTTTATGCAGCACTTTTCACAATAGCAAAGACTTGGAACCAACCCAAATGCCCTGGAGTGATAGATAGGATAAAGAAAATGTGGCACATATAAAGCATGAAATACTATGCAGCCATAAAAAAGGATGAGTTCATGTCTTTTGCAGCGACATGGATGAAGCTGGAAACCATCATTCTCAGAAAAGACAGAACACAAGAACAGAAAACCAAATACCACATGTTCTCACTCATAAGAGGGAGTTGAGCAGTGAAAACACATGGACACAAAGAGGGAAACATCACACACTGAGGTCTGTTGGGGGGTAGGGGGTTAAGGGAGAGGATAGGAGGCATAGCATTAGGAGAAATACCTAATGTACATCACGGGTTGATGAGTGCAGCAAACCACCATGGCTCATGTATACCTATGTAACAAACCTGCACGTTCTGCACATGTACCCCAGAACTTAAAGTATAATAATAATAATAAAAAGACAGGAAAAGAAACAGAGCAAAATTTAGTAAATACTTCCAGCAGTGTATTAAAACGACAATGCAACCTAACAAAGTAAATTTTTCTCAGGAATTCAAGTGTTGATTTGACATATTAGTATCATTCTGAAAACCTTTATTTATCACCTAAGTTTTCATAGTATACATTTCTATTTTCATATGAAATTAATTACTTTTTTGACTTCTTGAATCAAAATGATGTGAAATAAAATATACTGTCTATTAGAAAGGATTGTTTTTAAAATGGGGTTGAAAGTAGATCATGTTTGAATTCATTCAATTAGTTACTGCATGATATGCGTGGCATCTTTTACAAAAACTTTTAAAGAAAAATTTGTTTCAAAATAAAGAAAAATATTTTTTTAAAATTTTCCATATGTCCTCTTATTATACAAGGCCTTAAAGTATTTCTCTGATAACATTCTTGGTTGAGTGTTTTTGTTATTTGTCTATTGAGATTAACTGTGCTGAATTGACCAATACTGCATTACAGATTTGGGGGAACTATGAAATGTAATTTAACCTCTCTCTACTTTGCATCAAAACAACTTGCAGTCTTTTAGGGATTGAGGATGTGGAAAGATTTATTCTATCATCGTTTTTGTCCTACCTGGAGTGTGGAATGCTTGGAGATCTCAATTTTATGTAGCCAGGTCTCCCATCATACCCTAGTGAGTCTGGACTTAACCCTAAAATCTAATCCTATTCCCTTTAAGACCATCCTCTCCAAATCTCAAGTTTTCATGATTCCATAGATGTCTTCAAACAAATAGGGCCTTCCATATTCTGCCTGCCTCTCTCTGCCTTTGTGCCATCCTGACCTGGCCAGGCATGATGTCTCACATCTTTAATCCCAGCACTTTGGGAGGTAGAGGCAGGTGGGTGGATTGCTTGAGCCTAAGAGTTTGAAACAAGCCTAGGCAACATAGTGAAACCTCATCTCCACAAAAAATACAAAAATTGGCTGGGTTTGGTGGCTCACAACTGTAATCCCAACTACTCAGGAGACTGAGGCAGAAAGTCAAGGAAATCAAGGCTGCAGTGAGCTGTGGTTGTGTCACTGACCTCCAACCTGGGCAAAAGAGTGAGACTCTGTCTCAAAAAATAATAAAATAAAAATAAAATAAAATAAAATAAAATAAAATAAAATAAAATAAAATAAAATAAAATAAAATAAAATAAAATAAAATAAAATAAAAAATGAATTAGGGCCTGGAACTACCCCGAAGTCAGCATCTCCAAGCTTCCTGGCTTTGAAGGTGCAAGTTGCCAAGAACTTTTCAGTCACCAGGAAATGATTTCTGCCATCAATTCAATGGAGATTGAAATCAGCTTCTTCCCCATCCAAGTGTTCAGTTTGAGAGCACTACTTACTGACACCTTCATTGAAGAAGCCGTGAAAGAAAGAAAGAAAGACGATTTAAGTTACTAACTCTTTGACTATTTGTTGTGCAACAAAAGATAATTAATACATCATCCATCCCCACCACTCCTTCACAAACACTCTTTCCTAAGGAATAAAAAGCTTTGCAATCCACGCTGGCATGCTACATATTAAAAGCCATTAACTTATAGTCAAGGTCAGTAGCTAAAACTGGGCTGATACATAGATTTATAAAGAATGAAAATGTTTATTTGTGCTATATTAATGGTAAGATAAAATGTGCAAATCCAATCTTTTATTCTAAATATGAATACAGAACATTTATTAGCCTTTTCAAACAAGAAGTAATTAGAGTCTTACAGTTTTGAGTGCCTTGATTATCAAGGCTACATTAACAGTGTGTCTGTTAATGGAAAGGAAAATCCATTTAACAGTATTAATTTAGGTGGAATTCTTTCGCAGACAACAACGAAGAGCTAAGAAAGCCTCTTGTCACCCACATAACTTCCTCATCTAACATTTTTCTGCCTTCTATTTCTTCTGAAAAAATGTCTGATGGAACTCAAGGAGACCTTTTAATATGGAATATACCATTTATATATTATGTTATCCTTAAATACAACTGCAGAATATCAAAGCTGCAGTCTCCAAGGCATTTCTTACCATTGGTGGAGCCTCGATAAACATCGGAAAAAAATATTATTAAATACATGCAAAAACTACATACAGTGCTCTTAGATGCATCAAGCTGGGGGTGGATGGCTGGTTCTATTGATGACTGCTTGCATTTGACACTTTATTGCCTGCATTTCCAGAAGTTTTCTCCAGTGCTGTCACTAGGTTATTTAATTTATCCAAATCTGAGGGAAATAAAGATGTTTCAACAAACTGATGAAAGGTCAAGGGAAGGGTAAATTCAGAATAGACTCTTGTGTTCTGAAATTGCCCTGGGAGACTCACTGCATCCAAGATAATTTCCTGTCAATGAACTATAGTAATGTATCTGTGTTCTCTGGAAAGACCCATATTAGTAGATTCTTCCATGGGCCAACAGAACTAACAGAAAGTGTTTCAAAGGAGATCCCTGAATTGAGCTCAGTTTAGACACAGAAGGCAGCACTGCTACTGTCTTGTCCCTCATGCTAGAATGAGAGAGCTATCAGCAATCATTCCAGCATCCAAACTGACATCTAATATCATGGGCTACTGTGAAATAACCAGAAGACAATTTTTATTTCCAGCAGAAGGGCCACCATCAATAATAATCCTCTGTGATGAAAAGAAATACAGTGGTGTTCATGGTGGTGTTTAAAACCCAGAAATAATGTGTGGTTTTCCCTGCAGTTGCTGGGAGAAATTAAAGAATTTCTTTTTTTCCATTTGTGTGAAATTTTAAAGTTAAATGTTCTGAACTAAATAGCAAATCTAATCTTGAAAAAGAATAAAAAGGAATGAAGAAAGCCTCCATGAAATACAGAACTATGTGAAAAGACAAAACATATGTTTGACTGGTGAACCTGAAAGTGATGGGGAGAATAGAACCAAGTTGAAAAACACTCTTTAGGATATTATCCAGGAGACCTTCCCCAACCTAGAAAGACAGGCCAGCATTCAAATTCAGGAAATACAGAGAACACCACAAAAATACTCCTCAAAAGAGCAACCCAAAGATACAAAATCATCAGATTCACGAAGGTTGAAATTGTGTCTGGAATTAATTCCTTCCAGTGGGTTCTTGGTCTCGCTGACTTCAAGAATGAAGCTGACGACACTTGTGGTGAGTGTTACAGCTCATGAAGGCAGCACATCCAGAGTTGTTCATTCCTCCTGGTGGGTTCGTGGTCTCACTGGCTGCAGGAGTGAAGCTGCATACCTTCGCGGTGAGCGTTACAGCTCTTAAAGGCAGTGTGGACCCAAAGAATGAGCAGCAGCAAGATTTACTGCGAAGAGTGAAAGAACAAAGCTTCCACGGTATGGAAGAGGACCCAAGCAGATTGCTGCTGCTAGCTCAGGCAGCCAGCTTTTATTCCCTTATTTGGCCCCACCCACATACTGCTGATTGGTTCATTTTAAAGAGAGCTGATTGGTCCATTTTGATAGAGTGCTAATTGGTGCATTTACAAACATTTAGTTAGACACAGAGGGCTGATTGGTGCATTTACAATCCTTTAGCCAGAAATAAAAGTTCTCCAAGTCCCCACCTGACCCAGAAGCCCACCAGGCTTCACCTTTCAAAATGAAAGAAAAGAAATGTTAAGGGCAGCCAAAAGAAAGGCCACGTTACTCACAAAGACAAGCCCACAGACCAACAGAAGAGCTCTTAGGAGAAACCCTACAAGCCAATAAGTGGAGTACAATATTCAACAGCCTTAAATAAAAGAATTTTCAACCCAGGATTTCATATCCAGCCAAATTTAGCTTCATAAGAGGAGGAAAACTAAAATCATTTACAGATAACCAAATGCTGAGAGACTTTGCCACCACCAGTCCTACCTTACAAGAGCTCCTGAAGGAAGTAATAACTGTGGAAAGTAAAAACCAGTACCAGCCACAGCTAAAACATACCAAAATGTAAAGACCATTGACACTAGGAAGAAACTGCATGTACTATATGGCAAAATAACCAGCTAGTATCATAATGACTGGGACAAATTCACACATAATAATATTAACATTAAATGTAAATGGGCTAACTGCCTCAATTAAAAGACATAGACTGGCAAATTAAATAGAGTCAAGATCCACTTGTGTGCTGTATTCAAGAGACCCATCTCATGTGCAAAGACACATATAGGCTCAAAATAAAGGGATGGAGAAATATTTACCAAGCAAAGCCAAAAAAAGCAGAAGATGCAATCCTTGTCTCTGATATAACAGACTTTAAACCAACAAAGATCAATAAAAAGAAAGAATGGCATTAAATAATGGTAAAAGGATCAATGTAACAAAAAGAGCTAACAATCTTAAGTATGTACGCACCCTATACAAGGGAACCCAGATTCATATAGCAAGTTCTTAGAGACCTACAAAGATACTTAGACCCCCATACAATAATAGTGGAAGACAATAACACCTATCTGTCATATTAGACAGAACAATGAGAAAGAAAATTAACAAGGATATTCAGGACTTGAGCTCTGGATGAAGAAAACCTAATAGATATGTACAGAACTCTCCAACCAAAATTGACAGAATATACATTCTTAGCAACACATCACACTTATTCTAAAATTGACCACATAACTGGAAGTGAAACACTCCATAGCAAATTCAATTAAGGAAAGTCATAACAAACAGTCTCTCAGACCACAGTGCCATCAAATTAAAACTCAGGATTAAGAAACTTACTCAATACTGCATGACTACATGGAAACTGAACAACCTGCTCCTGAATGACCACTGGATAAATAACAAAATTAAGGCAGAAATAAACAAGCTATTTGAAACAAATGAGAACAAAGACAAAATGTACCAGGATCTCTGGGCCATAGCTAAAGCAGCATTTAGAGGGAAATTTATAGCATTATAAGCCCACAGGAGAAAGTAGAAAAGATCTAAAATCAACACCCTAATATCACAAATATAAGAACTAGAGAAGCAATAGCAAGAAAATTAAAAAGCTAGCAGAAGACAAGAAATAACTAAGATTAGCAGAAGTAGATAGAGACAGAAAAAACCATTCAATAAACCAACGAATCCAGGAGCTGGTTTTTTGAAAATATTAATAAAATTTATAGACCACTAAACAGACTAATAAAGAAGAAAAGAAAGAAGAATGAAATAGACACACTAATAAATGATAAAGATGTCACCACTGATCCCACAGAAATACCGTCAGAGAATACTAAAAATAACTCTACACAAATAAACTAAAAATCTAGAAGAAATGGATAAATTCCTGGACACATGCACCCTCCAAAGACTAAACCAGGAAGAAGTTGAATCCCTGAGTAGACCAATAACAAATTTTGAAATTGAGGCAGTAAGTAATAGCCTACCAGATATAAAAAAAGCCCAGGTCCAGACATATTAACAGCCAAATTCTATGAGAGGTACAAAGAGAAGCTAGGACTATTCCCTCTGAAACTATTCCAAGCAATAGACAACAAGAATCCTCCCTAACTCATTTTATGAGGCCAGCATTATCCTGATACCAAAACCTGGTAGAGACACAATAGAAAAAGGAAATTTCAGGCCAGTATATTTGATGAACATCAAAGGAAAAATTCTCAATAAAATACTGGCAAACTGAATCCAGCAGCAAATCAAAAAGCTTATCCACGACAATCAAGTTGGCTTCATCCCTGGGATGCAAGGCAGGTTCAACATGCACAAATCAATAAATGTAATCCATCACATAAACAGAAACAATGACCAAAAAACTCATGATTATTTCAATAAATGTGGAAGAGGTGTTCAATAAAATTTAAATCTCTTTCATGCTAAAAATGTTCAATAAACTAGATATTGATGGAATGTACATCAAAATCATAAGGACTATTTGTAACAAACCCATAGCCAATATCATACCGAATGGGTAAAAACTGGAAGCATTCCCTTTTAAAGCTGGCACATGACAAGAATGACCTCTCTCACCATTCCTATTCAACATAGTATTGAAAGTTCTGGCCAGGGCAACCAGGAAAGAGAAAGAAATAAAGGGTATTCAAATAGGAAAACAGGAAGTCAAATTGTCTCTGTTTGTAGATGACATGATTGTATATTTAGAAAACCCCATCGTCTCAGCCCCAAATCTTCTTAACCTGATAAGCAACTTCAGCAAAGTCTCAGGATACAAAATCAATGTGCAAAAATCACAAGCATTCCTATATGCTAATAATAGAAAGAGAGCCAAATCATGAGTTAACTCCCATTCACAACTGCTACAGAGAATGAAATAGCTAGGAATACAACTTACAAGGGAGATGAAGGACCTCTTCCAGCAGAACTACAAAGCACTGCTCAAGGAAATAAGAAAGGACATAAACAAATGGAAAAACTTTCCATGCTCATGGATAGGAAATATCAATATTGTGAAAATGGCCATAGTGCCCAAAGTAATGTATACATATAATGCTATCCCCATCAATATAACATTGACTTTCTTAACAGAATTAGGAAAAACTACTTTAAATTTCATATAGAACCTAAAAAGGAGCCCATATACCCAAGACAATCCTAAGCAAAAAGAACAAAGCTGGAGGCATTCTGCTATGTAACTTCAAGGATACAGTAACCAAAAGAGCATGATACTGATACAAAACAGATAAAGAGACCAATGGAAAAGAACAGAGGTTCCAGAAATAATACCACACATCTACAACCATTTGTTCTTTGATAAACCTGACAATAACAAGGAATGAGGAAAGAATTCCCTATTAAATAAATGATGTTGGGAAAACTGGCTGGCCATATGCAGAAAATTAAAATTGGACCCCTTCCTTAATCCTTATACAAAAATTAACTCAAGATGGATTAAAGACTTAAACATAAAACCTAAAACCATAAAAACTCTAGAAAAAAACTTAGGCAATACCATTCAGGACATAAGCATGGCCCAAAACTTCACAACAAAAACACCAAAAGCAACAGCAACTAAGCCAAAATTGACAAATGAAATCTATTTAAACTAAAGAGCTGCTGCACAGCTAAAGCAACTATCATCAGAATGAACAGTAAATTTATAGAATGGGAGAAAATTATTGCTTTCTATCCATCTGACAAAGGGCTAATATCCGGAATCTATAAGAAACTTAAGCAAATTTACAAGAAAAAACAACACCATCAGAGATTGGACAAAGGATAAGAACAGGCACTTCTCAAAATAAGACATTTATGCAGCCAACAGACATATGAGAAAAAGTTCATTATCACTGGTCATTGAAGAAATGCAGATCAAAAGCACAATGTGGTATCATCTCACACCTCTTAGAATGGTGATCATTAGAATGTCAGGAAACAACAGATGCTGAAGAGGATGTGGAGAAATAGGAAAGTTTTTGCACTGTTGGTGGGAGTGTAAATTAGTTGACCACCATGGAAGACAGTGTGGTGATTCTCAAGGATCTAGAACCACAAATATGATTTAACCCAGCAATCTCATTACTGGGTATATACCTAAAGGATTAAAAATCATTCTACTATAAAGACACATGCACACATATGTTTATTGCGGCACTGTTCACAATAGAAAAGACTTGAAACCAACCCAAATGCCAATCAGCGATAAACTGGACAAAGTAAATGTGGCACATATACAGCATGGAATACTATGTAGCCATAAAAAAGGGGGAGTTCATGTCATTTGCAGTGACATGGATGAAGCTGGGAAACATCATTTTCAGCAAACTAACACAGGAACAGTAAACCAAACACGGCATGTTCTCACTCGTAAGTGGGAGTTGAGCAATGAAAACACGTAGACACAGGGAGGGCAACATCACACACTGGGGCCTGTTGGGGGTTGGGGGCATAGGGGAGGGATAGTATTAGAAGGAATACCTAATGTAGATGATGGGCTGATGGGTGCAGCAAACCACCATTACGTGCATATACCTATGTAACAAACCTGCACATTCAGCACTTATATCCCACAACTTAAAGTATAATAAATAAATACATAAATAAATGGCAAACCTAAATACAGAAACAGTGTGTTTGCTATACTTATGTGGCCAGACATACAACTTACTATCATAAATTGGAATTAATGGTAAATTTTGAGTGTGAACCATCTATGCAAATAAAAAAGGTTTAGAGTCAAATGACTTATGACTATACATATGATATCTAGACTCTTACTATGCATTTGATATGTATTTATTTAAAGTGAGGGATGCTAGGTTAGGTGTGGTGGCCTGTAATCCCAGCTCTTTAGGAGGCCCAGAAACGAAAATTTCTTCAGGCTAGGAGTTTGAAACCAGCCTGAGTAACATAGTGAGACATCATCTATACAGAAAATAGAAAAAATTAGTCAGGTGTAGTGGTGCATACCTGTGGTCCCAGCCAATTTGAAGGCAAATGTAAGAGGATCACTTGAGACCAGTGGAGGATGCAGTGAGCCATCACTGCACCACTGTACTCCAGTGGATGACAGACAGAGAGACTATGCCTCTTCAAATAATAATAAAGTAATAATAAATAATAAAGTCAGGAGTTGCTGACTATGTTCATGTTCAAAAACCATACTTGGGCAGTTGCGGTGGCTCATGCCTGTGATTCCAGCACTTTAGAAGGCCAAGGTAGGTGGATCACTTGAGGTTAGTAGTTGGTG
Source organism: Homo sapiens (assembly GCF_000001405.40). Lineage (NCBI taxonomy): Eukaryota > Metazoa > Chordata > Mammalia > Primates > Hominidae > Homo > Homo sapiens. Next base: position 15,662,145 of record NC_000024.10, on the reverse strand, counting down.
ACCCACCTGGCCAACATGGTGAAACTCTGTCTCAAAAATTAGCCAAGCATGGTGATGGATGTCTGTAATCCCAGCCACTCATGTGGCTGAGACAGGAGAATTGCTTGAACCTAGGAGTTGGAGGTTGCAGTTACTGGAGATTGCACCATTGCACTCCAGCCTGGACAACACAGTGAGACTCAAAAAAACAAAAACAAAATAATACCGTACTTACAGAGCATCAACCTGATGTGCAACCTGAAAACACACCTCAGTAAAATGATTCTGTGGCCAGACCTCAACATCTACTGATGCTTTCATATTAAAAAGCCTTTTATTCAATTAACTAAATTATTTAATTTTCAAAGTTTTGGTTGATAAGTTATAATTATATATATTTATGGAGTATAATGTGATGTTTTGATATATGTTTATAATATGGAATAATTAAATCAAGTGTATTAACCTACCCATCACCTCAAATACTTATTTTTTTGTGTCAAGACCATTTGACATTTCCTGTCTTAGCAATTTTGAAATACACAACTCATTACTATTAACTATAGTCAACCTACTGTGCAACAGATCTCATACACTTATCTGCACCAAATGGTTGGTACATTTTATCCTGAAATGCTAGCATTCACAAATCCACATTCTATGAATAATTCAGGAATTCATCACCTCGGAAGTGTGTCTGCCTACAAGGCATGCTAGGAAAATGGTGCCCTATAGTGAAACAAAGGGCATATTCAAATTAGGATTTTCTGTGAAAGAGTCGTGCTGTTGTTTTATTAATTAGACACATGTGTAGGGAGGCCATAAACCATGCAGGAAGTCTTTCTTGGTTTGCCTCTAGCAGCCTTTAGAAGATAACTAGGTGTCTTCTCTGTTGAGGTCATCTCAGCCCTAGACGTCCTCACAGGGACCACACTAGAGAAAGAGAAACCAATCTTTATTCTCCACCCTTCCTTGAATTTCCCACCAGTGTTACCATCCCTATAACTTTACAAAAATAATCATAGAAAAATGGAGAGGTAGAAACAAACTAAAGCAAGCTTGCAGTATATTTAGCATTAATCCCTAGGTCAGCTAGCTCTCCGACTGGCTTCTTCATAGTGCTTTGGTATCTATTGTCTGAGTTTAGATTATAGCTCCCCATAACTGCTTTATAAACAACAACTTAAGCATTGTGAAAAGTGAAGTTCTCCTTTGAGATATTCTTTCACATCCTGCATACCAAACAATAATAAAATGACTGATGCCAGTTGGTCTAAAGGACCCTGCAAGGAGTTGACTCACCAAAGAATGCCATTGGCACACCCTGATGATTTCATCTCCCTTACACTGACCAATGAATGACCCCAATGTTCTAGCCCCTTGCCTTCCACGATCCCCTTAAAAGCTTCAGCCAAGATCCATCTCCAAGGAGATGGATCTGAATGTCCCTCCCATCTCTTCACTCAGCACCCTGTGATTATTAAAATCTTTCTCTGCTGCAAACACTGTTGCTTTTGTGCATTGGTGCATTACTGTGTAGTGGGTTTATAAATCTGTTGTTCCTATAACAACATGGCTTATCATTGCCCAAACCATGCTGAAGCCAGAGACACAGGATCCACAGACATAGCCCACATTTGTCATCCCCCCATGGCACAAAGCAAGAAGAAGGGGGAAGGAGAAAACTCAATGGAAGCTCTAGAGAAGCAAGTGAATGATTGAAGGTCATAAGGAGACCTCTACACCTGTATTACAGAACAATGTATAGTCCTTCCAGGAGTTCCTAGATTATCCCTCACCATCAGCAGGGCTCAAAGTATTAGAATTCATGGATGTGTCATAACCATCATGACCAGCACAGGTTAGTGCTTGTTGTTAACACCAGACACTGTGCAAATCGTTCCTCACATACCATTTCATTCTGATTCTCCCAACGAGTCAATGAGAGAGGTATCATTCCATCCACCCTGTTTCAGAGATGAGAACAAATAATCCTAAAGAATAGTTCAGGAACCTCCCAACATTGCAAGGACAGCAAAGGAAAGATCTCATATGGAAGTTTAGACAGCCTGAGTCAGAAATCAGAATATGTATTGCTACTTGGAATAGGAAGTAGTCATTCATATCACTGGGAGTGTGGTGGGAGTAGGGGGTATTTCAGGATGCATAGTGAAAGACCAACAAAAACTTTATATAACCACTTCAAAAAGATCAACCTATGCTCTTTTCTAGCTCATGATCATAGCCATTGCTCAACTTTGCCAGTAGACAGGTGAAGGGGACAGGTTCCTTCAGCTGGTTCTCCCTCCTCCTATGATGAGAGGATTAGAGCAAGCAATATACGGTGTTAAAGTTTCCTCTCTACTGCTAGGCACACAACTTCAGCCAAGATCTAGCCTGGTGAATTCATGAGGCACCCTATCAAAATATCTCACAGACTCTGCCCAAAGAGGACACGCTCCCTCCTCCAGCACATTCTGGACATTGTTATACTTTGAGTTCTGGGATAAATGTGCAGGATGTGCACTTTTTTTTTCTCCAGCAATAAATTTATTCTTCATTTTAACCCTGGTTTTCCCACTGTGGGAGCCTTGTTACCTACAGCCAAACAAAAATCATCTGTGATGTTAGCACGTCCATTGGACGCTTATCGTTTCTCATGGAAACACTTCCCTCTTAAAATCACAAAGCAAAACATTGAGAGAAAGACTGCACATCATGGGACTGGATAATAAAAATAAAAAGCAAGAACAATCACATCATATTTTCAAAGATGGTTGCATATAAGATTAAAAACCATATTTCACTGTTATTCTCTCTCATCTTAAAATGTCATGTGATTTGTCAAACTCAGCTGACTCCTGTTCTCTGAACTGTTTTGCCCAAAACAACTTTGCCTTTCTAGCTCTCCCTTATAACAGATTAGCTCAGACTTCATCGTGCTACTGTAAAATATATCAACCCAACACTTTATTTTCCACTGGGTTTTTCTAGAACTGAATATTTTATTCCATTTACTTCCTGGACACTTTCTTGCCTGTAAGTTCTTACCCCTCATACTAGGATATTATCCAACATAAATACCCCGACCCCAATTCTGACTTCTCACTTGTCGTTTCCATGGAACTCCTACCAATGATCTAGGGCCCTAGTAGGCATTTAATAGACCATGAAAAGCATCTCTTCTTAATGCCTTTCCCTTCACATTGGATCTCTGAGTTGCACTTGATATTATTCTATGTTGTCCTACTTAGTCTTTCTTTTGTCGTTATTTAACCAAAAAATACATGACTTTTAGTAATGTTTTCTTGGAAACTTCAGGTTTGTGGCTGGTTTCAGGAGCCCACATTTGTAAATCTAGTACTTTGGAAGGCCAGGTGGGAGGACTGCTTGGCCCAAAAGTTTGGGACCTGCCTTGGCAACATGGTAAAATTTGATCTCTTAAAAAAAAATTAGCTGAGCATGGTGCTCTGCACCTGCTTGCAGAGGATTGCTTGAGCCCAGAAGTTTGAAGCTGCTGTGACCTGTGATCATGCCACTGCACTCCACCCTGAGTGACAGAGTGGGACCTGTCACTTTAAAAAAAGGAAAAAGAAGAAAGTTCAGGTTTGAGGTCTTTAAGTCTTTAATTCTAAATCATATTGGTTGAACAAGTGAGCAAATAAAAGCTAGGTAAACTCATTTCATTATGTGGATACCTGCTGATTTTATTTTTTATTTGTTTATTTATTTATTTATTTATTTATTTTTTGAGATGGAGTCTCGCTCTGTTGCCCAGGCTGGAGTGCAGTGGCGCAATCTCGGCTCACTGCAAGCTCCGCCTCCCGGGTTCATGCCATTCTCCTGCCTCAGCCACCCCAGTAGTTGGGACTACAGGTGCCCGCCTCCACGCCCGGCTAATTTTTTGTATTTTTAGTAGAGATGGTGTTTCACCGTGTTAGCCAGGATGGTCTCGATCTCCTGACCTCGTGATCCCCCCGCCTTGGCCTCCCAAAATGCTGGGATTACAGGCGTGAGCCAAGACCAGCCACTGTATTTGAAACAGTCACCTGTATCCTACCTTGATTGTCTTTGTGGACAATTATGAAAAGTGAAATAATATAAATTTTAGCACGTATTAAAACTCACATAGGTCTGGACAAAATTTCTTTGTGGGCTTGGAAAATAGGAATTCTGTTAGATCAAAACTAACTCATCTCTTTTGGGTTGTAAAGTTAATTAAAGATAAGACTGTCAGGGCCGGACGCGGTTGCTCACGCCTGTAATCCCAGCACTTTGGGAGGCTGAGGAGGGCGGACCACGAGGTCAGGGGATCCAGACCATCCTGGCTAACATGGTGAAACCCTGTCTCTACTGAAAATACAACAAATTAGCCGGGATTTGTTGCATCCGCCTGTAATCCCAGCTGCTCAGGAGGCTGAGGCAGGAAGGAGGAGGATCTTGCAGTGAGCTGAGATCGCGCCACTGCACTCCAGCCTGGACGACAGAGCCAGAACGAGACTCGGTCTCAAAAAAATAAAAATAAAAAAAATAAGATTGTCTGGATTTTAGGGTTTGATTTATGCCCCATGATCAAGAAGGTTGAACTCAGTCATGATACGCCTATTTCTATTCTATCAGAAGTCCTAGTTTGAAATCAGTAATAGACTCTGATACACCTTTTTGTATATGCAAGTTCACACAGGGTTGAAATTAGGGGAAAGAAACCCTGACAGCTTTTCATTAAGTTTGAAACACAGTTGGATGTCCCTCATTTCACAGAAATCTAAAGAACCTGTGATGTTTCCATAGTCAAGCCACCAAAAAATCAAACTGTGTATGTTTCACTTTTAAAAAGCAAAAAGAACAAGAGAAAACCTCCAGTATATAACGCATGTTTTCTGGAGAATCCTTGAAGGTTATCCATTTGGTAGTGAGTTTTTATACAACTCAGAAAATGTCATAATTACTGATAATGATCTAACAGTCATTGTTCATCACGGATGCTGCAGAAAGATAAGAAAATACACGCTGTGATCAAAAGTAGCTTATTTAAAAAAGGAAAATACACGCTGTCTTGTGAGGTAATGTCTATTATGTTTCTGTGGATAAAATTCATCAGTTTCTCTGTGAAAAGAGGAAGGGAAAGTTTGGCAATGCAAAGGTTTACAGACTCAATGTAAAGAAGTGGTGCATTCCAGACTGTTTCCTTCCATATGTTTAGAAAACTCGTTGAGAGGCTTTGCTGATAGCCAAACTTCTGGAAAAAAAATAGTGTGCACATTTGTATTTCCCCAGAATAAAGATGACAAGTGGTGGATCTTCCTTCAAACATGTGAGCTGATGATTTTGCTCTTAGGGTGGGAAAAGCATTTGAATCATTTTATTTGGATGCTGTAGCACAGGTCAAGTGAAGGTTGAATTCAAAGGGTGAGGCTACCTTCAACATTTTAAATACCTTAAACACCACTTTGCTAGGTTTCTCAGGTATGTCCATGTGAACCAGTACACAGCTTTTAATGTTCTTGAGCTACCAAGGGTGTTTATTACGCTGAGTGAAGTTACTCAGAAAAGAAAAAAAAAGAAATTGAGAAGACAATGCTTTCCTTTCTAGATTAGCTCATTGTATCAGTTTCCTCTTGCTGCTGTAATAAATTATCATAAACTTGGGCTTAAAACAACACATACATGCACTGCTTACTGTTCTTGCAGTCATAAGACTGAAATGGGTTCCAAGAGGCTAAAGCTTCCTCTTTCAATTATAGAAACGCTTGTGACTATATTAAGCCCACCTGAATAATTCAAGATAATCTTTACCTCTCAAGTTCCTTGACTTCACCACATCTGCAGAGTCACAGTCCCTTTGGTCACATAAAGTAACATATTCAAAGATTTTAAGTATTAAAACATGGACATCTTTAGGGTGGGTAGAGGAGTTATTCTACCCACCACACTTGGGTTAATGGGAATTTCCAAAGTTTTCATCTAATATATTTTGAGGGACTATTTTCTGCACTTAGATAACACAATCAATTTCCACTTGCCATGGCCTGGCCTTCTATTTGCAATTCTTCCTATTGTGAATTTACAAATTTTTTTTCTTCCTTTGTTCTCATTCCCTTTTGTGATTCCTGGCTTCTTGATTTCTATACTGAGGGTCAAATCCTCTCTCTTCCACTAACCTTTTTTTATCACACCTTAAGTTATATTTTTCGCCAGAATTCCCTTTTAATATGCTATAACTGCCTTCAATTGCTGTCATTTAGTTGCAAGTTGAGGATATCAGTCCTATTTGGGTCAACTTTTCTTTCCAATCTCTGTAAGCCTAGCTGATTACACATGAGAGTTACTCATTCAATCATTCATTCATTCACTCATGCAACAAATATTTATTGAGTGACCATTCTGTGCCAGACACTGTTCTAGATACCTAAAGAAATGGATGCATCACTGAATGAGTGAATTAGTGAATTAATTACCTAATATCCTAATAGAAATTAGTTACTAGCTTAAAGTCTTCTTGGCTTAAGTTGGAGTCCTCTGTCTAGAATTATCATTTGAAAGAAATTAGTCCTATGAACATCCTAATTTGAAAAATGAGAAAGACAACTGCTTCTATCAATAAGAAAATATTATAGAGTCTGTTAATTACTAAATACAAGCTCATCACAAGTGCTTAAGGAATGTTAGACATCATCATTATTATTGTCATAACAGGTTAGAGGAAGAATTTTTAGAGCCCTCCCTGTGTGTTTTCCCAACAATATGTAAGCTACATGCCATGTGGGGAATCCACTGCATTTTGCAATACTCTAGAATAACAGCAAAGCAATGCCAATATACTACCTTAGTTAAAATTTGTGGATTTATATATGTATACACACATATGTGTATACAGCTTCCCTATAAGAAACATTTTATTTCTCTTATCAGCACGTGGATTTATTTCATTTGTCAAGCTCTTACCAAGTGGAAATTCCATGGAGAATTGTGCTTAGTTTTGAACATCTGCCTTTGGGAAAATGTGAGCAAACATATTCCCAATTGGCTTGTGGCAATTTATTGTATTTGTTGAACATATTGATTTGTTCCGGACACTTGTGAAAGAGACTGAAAGAAAATTGCCTTTATTTTTGACTGAGAAAACAAATTTTACCTCAAATTAGAAGATAAACTTTTCATAGATAATTCCAATAGATATCACAGACTTTGTGTATGCTCAAGATAATAGAAGAATTAAGTGCAATGAAATTACATGTGAGAAATATAAAATACAGGAAAAAGAATGTCTTCATCTATTCTTCAATTCCTATGGCATTGTCTTTCCTCCTCACTTCTTCTTTTTCATCTTTCCTCCTGATTTCTTATTAGCAAAACATAGAACCCCTATCCATAACAGGTAATATCTGTCTTCCTGGGCTTAGTCAACACTCTCACACTGATGTTTGAGGAATTTTCCCAGTATCATGCCTTCTCATATCATTTTAGAAAGGCTTCTGGATTCCCACCATGGGAAAACAAAAAGCAAAAACAGGAAAGTGCTTGAAATTGATTAGCACAACCAGGTGTACTTTTTCCCTCCATTCCTCTCTACCACCCAGCTCACTTTGATGGATAGAAAATGTAGATTCCTATGTGTGTGACATAAAGTGTGAGCCTACAATAAAGAAGAAATCTTTTTTTAAGTAATTTTTCTTGAAAACTTGATGAATACGCTTGGGATTATCCAAAATTGAGGAGATTATAGAGAGATTAGGAAAAGGGCATGGAAGGTACCATAAGAAAGAATTATTAGCTTCAGAATAGACCTATAGTTTTTTATCTCTGAATTACTATCCAGGGAGATGAAGCCCCCAGCTGGGATACTCCAGGTAGCTCCCTTACTTCCTATCACTCACTAAGAAGTTATCTTAAGAAAAATCCAGCTCAACTAAGATTGCTTTTCTCTTGGGCCTTATTTTATAATAAAAATCTCCTCTAGCTCTAACCTTTCTGCTTCAGCAGCACATAGTGTTTCCTCACATAAGTACAGCAAAGTTTAGGGATTAATTCTGAGAGGATTAAAATGAGTGAAAATGGAGGGGATTAGGAACTGCCCTCATACTCCATGGTTGACCTTTATCATAGAGGCTATTATAGCAGATGAATTTATGAAGTCTATCAAATGGCATATTTTTCATGAGCTGTGTATAACATTTCAACAGAGTATGTTGCAAAACAAGCTCTTTCCCAACATCTGAAAGGCTCACAATATCAGAAGGACTGGAATTCACAACAAAGAGTGTTTGGCTGTGATGGCAGATATTCTTGGCTTCTCATTGAAGCTAGGACACCTAGATGTTTGCAAAACAATGAAGAAATACAATTAGAAAATATATTTCAAAGCTAATCAGTGATTTTGTCTCAGTGGATTGGATTAAGGCAAAAGCTTAAGATTAAGGCTGGGTACACAGTAGTTGAATCAGTTTGGTTCCCAGTAAGCAATACCAGATAAAAATACTTTTTTAAGCTCTCTTCCTTTCTCTCTCTCTCCCTCACCCTGGCCCCCATCTCCTCCTGCCCTTTTCTCCTCTCCATTCACCCTCAAGCATTTCTCTTTGGGTCTTTGTCTTTACCTCTTTACCCACTCATTAGATTATACGTTTTAAATTCCAACTCCCAGATCCTACTATGACACATGTATTTTTTCCATCTGAATAAAAAGCAAATTCTACTGGTAGAAATTGCACTGTACTCAAGCATATGAGCAAAACTGCCTGGCATTAAAGGACAAAATAGTAGATGGATTTTTCCCCAAACATATCAAAGTTTTCAATCATACACTAATCACTGTTCCTTGGCCATGTTCACATTATTTTCTCCTTTGTTAATTCTGCAGCCATTAAGCAGCTACAAGTGATGAAGTCAACACTGTAATCATCCAGAGTCATACGAATCAATATGATTTTCCACTGACCTTGAAAACCGTGAACATTAAGGAGACTGAAATTGAAATAAACATGGAAAAAAATACAAATATCATTCAGCCCAATTTGCATGTCAGCCTCTGGATTTCAGCATCTGTACCATAGAAAGACACTTTGAATCTCAACATGCAGCTGAGGTCAGGGGTAAAGGGGCAGCTGAGAATAGTTTTTTGCAGGTAAGCTTCCAGATAAAAAGGAAAAAAATAAGCATTTACTGAGAGTGTACTATGTCCTAGGCACTTTGTCATGCAATATTTACTCCTATGAATTCTGTCATGTAGGCAGGTGAAAATTATTCAGATTTTGTAGATGAGGAAGGTGAAATTTTGACAGATGGAGTAATTTTTCCAGGGTCACACAGCTTGTGTATGACCAGCTAGGAATCTGAACCAAAGATTCCAAAGCTCAGTCTCTTTTATGCTACCTTTGCTCTTTTATGCTCTTTTGGGGAGCAGAAGCCCTTCCTAAGCCTATGTGGGTGGGTCAATAGATACATGTCTTGTGGCACAATGGCAGTGCCAGAGGGAGTTGAGCATGTGAGTGTGTGATGTTACACCATCTATTTTCCCCCCACAATTACTGATAACCCACCTCCTAGTACCTACCCTGCTAAAAGTGCAGAGAACTGGAGTAGGAACATTCTAGCCCAACAGAAATGCAGGGACTAGGATGCAAAGTGAGGGTCAAGGCAACACCAGGATCACAGCAGAGTGGAGAATGAGGCCCAATGTAGAAACAAACTAGGATCTCCAGAGTTAACAGACCCACACTGCTCTTCTCTTTCCTACCAAGACTTGATGGGTGATTGTTGGTGGAGTATATTTCATTTCTCTCCTAGGTTGACAAACCCTGGACTGGCTCAATAACAACATGTCTCCAAGAGCAAATGGCTGGAAGGGCCTAGATAAAGACTGGAATTTGGGGATGAGGACTTGAGCCCAACATAAGCTGTAAAGAGATTCTACCCATTGTCTTCAAGGAAGAAATCGGCAACTTCTGATTATTAATTAATTAATTAATTAATTAATTAATTTGTTTGAGACAGAGTCTCATGCTGTCGCCCAGACTGGACTGGAGTGCAGTGGTGTGATCATGGCTTACTGCCACCTGTGGCTTCTAAGCTAAAATTATCCTCCTGCCTCAGCATCCCCAGTAACTGGGACTACAGGTGTGTACCACTATGCCTGACTAATTTTTGTACTTTTTGGAGGAGATGAGGTCTCACCATGTTGCCCACACTGGTCCTGAACTCCTGAGCTCAAGTGATACACCCACCTCAGCCTCCCAAAGTTCTGGGATTACAGGCACAAACAACTGCCCCTGGTCTGCAACTTCTGATCTTTACAGTTTATGCTCTCAAATCATGCTATCCTTTATGGTATTACAATTTATAATCGCTACTGTTCCTAATTATAAATATATAAACTAGCTTACTTTAATAACTAGCAGTAAATGAGAAATCAGGGATTCAATAGAAAATACACGCATATTAAAATATAAAGCTTATAGTGGATTTGAAACAGTAAACGAAAATACATTTTCTTCTCGCTAGTTCATGACACTCTGCCCATTGCATCCACTGAGCCAGGATAACTAATTCCTTCAGAAAAAATCACCCATGCCTAGAATGAAGATCTCATTACTCCATTTTGGGCTTGCAAAGTGGATCTGTCTCAATCTTCAGAGATGGTCTAGTTTTGCATGCACAGTATTGACAGCAAAGGAAAAGACTTTCTAAGTCCATAATATTTTTCTTGATAAACCAAGAGGAAAACCTGCAAGTATAATCCTGGCATTTTTCTGTAAGCAATTAGACAAAGAAGTGCAGATATTAACATATAAAGAAAGTCCAACAATGAGAACACTTGGACACAGGATGGGGAACATCACACACTGGGGCCTGTCATAGGGTGGGGGCAGCGGGGAGGGATAGCATTAGGAGATATACCTAATGTAAATGACAAGTTAATGGGTGCAACACACCAACATGGCACATGTGTACACATGAAACAAACCCACACGTTGTGCTCATGTACCCTAGAATTTAGAATCTAATTTAAAAAAAAGTTCTCACTAGATATAAAGATGAAATAATAGGTTATTCGATTTTGGGAGGATGAACTAAAGATAAGAAGAAGGAGAGGGAAAGCCAGAGAGTTGAGATGTAGGCAGGTTAAGTTCTTTAAGCTGAGAACCTCAAAAAGAAGGAGACTCCTGAAGTCTAGCCAGAGGAATCCAAGTAGAGAATAAGTAGCTTCCCTTGCCTGGGGAAAGAAAGGTCTCCTGACAAATAATTCCAGGAGAACACCCTAAACATCTGTCATTGACTCTTATGTAAATCCTATACTCATCTGATGTGAGAGCCAGTAGTTCCTTCCTAGAAGACAGCTGGAGATATTGTTTAGCTTACCTTTCTTTTGGATGGAGAGAGAAGTTACTCCATATTGGAGGACTGCAAAATGGGATGCCCAAAACAAGAGACCAATAGAAAGAAGAGAGAGAATCCATGAGCAATAGGACCAGGGAGAGCCAAATTGAGGGTCCCACTGGCAGCGCCATGACAGCAATTGGAAGGATCTCTTTCACTCGGAGAACTGCCTCCAAGCTCTGCCAGCTGCCAGTGTTTCATCAGGGCGAAAAGAAAGATGAAGGGAGAGAAAATACACAGGTCATACTCTGACCTCTACAAACTTACAGAGGTTTCTCCTGAACCCAGACACCATTTTTTGATGAGGCTGGGAGGCAGCTTTTGAGATGAAGTGGAGAAGGGCTCAAACCTGATGAAGTTTGAATTCTGAGTTGACTGAATATTTACCCAAAATATAAGATCAGAGAAGATTTTTATCCTGACTGGCAAGTTGAAGCTTGAGCTTTTTGTCTGCCCCATCAGCTGAGGAAATAGAGTAATATGAAGCAACACAAACAATAATACAAGTTCCTTGTTTTTCCACCCACATAAAATGCAGTGTGAAATATTTTGACATGTATTCATTACCTGGTCTGGAAGTCTGTGGCTATTGCAACAAGTTTTTCTTTTCCTTGTGGTAGGTGTTTGTTTTTATAAATTCATCCAACAGACTGAATCCTGAGCAAAAGAGAGTAAGAGAATCACGGCACTTACTCAGATGACTGACAAAACTGCCCTGGTTTTCTATTCGGCTTGGACTATTTCTGTAAATTTTCCACTAGCTGATTTTCACCTAGATGCATATATCAACAATTACACAAATGTTTAGCACTCATTTCTTTAACTGTAGCCATATACATGTCTGAATGTTCACAGCTGCAAGATGTATATGCTGACAGCTCCATTCAAAGACACTTAAAGTATCTAATTAGATTCTAGTTTTCCTGAGACCAGGCTGAGTCTTTAAAGCTGGCACTTAGGGACATCCTATGCTGGTATGTCCATCATCACCAGGAAGATCTGTGAGAGCTATGACCTTTCCATGTCATCAGCCATGCATCTCTCCATATAATATGTGAAAAATTTTAATTACCATGTTTAAATCTGCATGATTTACTCAATAATAACATTAATAACAAATGACATTCAGATAGAATTACCAACATGAGGATTGTATTTTTAAATTAATCTACATGAGTGCTAATGAGGGAAGAATATGTTGGTTTCAAGATGGCCCCCTCAGCACACAACTTGTTTCTTAGTTTCCTTGGCAATCAACCTTTGGAAATTTTGGCACTATGAAGAACTGATTTATATGAGCACACAACATTGTAGAAGAAGAATCTGATCCTGTCATGTGATGCATTCCAAACTCTGGATGTTACATCTCTAGATGACCATGGAGGTTATCCCAAATGATACTCATAACATGTAGTTTTTAGAAAATACAGGACATTGCTCTAAACACCTCATGTAGTAATCATACCTACTAATTCCAAGGTCATTGTCAATTACAGATTTTGTAAAGAGATGGTAATACAGCCTTCCCTATGAATAAGTCACTTATGTGGAAAAAGCTCTCAAAATATTCTGAGACTATTTAGTTGTCCACAGTTGTGAATACAGAATGACAAGGTCAAAAAATTCCAATCTAACAGTTATCTTTATTTCAGGCATATTTTTTCAGCATCTATAAAATAATTACTGTGTGGAACAAATATTTGCTGCCACTAAGTTTGAAGAATTTGACTCCTCCCTGCCTTAACTGCTTTCACAATGTGACTGAACTGACCAACTATTTCCCCATTATCAGGCAGATCCTGAATCTCACCTGACTTATGAGGCTGTTGAGAGCCTGGGATATGAAAAATTCATTGTGATAGAAAGGCCTATCAAAGGGCAGATTGATAAGAAGAAGAAAAAAAAGCCAGGCTCATTAGGAGGAAAAATAACTGAATGACTTTATTTAAATTAGATGAATAAGTTGAACTGTTTGATATACATTGACTCCAATTAATTTCAATTAGGAAAAACAAGTGTAGACAGGCCAGCCATGGTGACTCACACCTGTAATCCCAGCAGTTTCAGAGACAAAGGTGGGCAGATCACCTAAGGTCAGGAGTTGGAGACTAGCCTGGCCAACATGGTGAAATCCCATTTCTACTAAAAATAAAAACAATTAGCCAGTGTGATGGCAGTTGCCTGTAATCCCAACTACTCAGAAGGCTGAGGCAGGAGAATTGCTTGAACCAAGGAGGCAGAGGTTGCAGTGAGCTGAGATTGAGATCTAGCCATTGCACTCCAGCCCAGGCAACAATGTGAAACTCCATCTCAAAAAAAAAAAAAAGGATGTGTATACATAAAGTTATGAGACAGCTTGATTGACATCATTAGACATGATATTCATGTGTAACTGTTAGTATAGCTAGTAGGATGGTGAGTCATTCCTTCTCAACCATCACTTCTGTTTGCTGGAAGTTATGGTATGGCCCTTGTAAAATTAAATATGCCATTCAGGATTCTAATCAATCTTGACATGCATATGGCTTTTTTATTAAGAAAATTAATAATGCATAAGAACCACAGATAGTAACTAAGGCATTCTTGTGTTCCTCTCTTTTATCTCTTCTCAGAATGCTGAACACAAAGGTAAGGCAAGAGTGGGCTGATTATTTTGAAGCAGGTCTTGGTAATGATTATTCAAAGTAGACTCTCTGGAGGATCACCAAGTCATAGCAAATTTATCCTGGAACCTAAAAGCTGCCACGACAGTAGCAAATGAAAGAATTATGATAGTCATGTTAGCAAACCCCACTTGCTCTGAGGGTTCTAGATATGCGGACTACAAAAATCATCAACAAGGACATCGGACATGGAGGACATTTGTCCAGAGTTTATCATGAAAAGGTGACCATTACAAACCTGAAAAGCTCAGGCTTGACACCACTGAGAGTGAGAGAGATGCTTCAAGGTATTATGAAAAACACATCTATTTTTATCATAATACTGAGATGTCACTGGCTTTTCTTTTTACCTTGCTAACAATTGCACTGATGGTGCACAGGCAAAAATGCTGGCATCTTAGACTTGATCAAGGCAGTGACCTCACACTGCACTACCACTTACTCATCATTCACCAAGGCATGGTGAATAAACAAATTAAGAGTAAAAGCTGGTTTGTCAGTGATAAATAAAATGCCTTGGAGAATGTGTTTTGTAGGAGGTGAATTGCGAGGATAATTGAATTATTTTTTCAAATACTTTTCTCAGCCATCAGTGAAATGGGAAACTGGCTATGTTATAATACAGAATAGCCCTTATGAAAGCAACAGTTAGCCAGGCATGGTGGCTTATGCCTATAATCCCAGCATTTTGGGGGATCAAGACAGGAGGATCACTTGAGCTCAGGAGTTTTTGACCAGCCTGGGCAATGTAGTAGGACCCCATATCTACAAAAAATTTAAAAATCAGCCAGGCATGTTGGTGCACACCTGTGGTCGTAGGCACTTGGCAGGCTGAGGTGGAAGAATCGCTTGATCCTAAGAGGTTAAGGCTGCAGTGAGCTGTAATCACACTACTGCACTCCAGGCTGAGCAATAAAGAGAAAACTTGTCTCAAAATAAATGAATAAATAAACTAAAATAAAATAATACTTATGTTTATTGAGTGTTGCCTTCATAGTGCTCCACAAAATAAAAACAATACTTAGGCTTATTGAGTGTCTGCTGTGTGAAAAGTGTTCCACATATATGATTTCTAACTTTTACAACATCTTGAAGATTTTTTTTCACAGTTCACAGAAAAGTGAACTGAGGCTCAGAGGAATATGAAGGAATTCCCCATTATCATTGCCAGATCCTTGTTAGTAGAACCCAAAACTCTGTCATCTCCATCATGCTGTGGAGAAGATATACAAGTTGGTGCTTCATGATGGAAAGGCATACTGACACAACCTGGGAAATCAGATATTTGGCAGGTGTGAAGTGATAACACCTGGGATAGAAAATTGTCCATAATCAAAGCATTTATACAAATTCCTGACCTACATTGTGCCAAACAAGCTTTAAAATGGAAATGCTGCTGGGCGATGAACATTGAGAATCCCCACTCCGTGTTAAGCTATTTTCACTGTGCAAACTGGATTGATTAAGAGCAATTATAGAACACTCACTTTTAAGAGTTAGGTTATTATTCAATCAATTTTCATTTTAACTTCTATTTCTCTCTCCCTCTAACTGCTTTAATTCATAATTGCTAATGTTGCCTCTGTTACATATTTCAATGAGCTTTTCAAGGTGTGTTTTAGAAGATGGAATTGAAAGTTTGTGTCAATTTGCCTTTATTTCCAATTTGCCATTTTGCTGTTACAGAAAAAAAACAGCTGTATTCTCTATGGGATTTAGAGACTAAACTATATCGTTATTTTCTCCATCATTTGATTAAATCATACATATTTCTTTATTTTTAACAAAGATCTTTAAAGTGTTTAATATTTCAAAGAGTGGTATAACTAATTAGGAAAGGCACAATATTCTCAAAGAGGTATTGGGTCTCATTAGACAGACATTCATCAAACTACAACAAATGAATAAAATCAAGTCAATTGATCAAAACCAAAAACAAACAACAACAAAGCAGGAGGCTCTGAACATCTAATTTTGGCTCAAATAGAAATACCCAGTATTGAATTTCTTCCTAAGTTGAGAACTTTTGCTTCATTTTGGTGTCCAGAGAAGTGATACGAGAGGAAGACAATGTTTAGCTGAACTGTAGCTGAAGAGCTGATAGTAGGGATCACAGTGTAGTTCTAAGTTAAGTAGATCTTAACATTTGTAATCTCCTTTTAGAAAACCACTGAAATGGTTTTAGGTCTAATGTTTAAGTCTTTAATCCATCTTGAATTGATTTTTGTATAAGGTGTAAGGAAGGGATCCAGTTTCAGCTTTCTACATATGGCTAGCCAGTTTTCCCAGCACCATTTATTAAACAGAAGAAAACCTAGGCAATACCATTCAGGACATAGGCATGGGCAAGGACTTCATGTCTAAAACACCAAAAGCAATGACAACAAAAGACAAAATTGACAAATGGGATCTAATTAAACTAAAGAGCTTCTGTACAGCAAAAGAAACTACCATCAGAGTGAACAGGCAACCTACAAAATGGGAGAAAATTTTTGCAACCTACTCATCTGACAAAGGGCTAATATCCAGAATCTACAATGAACTCAAACAAATTTACAAGAAAAAAACAAACAACACCATCAAAAAGTGGGCAAAGGACATGCACAGGCACTTCTCAAAAGAAGACATTTATGCAGCCAAAAAACACATGAAAAAATGCTCATCATCACTGGCCATCAGAAAAATGCAAATCAAAACCACAATGAGATACCATCTCACACCAGTTAGAATGGCAATCATGAAAAAGTCAGGAAACAACAGGTGCTGGAGAGGCTGTGGAGAAATAGGAACACTTTGACACTGTTGGTGGGACTGTAAACTAGTTTAACCATTGTGGAAATCAGTGTGGCGATTCCTCAGGGATCTAGAACTAGAAATACCATTTGACCCAGCCATCCCATTACTGGGTATATACCCAAAGGATTATAAATCATGCTACTATAAAGACACATGCACACATACGTTTATTGTGGCACTATTCACAATAGCAAAGACTTGGAACCAACCCAAATGTCCAACAATGATAGACTGGATTAAGAAAATGTGGCACATATACGCCATGGAATACTATGCAGCCATAAAAAATGATGAGTTAATGTCCTTTGTAGGGACATGGATGAAATTGGAAATCATCATTCTCAGTAAACTATCTCAAGAACAAAAAACCAAACACCACATATTCTCACTCATAGGTGGGAATTGAACAATGAGATCACATGGACACAGGAAGGGGAACATCACACTCTGGGGACTGTTTTGGGGTGGGGGGAGGGGGGACGGATAGCACTGGGAGATATACCTAATGCTAGATGACCAGTTAGTGGGTGCAGCACACCAGTGTGGCACATGTATACATATGTAACTAACCTGCACAATGTGCACATGTACCCTAAAACATAAAGTATAATAATAAAAGAAAAAAAAAAAGAAAACCACTGAAACATGCAGCTTGCTGTAGTGCAGGGCAGTAAATAGTAAAGTTTAAATCTCAGACCCTTGGGAATTCAGAAGATGTTTCAAGAGATACTGGAGAACACATCTAGTTTCATCATAATGCTGAGATGTCACAGAGTTTTGTTTTGTTTTGTTTTGTTTTTACCTTGCTAACAATTGCACTGATGGTGCACAAGCAGTAGTCAAAATGGTTGGCATATTAGACATTAGACAAGGCAGTGACCCCATATGGTACTACTACTTATTCACCACCACCATGTGGTTTCAGTCAACGGATGCTAGTTTCACATAAAAAATTAATTTTCTTGACCATCTCCAGAATACCTGTCTTTTTAATATTCTGCCTGATGAGATGGGAAGTACACACAAAGCTCTTCTGCTACACGATGAAGCTAGATGTTGTCTCCAGTAAAAGAACATATTCCACTATTTCAGTGGTGAAGTGAAATAGCAGCTACCATTTATATTTCAAAGACTAACAGTCAATCTATGGAAATTCAGACCTGGCTATTTGGCAGACATTTTTTGAAACATGAACAAAGTAAGACTTTCACTTCATGAAAAACAACTGACAGTATTTGCTGTTGAGGATATGATTCAAGATTTCAAGAAAAAAATAAAATCATAGAAATCTTACATCTGATGCCAGGACTTCCCAACACTTAAATTATTCCCTAGTCAAATGAATGGTGCTGTCAATAAATGTAAATTTTTTATCTTGTGTAATGAATGTATGAATATTTGCAAGTTGTGTATAACTTAGTGAATCAATATTTTCCAAAACATGCATGGGTCAAGATATATTCTAAATGTAAGATAAAACAACAAGTTTTAATATTAAGGGAACAGAAAGGTTTTGATATGGGTTCCACTTACACTTTTTAATTAACATTTAAGAAACTATCAGTGTTGAGTTTTGAGTTTTGGTGTAGTATTAAAGAAGAATATCCACAATTATCTAATTGTTTTATTACTATATCTCTGTGAGAGGCCAAATTTTCTTCATACACACAAATTAAAACAATATATTGCAGCAGATTAAGCACGTCAGCTGATATGGGGATCCAGCTTTCTGTTATAACCGAACATTGAAAAGATTTTCAAAAATCTAGAACATTTTCTATCTCACAATTTTCTTTTGCTTTGGGAAATATAGTTTTTTTTTTTTTTTTTACAAACCTGTTTTTATGTTAACCTGGAATAAGTTTATTGCTGTTACTTTGACATAAATTCATAAACATTGTTAATGTCTCAATTTTAACCTCTAATTTAGTAAACATCAATAGATATACCCACATAAAGTGAAATCTCTCAGTTCCTCAGTAACTTTTAAGACTGAAAAGAAGTCCTAAGACCAAAATAGCTGAGAACTACCATTCTAGAAACATATTCATTTCTGCACCCAGAAATGTGTTATACTTTTATATGTTTAGAAGTGGGCAGACAGGGTTGTTAACCACTAAGACATGACTTGATCATTTACGTGAAGACCACTAACTTTAGGCTTGGGAAGGAGATCTTATAAATAAAAGTTCCATTCATTTTCTCTCTGACTCCTAAATCATTTTCCTCAAAATATCAGCACCTGCACTTAAGTACTTGGTCACAATACCACCAAACTCTATAATCAGTTGCTTTCATTCTCTCCTTCCAACGCACATGGTTTTTTGTCTACTAAATAATCTGCTTATGTATCTGTGTCTCTGAATAGGTGTATATGACAAGCTGATGCGCACATGGCCTCTAGTGGTTCTGCCTCCTGACAACCCACAACCTGTGTAACTCCTTCCCTTCTGTGTGGCTGCTTTAGTAACCTGATTCTAACAAATAAAATATGACAAAGATGATGATGTATCACTTTAATTATTAGGTTGCAAAATATTTTAACTCCTGCCTTGTTTTAAAATCTTCTTACCATCTCAAATTTCATACTTGGTGGGTACAATCTGCTATGTTGGAGCTGGCCACCTGATAAAGAACTAATGGAGGCTTCTCCAAATACCTGAGAAGGAAGTGGATCTGCCAAAAACCACATCAGTGTAGAGAAAACTCCTTCCTCACCCAAACTTTCAGGTAAGACCCCAGCCCTGGCTTATGATTGTATAATAGCTTTGTGGGAGACTTTGAAACAGAAGATGCAGTGAATGCATACCTGGATTCCTAACATTTAGTAGCTGTAAAATAATAAATATGTGTCATTTTAAGTCCCTAAATTTGTGGCATTTTGTTATGTGGCAATATGCAATTAATACAATGAATATGTGGGGTATTTATTTTTCTACATACATCAATGTTCCTTGATGTAACACTGATGAAGTTTCACCCATTATGTTTAGCATTACCTGATGTCTTCAAATTGCTTATCATCTAAAGATAACAATACTTCAGATAAAACAAAGGTTTAATAAGCTTTCAACAAATTGTGATGGAACATACTCAGTTTATTTGACAAAAACAGATAAGACACTATGAGATTCTGCACATGGATGTCAAAGTGATTAGGGTATGTTTTTTGACTTCATGTAATTTAATATTGATGATGGGAGACATATATGTAAATAGGTTCCTTCAATAAAATACTGCATAACATAATTGTCAGAGGACATTAACAAGTACAAGGTCAGGGTAATACCTTGAAGGATGCAACTAAGTGAAAATTATTCTATAGAGATAGAGTTCATATTCTGAAAAATCACTGCAATTTTGTGGTAGGCAAAATGCCCTCCCCACTCTCCATCTCAATAATGTCCACACTCTAATCCCTGGAACTTATGAATATGCAAAGTTACATAAGAATTACATTTGCATTTGGAGCTAAGATTACAGAGTTTAAGAGATGGACATAATCCTGACTTATTGTGGTGGACCCTATCTAGTCACATGCACCCTAAAAAGTAGAGAAATTTCCCCTGCTGAAGTGGAAGATGTGGTAGAAGGAATAGTCAGAGAGAGATTCCAAGCATGGGAAAGACTCAATGCATTGTTGCTTGTTTGGAGATGGAGTGGGTATCATGACAGGGAACGCGGGTAGCCATAAGTTTCTGAGAATCGCTCCTGGCTGACAGCCAGTGAAAAAAGGGGATCTCAGTCTGATGGCTAAATCTTCCAAACACCAGAGTGATCTGGAAAGTGGGCTCTCTTCAGAATCTCCAGATAAGAGGTCAGGTTACTGACCACCTTGATTCCTGCCATCCGAGGGATTCCAGCAGAGAAACAAGCCAAGCCCATCTCAACTTCTGATGTACATCACCGTGAGATAATAAAGGTGTGATATTTTAAGCTGTTATGTTTGTGGTAATTTGTTATGGGACTTACAGAAAACAAATACAGACTTGTAGTGGGGAAGA
The DNA here is from genome assembly GCF_000001405.40 of Homo sapiens. Taxonomy (NCBI): domain Eukaryota; kingdom Metazoa; phylum Chordata; class Mammalia; order Primates; family Hominidae; genus Homo; species Homo sapiens. Next base: position 15,641,330 of record NC_000024.10, on the reverse strand, counting down.
AAAGTCATTCCAGACTAACATGAACCAACATAGATGGCCACAAACAAAAAGAGGAAATGGCAAGTTATCTGATAAAGCCAGAGATTAAGAAATACAGAGACAAGAGCCAATGAAGATGAAAAAGATAAAGTTGGAGAATGAGTGTTGAGAAATATAGTTCTTGCATTTGTCTGTAGAATAGATTAGTGTGAGCAGGAAGCTGCAGGAAAAATGATCAATCAGAACTAATCTAGATCAGAGATGACAAGACCCTGAACTAAGAGACTGCCATTTGGAATCAATAAAAGATTACAAGTTCAAGAGATATTTCTAAAGTAAAATGAACACAACTTGATAAAAATTGAAAGAAACATTGAGAAGGAAATAAAAGGTGACTTCCACATTTTGAGACTAAATAAATTGAAAGATGGTAATACAATGAACCATAAGATAGAGGGGGAATGTATCTGTTTCCTCCCCCTCAGAGAAAGGAAAGTTAATTCATTTTGTTTGGAATGTGTTGAGTTAAAGTGTCTAACAAGGAATTTATAATACTGAGGGAAACTCTAGGTAAAGGTGGAAGCTAGTGGAGGGAAAGGAATTGAAAGTCATTTTTATGAAAATAGTTACAATCAGGAGACAGTATCAGCTGAGGGGAGAAAAATGTCAAAGGAGAAATACCTAAACTTAATGTAAAGGTAGCAAGAATAGGAAAGGAAAAATCCCTATACTTAATATAAAGGCAGCAGGGATAGGATAATGGAGGAATAGTGGGGAAACAGATAATTCAGCAAAGGAAACTGAATGATCTCATGAGATAAGAAGACAACTTAGAATGTGTAGTGTTCTAGACACAACAAGAAAGATTGACCAGCTGCTGAGTATCTGCCCGAAGGAAAACAAATCATTTCATAAAAAAGACACCTGTGTGCACATGTTTATTGCAACACTATTGACACTATCAAAGTCATGGAATTAACTTAAGGGTCCTCAATGGTGTGTTGGATAAAGAAAAAGTGGCACATACACACCATGGAGCACTATACAACCATAAAAAAGAATGAATCATGTCCTTTGCAGCAACATGGATGCTGATAGAGGTCATTATTCTAAGTGAATTAATGCAGAAATAGAAAGTCAAATGCCACTTGTTCTCACTTAGAAGTGGGAGCTAAAGTGGCAAAGTGCAGTGGCTCATGCCTGTAATCCCTGCACTTTGGGAGGCCAAAGCCAGTGAATCATTTGAGGTCAGGATTTCAAGACTAGCCTGGACAACATGGTGAAACCCTGTCTCTACTAAAAATTAAATAATTAGCTGGGCATGTTTTCACATGTCTGTGACTACTCGGGAGGCTGAAGCAGGAGAATTGCTTGCACCTAGGAGGTGGAGATTGAGGTGAACGAAGATCAAGCCATTGCACTCCAGGTGGGGCAATAGAGAAAAACTTCACCTCAAAGAACAGCAACAAAATGCGGTAGCTAAACTATGGTTACACATGGACATAAAAATGGCACAATTCACAATGGGGACTCCAAAAGGGGTACGAGGGCTAAAAATAATCTATTGGGTGCTATGTTCACTATTTGGATGATAAGTTCAATAGAAGTCTAAACCCCAACACTACGAAATTTCCCATGTAACAAACCTCCACATGTGCCCACTGAATCTAAAACATTTTTAAAAGGGGTAGATGGAAAAAAGAAGCATTGGTTAGCAGTGTCAAATTGCACTGAGCATTCCATTAGAAGGAACATGAATAGAGACCAGTTAAGTAGGCAACTAGAAGACTACTAGAGAATTTGGAAAGAAGAGCTCCAAATGGAAAACTGTGTAAGAAGGCATGTTCAATGGTTGAAGGGCAAGCTGGAAAGGTAGAAGTCAAATCAATGACATGCACTACTGTGTTAAGATGTGGCAAAATCTTGAGTGCAACTACGAATGTAATGAAGCATTAGTGTATCACGGAAGGAGGTTTGAAGGAAATCTTCCTAAGAGGGACACAGGGTGGGAGGGGAGGGTGGAGAGAAAGAGGTTGATGTTACAAAAGAAAATTTCAGATGGAAAAAGTTCATAGAGAGAGGACAGTGGATGATTTCAAGAGTTTGAGAGCCCAGAACAACAGGTAAGACTTGCAAAGAAGTCTGCTGAGACAGAAATAAATGGCCAGGGGCAGTGTCTCATACTTTTAATCCTAACACTCTGGGAGGCCAAGGTGGGAGAATTGCTGAGCTCAGGAGTTCAAGACCACTCTGGGAAACATAGCGAGATCTTTTCTCTATTGAAAATCAGAAAAATTAGCTGGGTGTGGTCATGCACACCTGCAGTCCCAGCTACTAGGGATACTGAAGTAGGAGGATCACTTGAGCCTGGCAGGTCAGCGTTACAGTAAGCTATGATTGCACTATTGCATTCCAGCTTGGGTGACATAGACCCTGTCTCAAAAACAAACAAATAAACAAAACAACAAAGAAATGAAATAAAACATAATGACATGGAGAATATTTGAGGTGACAGAAAACCTGAAAATGAGTTAGCTAAGGGAATTCCATCTTCTAAGTGCAGTAGAAATCCAGAGAGAGAGACAGCATACAGGACTACAAAAACAGTGAGCACAGTATGAACAGCTGTTATCTAGAATAGAATAAAACATGCATTATATGGATGAAAAGAACATCTGAGCATGGGCAAAGGGTACTTGTGATGGCAACAGTGACCCATCTGGAGTGGCCACTGCCGTGACGCTGGCTACAGTGGGGGAAGCATGGCCAGGGCCATGCACTCCATTGAGAAGATGGGAGCTAGAAACACTTGGGAGCCCCACTGCTTTTCAAGTTGGAGGGGTGGAGCCCCACCCTCATGGGCACAGATGCTGCCACCCAGACATGGCTGAAGAACTGGGCATTCTTGTGCTCTCAGGGGCTGATGGAATAGTCTGTTTTCATGCCACTGATAAAGACACAACCAAGACTAGGTAATTTATACAGGAAAAATTACCAACCAAGACTAGGTAATTTATACAGAAAAAAAAAAAGTCCATTTAATGGACTTTTAGTTCCATGGGGCTGGAGAGAACTCACAATTAGGGCAGAAAACAAGGAGGAGCAAGTCACATCTTACATGGATGGTGGCAGGCAAAAGAGAGCTTCTGCAGAAAAACTCCCACTTTTAAAACCATCAGATCATGTAAGACTCATTCACTATTGAAAGAACAGTGCAGGAAAGACCTGCCTCCATAATTCAATCACTTCCCACTGGATTCTTCCCATGACACATGGGAATTGTGAGAGTTACTATTCAAGATGAGATTTGGGTGATGACCTAGACCAACCATATCAGCTGGGAAGCCCTCCTTCCTGTACAGGCTCGAAAGTGCCTGTTCCAACTGCCTGGCCTCTCACCACTACCAGCATCCACTCTGATTTGGCAGCAAGGTTGAGGCCAAGGTCAGACACTATCATGACCCAGCTGTGTGTGTGCATGCTTGGGACCGCAATGATATACCAGCCTTCTGCTGCCTCAGCCCCCTCTGGGCTTTAGGCACTGATGAGCACAGGAGGAGGCCAATGGGTGGGGCTCAGGGTTCTTGGTGTGGGCCTGCAGATGTCTGTAGGCATGAACAGTCTGGTTGCTGTGGGCACCATGGATGGCAAGTTGATGGCAGCAGAAGGCAGACACCTCCTAGTTGGAAAGGGGCAGGTCCCATTTGAAGCTCCACCTTCAAGCCATGGAGTGCCTGAAGCCTGGGCCCTGGGCTGACTAGACCAGAGTGAGAACTGAAGGTGCTTTTTTTGGGCCTGGCCATGGCAGTCCATGGACCAATCAGCAAATACTTCCTCCCCTCTGAAACCCACAAAGACCCCAGACTCAGCCAGATTCAGGCAGACAAAGGAATAACCTGTTGCAGATAGGAGCTACCCATTCTGGGTCTCCTCTCCACTGAGAGCTGCAAGGAAGGCAGGATGACCTGTCTGCAAATAGAAGTTACCCACTCTAGGTCTCTTCTCCACTGAGGGCTGCACAGACATTAGGATGACCTACTTCCAAAGGGGACCTACCCACTGCAAGTATCTTCTCTGCTGAGAGTGGCACAGACATTGGGACGACCTGCCTGTGAAAAGAAGCTTCCCACTCTGGGTCTCCCTAGAACTGTTCTGCCACTCAGCGAAGCTCCTCTCTGCCTTGCAGGTCCACATACTTTATTCTTTCTGGACACGGGACAAGAATGCAGGACCCACTGAATGGCAGGACTAAAAGAGCTGTAACACAAACAGGACTGAAACATGTGCCCCAATCAACATGTTACAGCTGATGAGAAGGAAAGAAGAGCTGCATTCTTTTTTGGAGCCCAACCTAGAGGCTCCCTGAGCCACGGCTGTGACAACCTCTTTGGGGTTCTGCACTTCCTGGCGTCTCTAAGCTTCCAGGTGCCACTGTGTTCCCCTTGTCCAGATGCAGGTGCCCACAGTGGAAGCTTTGTGCTGTATGTCTGGTTCAGCACAAACTCTCAAAAAGCTGCCACCTGTGTCAATGCCTTAAGCTGCCTGCCCCTCCGCAGCAGTGAACATGCCTGGCTGTGTGCAATAGCTGGACCCTGCGCTCTTTCACCCACACGCCCTTAACCACTCTGCGCCTGGCTCATGCTTGGCAATTGTGGGAACTGTGCTGGTATCATGAGCCAAATGCCGCCTGCATGGCTGAGTTGGTGGAATAAGCTCAGTGCGTGCAAGCAACACCCAAGCAGAAGGTCCCGTCAGCCCCAGATGTTTCTGGCTAGTGAAACAACACTCCAAGTATTCCGTGACACCTGTATAGGTGGATTACAATGCATGTTGAGAAATGAGTGTTAGGCATACATTATAGATACTGCAAACACTTTTATATATGTGTGTGTATTCATTATGTTACAGTGTGAACCTCCAAGGTAACTGATGTCCATACATCCATGTTACAAAAGAGAAACTGAGAACAAAATCACAAAACTGGCAGCCATGGAATTTTTAATTTTTTTCATATATATTTTTAGAAACAGGGTCTTGCTTTGTCACCCAGGCTGTAGTGCAGTGGTGCAATCCAACTCACTGCAGGCTTGAACTCCGGGCTTCAAGTGATGCTCTCTCCTTGACCTTCCAAAATGGTAGATTACATGTGTGTACCACTGCATCCAGTCCAGACATGGAGTTTTAAATGTAGGTTTGTGAAGCTTCAAGGACTATGTTCTCTGCCTCAGTGTGAGGCGAGAGAGTGGGGGAGATCTTGCCCAGGGAAGGAAGACTTGGAGAAGTATGAGGGTAAGAATGTGAGTGAGGCTTTTGCCCCTGGTACTCACAGGAGTGAGTTCTGCCCTCACCTTTTACTCTTACTCTTTCACTCAACTCATTCAAACCCACTCCTTATCCAGTTATAGTCTACTGGGCAATTTTCCTTGGTCACTTAATACTGTTCCTTACATTATTATTGCAACTGTTGTCATTACATTATTATTGCAACAGTTGTCATCATCATTGTTCCCTGATACTCACAGCTTTCTCTTTTTTTTTCCTCTAGCTCCACCCTCTCTTCAGGAATATCCAACAGCAGTCATCAGTTGAATTAACTGAAATCCTTGGCTTGGGATCCACTTATATTTTAATGTACTCAGTCCAGTGGGTATTCCAGGAAAGTGGAGATCCTTATATTATAAATAAATCAACTAGTACATAAAATACACCAGGTATAGAATTCACATTTCCTTCAGTATAATATATAACTTAACTCTTTCCAATGAACCTCTCTGATTGGTGTCATAATATACAGGCTAAGGTTGTGGTGTCCGAGTCTCACTGAAGAATATGCCTTTCTTGGCATAAGTTTCTACATTTTAAAATGTAGTTAAAATACCTAATAATGTCCTTTGAGAAATAACAGAGTCAATATCCATCAAGCTTTTAGAATACTGCCTGGTGCCTAGCAAAGAGTCAGTGCATATTAATTAATTTTTGCATAAAGAATGAATGTTGTTTTTTTTGTTTTTGTTTTTCTTGTAAAATCAGATACCCTCTTGAGAAAACCCATGTTGGGCAAGTAGAGCATGTTATTATAAGAGGCCATGGAAACTTCAGGAAATCCAGAGAAAGGAAACCAGGAAGAACCCAGCACCCAAGGAACTAACAAGCCATATCTTCGCAGAATCACAATGTTTTGGTTTGCATTCTCCCAGATACGTGACTCTGTTTCTGAAGTTCCCAATTTAAAATTGCTGGCAAGAAATTGGACTAGCCCAGCTCCTGCATTAACAGCAAACCCCACAGGCCATATACATCTTAGCAGCCTGCACATATATCCATTATCTAATCCTATTCCAAGCTTCTCATCACCTCATTCAGAAGCAAGCACAGCTTCTAAATAGGGGCTTCAACAGGGGTCATTCTAGAAAAGAGTTCTAGGTTGACTCATTACATTGAAATACATCTAGTGCAAGCTGCCAAGCATGAAATTTATAGCACCTCTGCTTTCTATTCTGCCATCATTTATTTGATGGTGGAACATTTTATACAGTGCCTCAGAGTAAATAAGGAGGAAGGAGATATATTGGTTGGTACAGATGTCATATCTCAAGACAGTAACCAGTTTATTAAATCTGCTACTTCTCCAATTCATTTATAGTCCTAATGCGACTTACATTTGCCTTGTGACATGATGTTGGAGGCTCTTCCAAAGACATTCCATGCAAATGAAGGAGGCAAGAAGTGGGGAGAAACAGGGCTGAGGCCCTCCGCAGAAGAGTTCTATCATCCTTATTTATCCCAGAATAAACATGAGCCCTTTGCAAAAAGGATCCTTTCAATTCTGGAAGGAAAACTCCATGCATATTCATTACTTTTCCTCTTTGGATTACAGGAGTGTAAATTGCAGAAACATAAGGAAGCATTTCTGCAGTTTTATATAACATCATACAGAAGAAAGTATTTTTTTCCCTTCAGATATATAGTTTTGGGTATCCCTTGTCTAGGCAGTGATATATTGAGTGACTTGTTTTAATTAACCATACTTTTTTCTGAGACAGGGTTTCACTTTGTTGCCCAAGCTGGAGTGCAGTCACATCATGATGGCTCACTGAAGCCTCAAATTCATAGGCTCAATTGATCCTTCCTTCTCAGCCTCCCAAGTAGTTGGAATTAAAGACATGCACAATTATGCCCAGCTGCATAATTTGTTTTGTTTTTTTGTAAAGACAAGGTCTTACTGGGTTGCAGATCTCAGACTCCTGGGCTCAAGCAATCCTTCCACCTTGACCTCCAAAAGTGCTCTGATTACAGGGGTGAGCCACCATCACTTTTATGTATACCACCTTTCACCCAGGTGTTTCATATAGGTTCTGTAGGCACCAAAGGTGCAACAAAGAAACAGCTCCAAAGTTTAATTTCTGAGAAACATTTTAGCCCCTTCTTAAAACCTTACATTGCTATCCTCTTGAACCATAGCTCTCATTTTCAGCCCTCATAATTAATACATACAAAAGCATACTCACATACACTGACACATAAACACACACAAATTCAGATACATGCACAGACATAGGCCCAAGAACATTAAAGGAACAATTGCTGAACTGTAGAATAATATTTTACCCTGTCTTCCTCGTTTCCCCTTCCACCTTCTGCCTGGAATTTCTTCCCTACTTTACCCACCCACTCAGCACTGATACCCTCAAATGTCACAGGTTTTTCTCAGTTGTTAATTGAGAAAACTGTCACTCCCTCAAGGATATAGTATAAGAATAAAATGATCTAATGCAAACAAGGCTGGTGACATACTAGAATGTAAGTAAGTCATTACAACAGATATTAGATTAACACCAGCAGACTTTACTACTTGCAGTGTTAAGCCAAGATTTATTCTGCATGTCTTTCACAATTATAATTTTTTTTTATCTGAGCATGTAGCTAGTCGGCTAAAGACTACATTTCCCAGACTTCTCTATGGCTTGGTCATGTGACTACATTCTAGCCAGTGAAATATTTTATTTTGTATATTTTATTTTATTTTTTAGAGACAGAGTCTCTCTCTGTCACCCAAGACACAGTGTAGTTGTGTGATCATAGGTAACTGAAGCCTCAAACTCCTATGCTTAAGTCATCCTCCCACCTAAGCCTCCTGAGTAGCTAGGAATATAGGCATGTGCCATCACACCAGCTAACTTTTGAATATTTTTGTAGAGACATGGTCTCACACGTTTCCCAGGGTGGTAACCAATAAGATATTTTAAAAAGTTGAAATAGCCTCATTTCCCAAAGTTGCTAACGTGGAAAAAGAACACTGATGGGGTCATGGTGGTGTTTTAGGTCAAAGTAGTGCTAGGAGATTGTTCAGCAAATATTTTCTTCTGTTTCAGGGGTAGGTAGAATTTTCACCATCATGACTGTTTTACTTCCTGGTGATGTGCCTGTGGATACAAGTAGGTTACCTAGTAAAAGGGACTCTGCAGATGTAATTAAAGTCAGTAATCAGTTGAATGTATCTTCCCAGTTATAATAAGTGGAATAACTTCAGCTAAATGAGTTGAACTTATCTTCTCACTGAATAAGATTATTCAAGCTCACTTAAGAAGATTCCTACTCAATTGGAGATTATCCTGAATTACCTGATGGATTCAGTGTAATAACATGAGCTCTTAGAAGTAAAAAAAGAAAGAGGATAACATCAGAGAGATTTGAAGTGTGGGAAGTATTTGACCTGCCATTGCTGTTTTAGAGATCGAAGACCCTGGTCTGTTGTGGTGGCTACTTTGAGGGGCTGAGGATTTTTTGATCCCAGGAGTCTAAGATCAGCCTGGGCAAGATGGAAAAAAAAAACATTTCTACAAAAAATGCGAAAAAATAATGCATTGGCCTGGCATGGTGGTGGACACCTGTAGTCCTAGCTACTCGAGAGGTTGAAATGGGAGGATCACCTGAGCACAGGGAGGTCAAGGCTGCAGTGAGCCATGATCATACCACTGCACTTCAGTCTGGGTGACAGAGTGAGATCCTTTCTTAAGTAAAAAAAAGATGGAGGAAACCATGTGAGTAGTGTGAGAAGAAAAATAATTCTACGAATAATTATTGATCTTGGCAGAGAACCTCCAGCTCCAGGTGAGATCAGAAGTCACAGATGATTCATAAATTTCATTCTGGTAAGACTTGGAGCTGAGATACCATCTTAGCTGTCTTGCATTTCTGGCCTATGGAGCTGAGATAATAAATTGTATGGTTTTAGACTACTATGTTTGTGGTAATTTATTACACAGCAATAAAAAACTAGTATAATCTCCCTCAAACTCCAGACACTGCTGCATGGTCTGACAAAACAAATGTAGACAGAAATGACACTTACAGGCTTAAATCTGAAAGACCGCTTGTGTTACTTCTGCAAAGCAGTTTGCTTCCCTCTGGGTGCTCTGTCCTGTGCCTCCAAGTTTGGCTCTAAATATAACACGTGGAGTAAAACCACAACAGATAACCCTCAGAAAAATGAGCATGAGAATAAATGTGTGTTTGTATACACTGCATTAGAGGCTAGCTTGTTATGTAGCATTATTATGGAAACAGCTGACTGATACATGGTCATTTCCAAGCCAAATCCTGTGGGACCTCAGCCAGAGTCCACAGGCTCCTCTGAAGGCTGATGCTGGTGGTCATCTTGCTCATGGGATTGAACAGAAGAAAGCACTATCATTAAAGAGGTGAAGACTAAAAAGGCCACCAATAAACTGTGTTCAAATGAAGAAATAACAACAGAATAAAAATAAACCCATGAAAGTAAAAGTTGGTTCTGAAAGAGATCCATCAAACTCTATATATTCAAAAATAGTTTTAAAACTAAATACTAATTTGTGTAAATGCTTACATAAGTAAATAATGTGACTAAGAAATTTGACTGCATTTTGAGTCCCCAAAATCGTCATTCTTTCATTTAAGAATTATATAGAGTTGAGATCCTCTGTGGCATGTCTAGCAGTCTAGTAAGTCAGTAACAACTAGTTATTTAATTCCTGATGCCAGCATCAATAAATTAGCTCACATTTATTCTGTACTTCACCTTGAATATCTATACCTTCTTCAGACATCAAGCTTGGGAAAACTGTTGGCAAAATGTCAAACTGTTCAGATAACAAGGAAATAATCAACTTGAATGAGGAATAAGAGCAAACACACACAAATTATTTTGTCCTTTTTAAGGATTTAATTATATAGCTAAAGTTTATTTATCATTGACAAACCACCAAGTATGTGATGTCTTGAATAATTGAAAACTATGTTATATATTTTTTGGGATAAATAATTTTAGTTAGGCCAAGACTCTGTTCCTATGCTTATCCTCTAACATGGATTAAAGTTATTCTAAGCCTGTACTATCTCCAAGAAAAAAATTACATTTTCCCTTGTGGATCCAGTATTTTTATTCCCAGAACTAGGTATGTCTGCATTTTCATTTCTTTTTTGTTACTAGAAATATACCTTTCCAAATATACCAGTGTATCACTTGAAGTCTAGAACATGTGGAAATCTTGCAATCTTCTAACATAGGAAATTCCATGAGCTATTTTGTTTATTTCAGAATAGCCTAAAGAAAGATAAGACATTGACCTCTAAAAAGAGAAGTGCATACAAATGTTCATGACATGAAAATAGTCACTTATAAAGTGACATTTTTAGGTCAATGAAAAATTATACAAATATATTGGATAGATACATTTAGACCATGATGATTCTTATGGAATAACTTCTTAAAAGGTAGTCATTTTTATTCAGGTAATTCAGAATGGTAGCCGAGCTCAGTAACGGTGTCTGGAGTGATCTGTACCTCAGAAAAGAGAGAGTTCAAAATGCATGCTTCTTTGAAAGATCAGGTTGGCAACTCAATTTTTGAATAATGTTATCTAGATTGTTTTGCAGAAGTAATTGCATCTTAGTTAAAAGACATAAGGAGTTTCTGATAAATACCCATGTAGAAATGGGGGCAAACAGAGTTACTGGAGCTAGTAAGAATGAATACAGGAGATTAATTTCCATTCAAAGGGCCAAGTAAAACTATGAGCAGTGGGGAAAGGTCTCAGATGAGTTTAAACTATCAGCCAAACCAGAGGAGATAAGTAAAGTTTGTGTTGAAAGTTTAAGAATGAAGTTAATTATTCAGAGCCTGGTTGAGAAGAAGCCCCCAAAGAAGAGTGACCAGAAATCTCTATATTTGAGGTTGTCAGTTAGAGCTGGGATAAGCTGGTATATTACTCTGTTTTCATGCTGCTAATAAATATATATCCAAGACTGGAGAAAAAAAGAGGTTTAATGGACTTACACTTCCACATGGCTGAGAAGGCCTCACAATCATGGCAGAAGGCAAGGAGGAGCAAGTCACATCTTATACTGTTGCCAGCAGGCAAAGAGAGTGTGTTTGTGCATGGAAACTCCCATTTTTAAAACCAACAAATATCATGAGATTTATTTATTATCACGAGAATAGTATGAGAAGGATCTGACTCCATGATTCAATTACCTCCCACCAGGTTCCTTTCATGACTCATAGGAACGGTAAGAATTGAAATTCAAGATGAATTTTGAGAGGGGAGAGAGCCAAGGCATATTATTCCACCCCTGACACCTCCAAATCTCATGTCCTGACATTTCAAAGCCAATCATGCCCTCCCAACAGTCCCCTAAATTCTCAACTCATTTCAATATTAACTCAAATGTCCACAGTCCAAAGTCTGATCTGAGACAAGGCCAGTCCATTCCCCCTATGAGCCTGTAAAATCAAAAGCAAGTTAGCCACTTCCTAGATGCAATGGTGATACAGGTATTGGGTAAACACAGCCATTCCAAATGGGAGAAATTGGTCAAACAAAGAAGCTATAGACCCCACACAAGTCTGAAATCTAGCAGGGCAAATCTTAAAGCTCCAAAATGATCTTCCTTGACTCCATGTCTCACATCCAGGTCCTGCTGATGCAAGAGGTAGGTTCCCATAGTCTTGAGAAGCTCTGCCCCTGTGGCTTTACAGGGTACAGCCACTCTCCTGGCTGCTTTCACAGACTAGCACTGAGTGTCTGTGGCTTTTCCAGGAACACGGTGCAAGGTGTCAGTAGATCTACCACTCTGAGGTCTGGAAGACAGTGACCCTCTTCTCACAGCTCCAGTAGGCAGTGCCCCAGGAGAGACTCTGTGTGAAGTCTCTGACCCCACTTTTGCCTTCTCCACTCCCCTAGCAGATATTCCCCATGAGGGTCCCAGTCCTACAGAAAACTTCTGCCTGAGCATCCTGGTGTTTCCATACATCTTCTGAAATCTAGGCAGAGATTCCCAAACCTCAGTTCTTGACTTCTGTTCACTCACAAACTCAATGCCATGTGGAAGCTGCTAAGGCTTGGGGCTTCCACCCTCTGAAGCTATGGAAGGAGCTCTATGTTGTCCCCTTTCAGGCATGACTGGAGCAGTTGGGACACAGGGCTCTAAGTCCCAAGGCTGCACACAGCATGGGGGGTGTGGGCTCAGCCCACAGATCCACTACTTCCTCCTAGGCCTTTGGGCCTGACATGGGAGTGGCTGACATGAAGACCTCCGACATGCCCTGGAGATACTTTTCCCATTTTCTTGAGGATGAACTTTCAAGTCTTCTTTAGCTATGAAAATTTCTGCAGCTGGCTTGAATTTCTCCTCAGAAAATGGGATTTTCTTTTCTATTATATTGTCAGGTTGCAAATTTTAGGAGCTTTTATGCTCTACTTCCTTTATAAAACTGAATGCCTTTAACAGCACCCAAGTCAGCTCTCGAATGCTTTGCTTCTTAGAAGTTTCCCTTGCCAGATATCCTAAATCATCTCTCTCAAGTTCTAAGTTCCTCAAATCTCTGGGGCAGGGACAAAATGCTGCCAGTCTTTTGCTAAAACATCACAAGGGTCAACTTTGCTCAAGTTCACAACAAGTCCCTCATCTGCATTTGGGACCCCCTCAGCTTGGATTTCATTGTCCATATCATTATCAGCATTTTGGTCAAAGCCATTCAACAACTCTTTAGGGAGTTCCACACTCTCCCACATTTTCCTGTCTTCTTTTGAGCCTTCCAAACTGTTCCAATCTCTGCCTGTAGCCCAGTTCCAGAGTCACTTTCAAATTTTTGGATATCTTTTCAGCAGCACCTACCTTACTGGCACCAATTTATTGTATTAGTTTGTTTTAATGTTGTTGATAAAGACATACCCAAGACTGGGCAATTTACAAGTGAAAGAGGTTTATTGGACTTACAGTTCCATGTGGCTGGGGGGACCTCACAACCATGGGGGAAGATGAAAGGCAAGGAAGAGAAAGTCACATCTTACATGGACGGTGGCAGGCATAAAAAGACAGCTTGTGGAGGGAAACTCCCATTTTTAAAACCATCAGATCTCATGAGACTTATTCACTATCATGGGAACAGCATGGGAAAGATCTGTCGCCATTATTCAATCACCCCCTGCCAGGTTCCTCCCAGGGCATGTGGGACTCCTGGGAGTTGCAATTCAAGATGAGATTTGAGTGGTGACACAGCCAATCCATATCAGCTGGATAGGATAGAGTTGGGAAGAAATTCCAAGCAAAGGAATCGTTTGGAGAAGGGGATGGCTATAGTACACAAGTCCTGGGAGCATCGCTCATATTGCTTAAATGGTGGACCCCATAGTAGAGCATTGTTCACATGAGCAAAGTAAAACAGGCCCACTGGACTTGGGGTGGCTTTCCGTCTGGGTTTAGGTTCAAGTCAGATACAGAAAGCACATTCTGGATAGAAGAATATACTCTACGTCATAGAACCCAGGAAAAGCTGAACGAGTCCACCTAGGTGGCCAGCTTACAGCTCAAGTGTCGCCACTTGGTGTGTATGTGTATTATGAGTTAAAACCTTATTTTTATGTGTGTATTTTAGATCAATTTTACATTCATAGAGAAACTGTGTGAAAAGTATAGACATTTCCTCTATATCCCTTCCCCAACTCATGCACAGTCTCCCCCATTATCAACTTCATGTATCAGAGCAGTGCATTTGTTACAACTGATGAACCTACATTGACACATCATCATTACCACCGTCTACATTAGGGTTCACTCTGGGTGTTGTACATTCTATGGGTTTGGACAAATGTATAATGGCATGGACCCACCATTATATAATGTGACACAGGGTAGGTTCATTGTGTTTCACCCTAAAAATCTTCTGTGCTCCACCTATTCATCCCTCCTTCTTCCCCCTGGCACCCACTGATGTTTTTTTACTGTTCTCATAGTCTTCCCTTTTCCAGAATGTCCTATAGTTAAATGCTACAGTATGAGCCTTTTCAGATAGGCTTTTTTCACTTGGCGATATGCATTTATGTTTCCTCCATGCCTTCTCATAGCCTGATGGTTTATTTCTTTTTGGTGCTGAATAATACTCATTTGTCTGGAGGTACTAGTTTGTTTATCCATTCATCTACTGAAGGACATCTTTGTTGCTTCCAAGCATTATCAATTGTGAATAAGATTGCTATAAATGTACATGGTGAGGTTTTTTTGTGGAAATAAGTTTTCAAATCCTTTGGGACAGACAACTACAATTTTAACTTACTTTTACAATCTCGGCAAAGAAGGAAAAATGAACAGTGAGTGCTGGTCTGAACTGAATGCTGCAGAGGTCGTGGGGACAAAACCTTCACTGTACCCAGAGAAGACTAAAGATTCCTGCTAAGGTGCCAGGCACTATGCTATGCACTTTGGATACAAAAATGAATAGAAATTGGTCCCTTTCTAAATGAGTTGGCAGTCTAAAACAAATCTAGTTGAAATCATCTGTTGCAAAAGATAGAACAGCAGCAATAATGAGTTCCAAGGTGGAAACAAGTTTTATAGAGAGGAGATGATGGAGCTGAGACCTCTAAGATAAATTGTGGTGCATAATTTTGGGAATGTGTCTAGACAGATAGAGAATGGAGCATTCAAAGCAGGAAGGGTAACTGGAATATAGACATGGGAACTCATCCAACAGGGCAAACTAAAGAAAGTGCTGTCAATACCCCAGGAATCCAACCTAAAGATAGCATAGAAGTTGGACAATTTTGCAATAATGTCACTCTAGACAGTCCATTTTGAAGAACTGATAGCTAAAGAAATTTACTTTCTAAAATTAATTAATTTTCTTTTTTAGAGACAGGGTCTCATTTTGTTGCCCGGGGTTGGAGTGCAGGGTCACAATCTCAGCTTCCTGCAGGGTCAACCTTCCAGGATCAAGTGATCCTCCTTCTTCAGCCTCCTGAGTAGTTGGAACTATAGGTACATGTCATCACAACTGCCAAATTTTTCTTTTCCTTTTTTTTTTCTTTTTTTTTGAGATGAAGTCTTGCTCTGTCACCCAGGCTGGAGTACAGTGGCACCATCTTGGCTCACTGCAACCTCCACTTCCTGAGTAGTTGGAATTAGAGGCGCCTGCCATATTTTTGTATTTTTGTGCCACATTAACCAGGCTGATCTTGAACTCCTGACCTCATGTAATCCACATGCTCCGGCCTCCCAAAATGATTGGATTAGAGGTAAGACCCATGTGCCCGGCATAATTTTTCTTTTTCTTTTTCTTTTTCTTTTTTTTTTTTTTGTTATAGAGACAGTGTTTCTCCATATTGCCTAGGCTGGTCTTGAACTTCTAGGCTCAAGAATTCTGCCTGCCTCAGCCTCCTAAGTGTTAGGATTACAGGTATGAGCCACCATGCCCAGCCTTCTTTATATTTTCTTCAAAAATTTATTGAAATAGTGGATTTCATTTTTTAAACAATGAGATAGAATTCCCATCCCATAATATTTATCATCTTAACCTGGACAATTCAGTGGTTTTCTATCACAAAATTGTGCAACCAGCACCAACACCTAATTTCAGAATATTTTCATCCCTGGAAAAAGAAACCCTTTACCCACGAGAGGTCGCTCCTTTTCCTTCCTTCCTTTAGCCCCTGACAACAGCTATCTCTCCTTTCTGTTTCTGTGGGTTTGCCTGTTCTGGACATTTCAGATAAATGGATCCTAGATGTTGTGTTTCCTCATATCAAGCTTCTTTTACTGAGTGTTGTTTTCCATGTTCATCCATATACTGTAAGTATCAGGGCTTCATTCCCTTTGAGAAAATATTTCTTTGTACTAGGCAACTCCATATCAGGTCAAACACAGATAAATACACAAACATTAGGAACGAAGATTTCCTAGAGCTCCAGCCACACGCTGCTCCCTCTGCTGCCTGGTAGAGAACCTGTGGCCTGTAGCTTTTGCAGCCACCATTCAGCAGGAGAATGCAGGCTAGCACTGGGGTAAGCTCAAAAGATAACTGTCACACTCTTCTTATTGAGATCCCACTGTTTTCCTTGAATAAATTTCCCCAGGGTTGCAACAAGACTTTGGCTAATTTCTAGAGTTCTGTAAAAGTTATTTCTGGCAACTTTCTCTATCACTTTATTACTGATTGCATAGAGAAGAGAGTTTTTGGAAGTCCTTATTGCTATGTCAACTTCACCTCTTTTTGATAAGACTTTCACCTTTATAAAGTAGATTGTAAAACTGGCCACAGATACTTCCCTCCCTTGTATATGTGTTTATTTAATTTAATTTATTTTATTTTGCAATGTGCTGTTGTGGCTATTTCCTTTAAGCATTGTCTTTAGACCTGCCCTTGCAGCTGGGCTTAGCCAGATGCCTTGTTTGGGCTCTAGAGCAAGTAGAAACAAGCATAGACTTGCAAGGTATCTGCACACTGGGCTTGTCCTCTCCTGCTGATCTTGGAACCACTAGAATTATAGCCTTGAGGACAGGCTGGAGAATGAGAAAACCACATGCAGAGAGGCCCCAGGTGTTCCTGCCTTCTCAGACAAGGTCATCATAAACCAGGTACCTCAGTTGTTCATCAACCAATGGCAGACTTTGAAGCAAGCTCAGCCAAAGTCATCTCAGAAAAAATACTCATCTGAGTCAAAATGTCAGCCCAAAAGATCAGCACTTAAACATACAGGTATAGCATTATGCCTCTAAATTTTGAGATGGTATGACACACAGAAGACACTAATATGGTTTCTGTCTTTACCAACTGTACCTCCTTTACTATTTACCTTTATGAAAACATATACAATCTGAAGAAACACATTGTCATAGCAATGTGATACATTGCCCTAGATTTTCTTTTGTCTTGGTAGAGGAACAAAGTTATTTTCAGCATGTAACTCGGTTCTCTTATTACTTTGTAATCAGAGTACTTAAGTAGAGTACTACTTAAATTAAGTAGAGTACTACTTAAATTAAGTAGAGTACTACTTAAATTTACATTTATTCTTACACACTACAGTTAAAACAGGAGGAAAAATTCATCATATGGGTGTTAATATGGTCCTGCTGATGACATTTTCTAATTGGGTAATCCTCTCTTATTGGCATAATTAAAATGTGTTATGTAAAAAATTGCATTTAATCATAACACACTTCAGACACTAGAGTGACTTTTGTTGTTTTGTTATAAAACTGAATTATTTATTTTTTATTCATTACTCTTTCAATTCTAGGATACATGTACAGAATCTGCAGGTTTGTTACATAGGGTTGCATGTGCCATGGTGGTTTGCTGCAACTATCTACCTGTCATTTAGGTTTTAAGCGCCACATGCATCAGATATTTGTCCTAATGCTCTCCCTCCCCTTGCCCCCAACCACTGACAGGCCCCCGTATATGATGTTCCTCTCCCTGTGTCCTTGTGTTCTCAATGTTCATCTCCCACTTATGAGTGAGAACATGTGGTGTTTGGTTTTCTGTTCTTGTGATAGTTTGCTGAGAATAATGGTTTCCAGCTTCATCCATGTCCCTACAAAGGACATTAACTTATTCTTTTTCATGGCTGCATAGCACCCCATGGTGTAAATATGTCACTTTTTTTTTAACCAGTCTATCATTGATGGACATTTGGGTTGGTTCCAAGTCTTTGCTATTGTGAATAGTGCTGCAATAAACATACATGCACATAAGTCTTTATAATAGAATGATTTATAATCATTTGGTTATACAACCAGTGAAGAGATTGCTGGGTCAAATGGTATTTCTGGTTCTAGATCCTTGAGGAATTGCCACACTGTCTTCCACAATGGCTGAAATAATTTCCACTCCCATCAACAGTGTAACAGCATTCCTATTTCTCCAAATCCTCTCCAGCATCTGTTGTTTCCTGACTTTTTAAAGATCACCATTCTAACTGGTGAGAGATGGTATCTCACCGTGGTTTTGATTTGCATTTCTGTAATAACCAGTGATGATGAGCTTTTTTTCATATGTTTGTTGGCCACATAAATGTCTTCTATTGAGAAGTGTTTGTTCATATCTTTCATCCATTTTTGATGGGGGTTTTTGACTTTTTCTTGTAAATTTGTTTAAGTTCCTTGTAGGTTCTGGAAATTACACTTTTGTCAGATAAATATATTGCAAAAAATTTCTCAAATTCCAGAGGCTGCCTTTAACTCTGATAATAGTTTCTTTTGCTGTGCAGAAGCTCTTTAGTTTAAGGAGATCCTATTGGTCAATGTGGCCTTTGTTGTCATTGCTTTTGGTGTTTCAGTCATGAAGTCTTTGCCCATGCCTGTTTCATGAATGGTATTGTCTAGGTTTTCTTCTAGAGTTTTTATGGTTTTACATTTTATGTTTAAGTCTCTTGGGTTAATTTTTGTATAAAGTGCAAGGAAGGGGTCCAGTTTGTGTTTTCTGCATATGGCTAGCCAGTTTTACCAGCATCATTTATTAAATAGAGAATTCTTTCCCCATCACTTGTTTTTGTCAAAGGTTTGTTGAAGATCAGATGGCTGTGGTTGTGTGGTGTTGTTTCTGAGGCCTCTGTTCTGCTCCATTGGTCTATATATCTGTTTTGGTACCAGTACCATGCTGTTTCAGTTACTGTAGCCTTGTAATATAGTTTGACGTCAGGTAGCATGATGCCTCCAGCTTTGTCCTTTTTGCTTAGGACTGTCTTGGCTATATGGGGTCTTTTTTGGTTCCATATGAAACTTAAAGTAGGTTTTTCTAATTCAGTAAAGAAAGTCAGTGGTAGTTTGATGGGGATAGCATTGAATCTATGAATACTTTCAGAACTGTGGCCATTTTCGTGATATTGATTCTTCTTATCCGTGAGCATGGATTTTTTTTTTTCATTTTTTTTTTGTCCTCCCTTATTTCCTCAAGCAGTGGTTTGCAATTCTCCTTGAAGAGTTCCTTCACCTCCCTTGTAAGTTGTATTCTAAAGTATTTCATTGTCTTTGTAACAGTTGTGAATGGGAGTTCACTCATGATTTGACTCTGTTTATTGTTGGAGTATAGGAATGCTTGTGATTTTTGCACATTGATTATGTATCCTGAGACTTTGCTGAAGTTGTTTATCAGCTAAGGAGTTTGGAGGCTGAGATGATGGGGTTTTCTAAATACAAAATCATGTTGTCTGCAAACAAAGACAATTTAACTTCCTGTCTTCCTATTTGAATACCCTTCTTTCTCTTGCCTGATTGCTCTGACCAGAACTTCCAATTCTATGTTGAATAGGAATTTTGAGAGTAGGCATCCTTGTCATATACCTGTTTTCTTTTTTTTAATTCTTGATTTTCAATTTTATTTATTTATTTATTTATTTATTTATTTATTTATTTATTTATTATACTTCAAGTTCTATGGTACATGTGCACAACGTGCAGGTTTGTTACATATGTATACATGGGCCAAGTTGGTGTGCTGCACCCATTAACTTGTCATTTACATTAGGTGTATCTCCTAATGCTTTCTCTCCCCCCTTCTCCCACCCCACAAAAGGCTCCAGTGTGTGAGGTTCCCCTTCCTGTGTCCAAGTGTTCTCACTGTTTAATTCCCACCTATGAGTGAGAACATGTGGTGTTTGGTTTTTTGTTCTTGCTATAGTTTGCTGAGAATGACGGTTTCCAGCTTCATCCATGTCCCTACAATGGACATGAATTCATCCTTTTTTATGGCTGCATAGTATTCCATGGTGTATATGTGCCACATTTTCTTAATCCAGTCTATCATTGATGGACACTTGGGTTGGTTCCAAGTCTTTACTACTGTGAATAGTGCCACAATAAATATACGTGTATGTGTGCCTTTATAGCAGCATGATTTATAATTCTTTGGATATATACCCAGTAATGGGATGGCTGAGCCAAATGGTATTTCTAGTTATAGATCCTTGAGGAATCACCACACTGTCTTCCACAATTGTTGAACTAGTTTGCCTAGTCCTACGAACAACGTAAAAGTGTTCCTACTTCTCCACATCCTCTCCAGCACCTGCTGTTTCCTGACTTTTAATGATCGTCATTCTAACTGGTGTGAGATGATATCTCATTGCAGTTTTGATTTGCATTTCTCTGATGGCGAGCAATGATGAGCATTTTTTTCATGTGTCTGTTGGCTGCATAAATGTCTTCTTTTGAGAAATGTTTGTTCATATACTTTGCCCACTTGTTGATAGGGTTGTTTGTTTTTTTCTCGTAAATTTGTTTGAGTTCTTTGTAGACTCTGGATATTAGCCCTTTGTCAGAAGAGTAGATTGCAAAAATTTTCTCCCATTCCATAGGTTGTCTGTTCACTCTGATGGTAGTTTATTTTGCTGTGCAGAAACTCCTTAGTTTAATTAGATGCCATTTGTTAATTTTGGCTTTTGGTGTTTTAGACATGAAGTCCTTGCCCATGCCTATGTCCTGAATGGTATTGCCCAGGTTTTCTTCTAGGGTTGTTATGGTTTTATATGTACCTGTTTTCAAAAGGAATGCTTCCAGCTTTTGTCTGTTCTGTGTGCTATTGAATATGAGTTTGTCATGAATAGCTCCCATTATATTGAGATATCTTCCCTCAATTCCTAGTTTACTGAGTGTTTTTAGCATGAGGAGCTGTTGAATTTTATTGAAGGCCTTTTCTGCATCTATTGAAATAGTCATGTGATTTTTGTCATTGGTTCAATTTATGTAATTGATTACATTTTTTGATTTGTAGATGTTGAACCAGGCTTGCATCCCCGGGATGAAGCCAAATTGATTGTGGTGGATAAACTTTTTGATGTGCTGCTAGATTAAGTTTGCCAGTATTTTATTGAGGATTTTTGCATCAATATTCATCAGGGACATTGGCCAGAAAATTTCTTTTTTTGTTGTATCTCTGCCAGATTTTGGTAACAGAATGACACTGGCCTCATAATATGAGTTAGGGAGTATTCCCTTTTTTTTTTTCTATCGCTTGGAATGGTTTCAGAAGAAAAGGTACCTATTCCTCTTTGAACCTCTGGTAGAATTGGACTGAATTCTTCTGGACCTGGTCTTTTTTTGGTTGGTAAGCTATTAATTGCTGTCTCAATTTCAGAACTTGTTATGGGTCTATTCAGGGATTCCACTTCTTCCTGGGAGGGTGTATGTGTACAGAAATTCATCAATGTCTTCCAGATTTTCTAGTTCATTTGCATGGAGGTGTTTATAGTACAATCTGATGGTAGTTTGTATTTCTGGGAGATAAGTAGTGATATCCCTTCATCATTTTTTAGTGTGTATATTTGACTCTTCCCTCTTTTCTTTTTTATTAGTCTAGCTAGCATTCTATCTATTTAGTTCATCTTTTCAAAAAACCAGCTTCTGGATTCATTGATCTTTTTAAGGGATTTTTGGTCTCTATCTGCTTCAGTTATGTGGTTTGAGTCACTATTTGTTATGCTTTGCATTCTGAATTTGCCAAAGAATGTTTTACTTCCTATTATGTGGTTGATTTTAGAATAAGTGCGATATGGTACTAAGAAGAATGTATATTCTGTTCATTTCGCGTGGAGAGTTCTGTAAATGTCTATTAGGTCCACTAGGTCAGAACTGAATGCAAGTCCTGAATATCCTTGTTAATTTTCTGTCTCTTTGATCTGTCTAATATTGACAATGGGGTGTTAAAGTCTTCCGCTATTATTATATGGGAGTCTAAGTCTCTTTGTAGGTCTCTAAAAACTTGTTTTATGAATTTGGGTGCTCCTGTATTGCATGCATATATATTTAGAATAGTTAGCTCTTCTTGGTGCATCGATCTCTTCACCATTATGTGATGCCCTTCTTTGTCTTTTTCGATCTTTTTACTTTAAACTCTGTTTTATCAGAGATGAGGTTTGCAACGTCTGATTTTTTTTTTTTTTTTTTTTTTTTTTTTTTTTTTTGCCTTTCCATTTTCTTGGTAAATACTCTTGCATCCCTTTATTTTGAGCCTATCTACATCTTTCCAGATGAGATGGGTCTCCAAATTACAGAACACCAATTCATCTCGACTTTTTTAAAAAAAAGTTGCCAGTATGTGTCTTTTAATTGGGGCATTTAGCCCATTGACATTTAAGGTTAATATTGTTATGTGTGAATTTGATCCTGTCATCATGATGCTAGCTGATTATTTTGGACATTAGTTGATGCTATTTCTTCATAGTGTCATTGCTGTTTAGATTTCGGACATTAGTTGTTGCAGTTTCTTCATAGTGTCTTTGCTGTTTATATTTCGGTATGTTTTTGCAGTGGCTGGTACTGGTTTTTCCTTTCCATATTTGGTGGTTCCTTCAGGAGCTCTTGTAAGGTAGGCCTGGTGGTGAAAAAATCCCTCAGCATTTGCTTGTCTAGAAAGGATTTTGTTTCTCCTTCACTTATGAGGCTTAATTTGGCTGGATATGAAATTTTGGGTTGAAAATTGTTTTCTTTAAGAATGCTGAATATTGGCCCCTACTCTTTTCTGGCTTGTAGGGTTCCTGCAGAGAAATTCACAGTTATTCTGATGGGCTTCTCTTTATGGTAACCTGACCTTTCTCTCTGGCTGCCCTTAATATTTTTTTCCTTCATTTCATTCTTGGAGAATCTGACAATTACATGTCTTGGGGTTGCTCTTCTCATGAAGCATCTTAGTGGTGTTCTCTGTGTTTCCTGAATTTGAATGTTGGGTTTTCCCTGCTAGGTTTTGGAAGTTCTCCTGGATAATATCCTGAAGTGTGTTTTCCAGCTTGGGAAATCTCCTGGTCACTTTCAGGTACACCAATCAATTGTAGGTTTGGTCTTTACCATAGTCTCATATTTCTTTGTTTTTTCTCTAAACATGTCTTCACCCTTTGTTTCATTAAGTTGATCTTCAATCTCTGATATCCTTTCTTCCACTTGATTGATTCAGTTATTGATACTTGTGTATGGTTCATGAAGTTCTCATTGTGTGTTTTTCAGCTTCATCAGGTAATTTATGTTCTTCTCTAAACTGGCTGTTTTAGTTAGCAGTTCCTTTAACCTTTTATCAAGGTTCTTAGTTTCCTTTCATTGGGTTAGAACATGCTCCTTTAGTACAGCAGAGTTTATCATTATCCAACATCTGAAGCCAACTTCTGTCAATCCCTGAAGCTCATTCTCCATGCAGTTTTGTGCCATTGCTGAAGAGGGGTTGTGATCATTTGCAGAAGAGGCATTCTGGTTTTTAGAATTTTCAGCACTTTGCACTGGTTTTTCCTCATCTTCATGGATTTAGCCACCTCTGATATTTGATGCTGATGACCTTTGGATGTGGTTTTTGTGGGGACGTCCTTTCTCTTGATGTTGTTGTGATTGCTTTGAATTTTAGTTTTCTTTATAACAGTCAGGTCCCTCTTCTGCAAGTCTGCTGGAGGTCCACTCCAAACCCCGTTTGCATGGGTATCACCAGCAGAGGCTGTAGAACAACAAAGATTGCTGCCTGCTCCTTCCTCTGGACTCTTCACCCCAAAGGGGCATCCATCAGATGCCAGCCAGAGCTCTCCTGTATAAGGTGTCTGTTGACTTCCCCTGTGAGATGTCTCCCAGTCAGGAGGCACGGGGGTCAGGGACCAACTTGAAGAGGCACTTTG
Organism: Homo sapiens; assembly: GCF_000001405.40. Taxonomy (NCBI): domain Eukaryota; kingdom Metazoa; phylum Chordata; class Mammalia; order Primates; family Hominidae; genus Homo; species Homo sapiens. The sequence goes on along the minus strand of NC_000024.10, from coordinate 15,617,448 downwards.
TCCCTCAGTAGAACTCAAGTGCTGTGCAGGTAGATCTGCTACTCTCTTCAGAGCCTGCAGGCATCAACCTTTTAAGTTTGCTGAAGATGTGCCCACAGTCACACCTTCCTCCAGATTCTCTGTCCCAAGGAGATAGGATTTTATCTATAAGCACCTGACTGGGGCTGCTGCATTTTTTCCAGAGATGTCCCACCTAGTGAGGAGAAATCTAGAGAGGCACTCCGGCCATAGCCACTTTGCTGTGCTGCAGTGAGTTCCACCCAGGCTGAACTTTCTTGCACCTTCCTTAACACTATGAGGGAAAAACCACCTACTGAATCCTAAGTAGTGGTGGATACCCCTCCCTGCACGAAGCATGATAGTCCCATCTGGACTTCAGACTGTTGTGCTGGTTGCAATATATAGATATATATATTTAATATACTTTAAGTTTTAGGGTAAATGTACAAAACATGCAGGATTTTTGTACATATACACGGGCCATATTGGTGTGCTGCACCCATTAACTCGTCATTTAACCTTAGGTATATCTCCTAATGCTATCCCTCCCCACTCCCTGCACCCTGCAACAGGCCCTAGTGTGTGATGTTCCCCTTCCTGTGTCCATGTGTTCTCATTGTTCAATTCCCACCTAGGAGTGAGAATATGCGATGTTTGGTTTTTTGTCCTTGCGATAGTTTGCTGAGAATGATGGTTTCCGCTTCATCCATGTCCCTACAAAGGGCATGAACTCATCATTTTTTATGACTCCATAGCATTCCACGGTGTATATGTGCCACATTTTCTTAATCCAGTCTATCATTGTTGGACATTTGACTTGGTTCCAGGTCTTTGCTATTGTGAATAGTGCCGCAATAAACATACATGTGCATCTTTCTTTACAGCAGCATGATTTTTAATCCTTTGAGTATATACTCAGTAATGGGATGGCTGGGTCAAATGGTATGCCTAGTTCTAGATCCCTGAGGAATCGCCACACCGACTTCCCCAGTGGTTGAGCTAGTTTACAGTCCACCAATAGTGTAAAAGTGTTTCTATTTCTCCACATCCTCTCCAGCGCGTGTTGTTTCCTGACTTTTTAATGATCGCCATTCTAACTGTTGTGAGATGGTATCTCATTGTGGTTTTGATTTGCATTTCTCTGATGGCCAGTGATGATGAGCATTTTTTCATGTGTTTTTTGGCTGCATAAATGTCTTCTTTTGAGAAGTATCTATTCCTATCCTTCGCCCAGTTTTTGATGGGATTGTTTGTTTTATTCTTGTAAATTTGTTTGAGTTCATTGTAGATTCTGGATATTAGCCCTTTGTCAGATGAGTAGATTGAAAAAATTTTCTCCCATTCTGTAGGTTGCCTGTTCACTCTGATGGTAGTTTCTTCTGCTGCGCAGAAGCCCTTTAGTTTAATTACATCCCATTTGTCAATTTTGGCTTTTGTTGCCATTGCTTTTGGTGTTTTAGACATGAAGTCCTTGCCCATGCCTATGTCCTGAATGGTAATGCCTAGGTTTTCTTCTAGGGTTTTTATGGTTTTAGGTCCAATATTTAAGTCTTTAATCCATCTTGAATTAATTTTTGTATAAGATGTAAGGAAGGGATCCAGTTTTAGCTTTCTACATATGGCTAGCCAGTTTTCTCAGCAGCATTTATTAAATAGGGAATCCTTTCCCTATTGTTTTTGCCAGGTTCATCAAAGATCAGATAGTTGTAGATACATGGCATTATTTCTGAGGGCTCTGTTCTGTTCCATTGGTTTATATCTCTGTTTTGGTACCAGTATCATGCTGTTTTGGTTACTGTAGCCTTGTAGTATAGTTTGAAGTCAGGTAGTGTGATGCCTCCAGCTTTGTTCTTTTGGCTTAGGATTGACTTGGCAATGTGGGCTCTTTAGTGGTTCCATATGAACTTTAAAGCAGTGTTTTCCAATTATGTGAATAAAGTCATTGGTAGCTTGATGGGGATGGCATTGAATCTGTAAATTACCTGGGGCTGTAAGGCCATTTTCATGATATTGATTCTTCCTACTCATGATCATGGAATGTTATTCCATTTGTTTGTATCCTCTTTTGTTTCATTGAGCAGTGTGTTTGTAGTTCTCCTTGAAGAGGTCCTTCAAGTCCCTTGTAAGTTGGATTCCTAGGTATTTTATTCTCTTTGAAGCAATTGTGAATGTGAGTTCACTCATGATTTGGCTCTCTATTTGTCTGTTACTGGTGTATAAGAATGCTTGTGATTTTTGTACATTGATTTTGTATTCTGAGCCCTTGTTGAAGTTACCTATCAGCTTAAGCAGATTTTGGGCTGAGATGATGGGGTTTTCTAGATATACAATCATTTCATCTGCAAACAGGGACAATTTCACTTCCTCTTTTCCTAATGGAATACTATTTATTTCCTTCTCCTGCCTAATTGCCCTGGCCAGAACTTCCAACACTATGTTGAGTAGGAGTGGTGAGAGAGGACAACCCTGTCTTGTGCCAGTTTTCAAAGGGAATACTTCCAGTTTTTGCCCATTCAGTATGATATTGGCTGTGGGTTTGTCATAGCTAGCTCTTATTATTTTGAGATTGGTCCCATCAATACCTAATTTATTGAGAGTTCTTAGCATGAAGCATTGTTGAATTTTGTCAAAGGCCTTTTCTGCATCTATTGAGATAATCATATGGTTTTTGTCATTGGTTCTGTTTATCTGCTTTATTACATTTATTGATTTGCATATGTTGAACCAGCCTTGCATCCCAGGGATGAAGCCCACTTGATCATGGTGGACAAGCTTTTTGATTTGCTGCTGGATTTGGTTTGCCAGTATTTTATTGAGGATTTTTGCATCGATGTTTATCAGGGATATTGGTCTAAAATTCTCTTTTTTTTTTTGTTGTGTCTCTGCCAGGCTTTGGTATCAGGATGACACTGGCCTCATAAAATGAGTTAGGGAGGATTCCCTCTTTTTAATTGCTTAGAATAACTTCAGAATGATTGGTACCAGCTCCTCCTTGTACCTCTGTTTGAATACGGCTGTGAATTCATCTGGTCCTGGACCTTTTTTGTTTGGAAAGCTATGAATTATTGCCTCAATTTCCGAGTCTGTTATTGGTCTATTCAGAGATTCAACTTCTTCCTTGTTTAGTCTTGGGAGAGACTTGGGAGATTCTTGGGTGAAGAATTTATGCATTTCTTCTAGATTTTCTAGTTTATTTGCATAGAGGTGTTTATAGTATTCTCTGATGGTAGTTTGTATTTCTGTGGGATCGGTGGTGATATCCCCTTTATCATTTTTTATTGCATCTGTTTGATTCTTCCCTCTTTTCTTCTTTATTAGTCTTGCTAGCTGTCTATCAATTTTGTTGATCTTTTCAAAAAAACAGCTCCTGGATTCATTGATTTTTTGAAGGTTTTTGTGTGTCTCTATTTCCTTCAGTTCTGCTGGGATCTTAGTTATTTCTTGCCTTCTGCTAGCTTTTGAATGTGTTTGCTCTTGCTTCTCTAGTTCTTTTAATTGCGATGTTAGGGTGTCCACTTTAGATCTTTCCTGCTTTCTCTTGTGGGCATTTAGTGCTATAAATTTCCCTCTACGCACTGCTTTGAATGTGTCCCAGAGATTCTGGCATGTTGTGTCTTTGTTCTCATTCATTTCAAAGAACATCTTTATTTCTGCCTTCATTTCATTATGTACCCAATAGTCATTCAGGAGCAGGTTGATCAGTTTCCATGTAGTTCAGTGCTTTTGAGTGAGTTTCTTAATCCTGAGTTCTAGTTTGATTGCACTGTGGTCTCAGAGACAGTTTGTTATAATTTCTGTTCTTTTAAATTTGCTAAGGAGTGCTTTACTTCCAACTATGTGGTCAACTTTGGAATAGGTGTGGTGTAGTGTTGAAAAGAATGTATATTCTGTTGATTTGGGGTGGACAGTTCTGTAGATGTCTATTAGGTCTACTTGGTGCAGAGCTGAGTTCAGTTCCTGGATATCCTTGTTAACTTTCTGTCTCATTGATCTGTCTAATGTTGACAGTGGGGTGTTAAAGTCTCCCATTATTATTGTGGAGACTAAGTGTATTTGTAGGTCTCTAAGGACTTGCTTTATGAATCTGAGTGCTCCTGTATTGGGTGCATATATATTTAGGGTAGTTAGCTCTTTTTCTTGTATTGATTTGATGCCTTTACCATTATGTAAGGGCCTCCTTTGTCTCTTTTGATCTTTGTTGGTTTAAAGCCTGTTTTATCAGAGACTAGGATTGCAACCCTTGCCTTTTTTTGTTTTCCATTTGCTTGGTAGATCTTCCTCCATCCCTTTATTTTGAGCCTATGTGTGTCTCTGCAGGTGAGATGGGTTTCCTAAATACAGCACACTGATGGATCTTGACTCTTTATCCAATTTGCTAGTCTGAGTCTTTTATTTGGAGCACTTAGCCCATTTATATTTAAGGTTAATATTGTTATGTATGAATTTGATCCTGTCATTATGATGTTAGCTGGTTATTTTGCTCATTAGTTGATGCAGTTTCTTCCTAGCCTCGACGGTATTTACAATTGGGCATGTTTTTGCAGTGGGTGTTAACCAGTTGTTCCTTTCCATGTTTAGTGCTTCCTTCAGGAGCTCTTTTAGGTCAGGCCTGGTGGTGACAAAATCTCTCAGCATTTGCTTGTCTGTAAAGTATTTTATTTCTCCTTCACTTATGAAGCTTAATTTGGATGGATATGAAATTCTGGGTTGAAAATTATTTTCTTTAAGAATGTTGAATATTGGCCCCCACTCTCTCTGGCTTGCAGAGTTTCTGCCAGGAGATCAGCTGTTAGTCTGATGGGCTTCCCTTTGTGGGTAACCAGACCTTTCTCTCTGGCGGCTCTTAACATTTTTTCCTTCATTTCCACTTTGGTGAATCTGACGATTATGTGTCTTGGAGTTGCTCTTCTTGAGGAGTATCTTTGTGGTGTTCCCTGTATTTCCTGAATTTGAATGTTGGCCTGCCTTGCTAGGTTGGGGAAGTTCTCCTGGATAATATCCTGCAGAGTGTTTTCCAACTTGATTCCATTCTCCTCATCACTTTCAGGTACACCAATCAGATGTAGATTTGGTCTTTTCACATGTCCCATATTTCTTGGAGGCTTTGTTCATTTCTTTTTATTTTTTTCTGTAAACTTCTCTTCCTGCTTTATTTCATTCATTTGATCTTCCATCACTGATACCCTTTCTTCCATTTGATTGAATTGGCTACTGAGGCTTGTGCAATCGTAACGTAGTTCTTGTGCCCTGATTTTCAGCTCCATCAGGTCCTTTAAAAGGACTTCACTGCATTGATTATTCTAGTTAGCCATTCATGTAATTTTTTTTCAATGTTTTTAACTTATTTGCCATGGGTTTGAACTTCGTCCTTTAGCTCGGAGTAGTTTGATCATCTGAAGCCTTCTTCTCTCAACTCATCAAAGTCATTCTCCATCCAGCTTTGTTGCATTGCTGGTGAGGAACTGCGTTCCTTTGGAGAGGGAGAGGTGCTCTGATTTTTAGAGTTTTCGTTTTTCTGCTCTGTTTTTTCCCGATCTTTGTGGTTTTATGTACCTTTTTTCTTTGATGATGGTGATGTACAGATGGGAGTTTGGTGTGGACGTCCTTTCTGTTTGTTAGTTTTCCTTCTAACAGTCAGGACCCTCAGCTGCAGGTCTGTTGGAATTTGCTGGAGGTCCACTCCAGACCCTGTTTGCCTGGGTATCAGCAGTGGAGGCTGCAGAACAGTGGATATTGGTGAACAGCAAATGTTGCTGCCTAATCATTCCTCTGGAAGTTTTGTCTCAGAGGAGTACACGGCCGTGTGAGGTGTCAGTCTGCCCCTACTGGGGGGTACCTCCCAGTTAGACTACTTAGGGTCAGAGTCCCACTTGAGGAGGCAGTCTGTCTGTTCTCAGATCTCCAGCTGCAGGCTGGAAGAACCACCACTCTCTTCAAAGCTGTCAGATAGGGACAATTATGTCTGCAGAGGTTTCTGCTGCCTTTTGTTTGGCTATGCCCTGCCCCCAGAGGTGGAGTTTACAGAGGCAGGCAGGCCTCCTTGAGCTGCAGTGGGCTCCACCCAGTTTGAGCTTCCCAGCTGCTTTACCTACTCAAGCCTCAGTAATGGTGGGCGCCCCTTCTTCAGACTCGCTGCAGCCTTGCAGTTTGATCTCAGACTGCTGTGGTAGCAATGAGTGAGGCTCCATGGGTGTAGGATGCTCCAAGCCATGTGTGGGATATAATCTCCTGGTGTGCCATGTGCTGAGACCATTGGAAAAGGGCCATATTAGGGTGGGAGTGAATTGATTTCCCATGTGCCTTCTCTCACCCCTTTCTTTGGCCAGGAAAGGGAATTCCCTGATCCCTTGCACTTCCCAGGGAGGCAATGCCTTGCCTTGCTTTGGCTCACACACAGTGTGATGCACCCACTGTGTCCGTCACTCCCCAGTGAGATGAGCCCATTACCTCAGTTGGAAATGCAGAAATTGCTTGTCTTCTGCATAACTCATGCTAGGAGCTGTAGACTGGAGCTGTTCCTGTTTGGTCATCTTGGCTCCACCCCCAGTAGCAAGAATTTCAAGCCAGTGGTTCTTAGCTTGCTGGGCTCTGTGGGAGTGGGATCTGCTGAACAAGACCACTTGGTTCTTCGGTTTCAGTCCTCTTTCCAGTGGAGTGAATTGTTCTGTCTTGCTGGGGTTGCAGATGCCACTGGTGTATGGAAAAAAACTCCTGTAGCTAGCTTGGTGTGCGTCCAAACGCACCTAGTTTCGTTCTTCAAACCAAGGGCCCTGGTGATGTAGGCACACGAGGGACTCTCGTGATCTTCTGGTTGTAAAAACCATGGGAAAAGCTTAGAATCTGGGCTGGATAGCACAGTCCCTCATGGCTTCCCATTGCTGGGAAAGGGAGTTCCCCACACTCCTTGCACTTCCTGGGAGAGGCGACACCCCATCCTGCTTCTGCTCACCCTCCATGGGCTGCATCCACTGTGTAACCAGTCCCAGTGAGATGAACCAAGTACCTCAGTTGGAATTGTGGAAATAACCCACCTTCTTCATTGATCTCACTGGGAGCTGCAGACTGGAGCTGTTCCTATTTGTCCATCTTGCCAGATCCCCCAGAACTGAATTATTTTGTGTTGAATCTTAATCGTCAAAGTTGGAGATGTAGGGCAATGTGAATTCACAGAGTGTAATCTTTTTTCTTCCATTGTATGCATTTTTCTACAGTTATAATGCAAAAGGGTGAGATTGGAAGCTTAGCCATTGAGGTTAGTCTTGATGTACAACAGAAGGAAAGTGGACAGATCTAACTCCAGGCTGCTTACTAAAGGTTTGAAAATGGATGGGTAGTGCTAAGTGTCTTTGTCACTCACAGAGTACCCATTAACATAGCTGCCTGGGCTGAAGCAAAAAATAGATTTGTCATTGCCATTAAATTCTAGAAAGGAAATCAAGCCATTTAGCTTTTAGGGACAGCTATGTCTTGCCTCTATGTCTCCTACTCACCTTTCTCTTGCCAGATCCCATTGAAAGATAATTCAAGAGCACTGTCATTTCCTAGAATAAATGTCTGCATCTCCAAAAGGGATTTATCTTATTCTTAGAAAGCTTCTGTGGAGCAGGGAAGCACTGAAATGATCTTCTGCAGAGAAATATGTATTTTTTCATGCCATGGTAAGTGATTAGGTGACATTAGACCGCTGCATATTTTAGACATACAAGACAGTGAGGGGTGAGGATATGAAATTCTGGTTCTTTTCTCTGCCCTGGAGATTAAATAGTCATTAGAATGGAATCATTCAAGCACTATCTAAGATAATTGAAGATAGACTATTACAGGGTAACTGTCACCCTGAGACTGATAGCATGTTGGTTCTCTCGCCCTCTATTTCACACCTTTAAGAAAACTGCACCGTAAACAGACATGGGATAACTAAGGTTTGCCTCTATGTCTCCTACTCACCTTTCTCTTGCCTTGCCATTCCCTTCTCCCATATTTACACCGAAGTCCTTGTCTCATTTGGGGTTGGTAGCTCTCTTCTAAGGGTCATCATTGTTGAATTTAATGAACTCTACATGAAAGAAACCATTATAGCCCTGGAAATGCTTTAACATTGTCTTGGTGTGATGGAATAATACAATACAATTTTAAATATTTTTGCTTACATAAATTACCCTTAAAACATTGTCTTGAAAAATAATAGCACTATAAAAAAACAAACACCGCATGTTCTCACTCATAGGTAGGAATTGAAGAATGAGAACACATGGACACAGGAAGGGGAGCATCACACACTGAGGCCTGTTGTGGGGTGGGGGGAGGGGGGAGGGATAGCATTAGGAGATATACCTAATGTTAAATGATGAGCTAATGGGTGCAGCACAATAACATGGCACATGTATACATACATAACTAACCTGCACATTGTGCACATGTACACTAAAACTTAAAATATAATAAAAAAAGAAAGATAATAGCACTATATAATTTTTAAACAGCAGAATTCACTTAGCATGATTGAGATTAAAAAAGGCAAACAATTTAAACAAGAAAGGGTCAAAAGACCATTTAGTTGTATTCAAAGCACTAATAAGTAGCATGCACATGAATATTATTGTTACTACTAGGTAGTCTTTTTACTTTAAAAGAATTGTCAAATAATTAACATACAATTAAGTAGGATTAAACATTTTAAACACATAAGTGACATTAAAAGGCAGGTCTTGCTATACTTGTTAAAACAAAGGGATTTGAAGTTGTACAATCATTAAATTTTCATGTGGCTTAATATGTTACCAAATGAAGTGCCATCAACTTCCCTAATATTCACTCTGTAAAAGTTAGTAAATGTGTATACTTTTGAAGATACAGTGAATCTCAACATTAGTTTCATTTGGTTTTGTTTTTACCTGGCTGGAAGCCATCCTCATTTTTCCTTTCTTCTGTCTAAATTATCTTTCTAAGTCAGTTTAAGCCTCAGATATTTCATGGTCCAAAATATCCCAGCATTCCTTAGCTATAAACTCCCTAAGGGATAAAAATAGGAAATGAAATATTTTGCAAAACGAAACTCATTCCTTTGCAGAAACAGGATGGTAACCTAAGTTGCTCAGGATGAATGTATCTAGACTACATGGACAATATCCAAGTTTCAGTGGCTTCAGAAACAAAGCTTTCTTTCTTGCTCACACTGTGTATTCCTCTTGAGTTATCTGGAACTCTGTTTGGTGTCATCTTAATTCAGAGACCACCCTGAGGGACCAGCCTCTGTGTGGGATTTTAAGAAAGTGCTGGCAACAGATGTCGTAGCTCTGAAATAGACTGTGACATCTCTCCTTACTGTTCACTAAAGGCCAGAGTTCAGCCCTATCATGTGCCTGAGCAGCAGAGTGAGCTGGAAATCTTTAGCAGACAGCATGGTAATGCCCAGAGAAAAGTAAACCAACAAAATCTTGTGCATTTTTTCTTAATGTAATATATCAACTCTTTGTTAATATGAGCTCTATTTTAATGAGCAGTACACTTGGATTGCTTTTTCCACTCAGAATGTCTTATGTTGATATACTAACTCACAGACTTATCCATGGGTTTTACACAGCATACTCCTGTGTCCTTTGCTATACAAACTATGGTAGTCAGTTGTGTCCAACTTACATAGGCATCTATTTTTGCAACAAGATTATCTAATGGATATTGATACATATGGTGACACAGGTTGTGCACTGCACAAATTTAGAAAATGTTCTTCCCACTGTGGATTATGTTAATGCTGCCTCTGGAGTTGTGCAGTACATAGCATTCACAGTCATATATGAAGGTCATGAATCTATCCATTTCTTTTGATATTAACCAAAAGATCATTCCATAAATCAAACCATAAAGCAATTTATGTAGTTTTTTGCCTGGGTCCTCATGTGTAACAGGAAAATAATAACAGCTATCTGGCAGATGTGCAGTGAAGATTAAATAGATGTATATATTAAAGCACTTAGAATCATGTCTGGGATCCATGTAACTTACCAAACACCATCCCACATCCCCACCTGTAGCACCTGCATGTGGCCCCAAGATGCTGCCCTCTACTCCCCTTCAGTGCAATGGGATATGCTACAGAGCTCTCTTTGTCTCTGCCCCTGATGTAACAATGTGAACAGCTCACCTTGATACAAGCTCTAATGGATGGACTGTTTGATCCGGCTTTCTCTTAGCAGTTACAGACCAGATGCACTGCCCTTGTAGATAAAATGCCACCAGTGCCCTTTCCTGAATTATTTCAAGCTTTGAATTTTTCCAGCTTCTTCCTATAGAACTTCTGACTTTCACACACATCAGCCTGAGGCAGTAGACAAGAGTATGTGCAAACCTTGCTGCAGAGTGTCTTCAGATTTCAACACAGAGCCTACACTTTGCATTAATGACATAGTTAACCATCTGACTTTGAAAGAAAATGCAAGAATCACATAAATTAATTGGAAATAATTCCAATTAATTATTGGAATTATTAATTCACATGAAGAAAAAGCACAAAATGCAAGAATCACATGAACTAATTGGAAATATTAAACACAAGTTCAATGGTATTATTTCAAAGATTGCAGAAATAGCTTGGCTTAAAATATTATGTCATTGTTTCATCTTTTCCTAAGACCAAGATGTCATTAACGAAACTAAAATATTGCATTTACTGAACTACTATGTAGGCACGGGAAGTATTTTAAAAAGTATTTCAACGTGACAAAGTTTATAGGGAATTCAATAATACATTACAAAAAATATATCCACTGGGGCTGGGTGCAGTGGCTCATGCCTGTAATCACAGCACTTTGGGAGGCCGAGGTGGGCAGATCACCTAAGGTCAGAAGTTCAAGACCAGCCTGGCCCACATGGTGAAATCCTGACTGTACTAAAAATAAAAAAAAAAAAAAAAAAAACCTGGGCATGGTGGTGTGTGCCTGTATAGCTGGGCATGGTGGCGGGTGCCTGTAAACCCAGCTCTTCGGGAGATTGAGGCAAGAGAATCACTTGAACTCAAGAGGAGGAGGTTGCAGTGAGCCAAGATTGTGCCATGGGATTCCAGCCTGGGTGACAAGAGTGAAACTCCATCTTAAAAAATGTATGTATTTATAATACTATGAAATATGTAATATATATATTCATTGAAAAATTTTAAAGTTGCAACTGCCACTAAAAATAACATCATTCCCCAATAAGTGTAATATATTTTGAAATCTATTATTCTCATAGAATCCAGTGAAGCAAAATGAAATGTTTCAAAAAGAACCTCAACATTTAAGTAATAATTACATTTGTTGTGGAAATTAATCAACTCTGCCTCTCCGCTCATTTATACTGGAATAGCAGAATCACTTACAATCAATTCAGGGCCATGGTCAATTGGTAGTAGACTCCACTATATTTTTATCTTTAATTTTATTCAATTATCACTTTCACATAGCTGATAGCCTTTAAAGATAATGCACATAACTTCCATTTAAAGAGTACCAGTAAATCAAAGCATCTTTTTGAAATCCAAAGAATTATCATAAAATGTTAGGTTTATCTAGTATGGCTGACCTCTTGTATTAGTCAAGGTAATTATCTCCTGCTGATGTTATACTTAACAACCTCCAAATCTCAGTTCCTCATATTTAAAAACAGTTTAGTTCTCATTCAGGTTACAGCCACCTGTTGAGCAGGCAACTCTCTGGAGCTGCTCCTGGTGGTGACACAGGGAACCAGGCTGTCTTATGCCCTCTTATGGTGATATGTTTTTGCTGTGTCCCCATCCAAATCTCATATTGAATTGTAGTCCCCATAATTCCCACATGTCATGAAAGAGACCCAGTGGGAATAATTGAATTATGAGAGTGTTTATCTCCACGTTGCTCACATTATAGTGAGTTCTCACAAGATCTATGTTTTTATAAGGTGCTTTGTCCTACCTTTGCTCTGCACTTCTCCTTGTTGCTGCCATGTGAAGGACATGTTTGCTTCCCATTCTGCCATGATCATAAGATTCCTGAAGCCTCCCCATCCTTAAGGAACTGTGAGTCTATTAAACTTCTTTCCTTTATAAATTACCCTGTCTTGGGTATGTCTTTATTATCAGCATGAGAACTGAATAATACAATAAATTAGTAGCTGGTAGTGGGGTGCTGCTGTAAAGGTACCCAAAAATATGGAAGTGACTTTGGAAGTGGGTAAGAAGCAGAGGTTGGAACAGTTTTCAGGGCTCAGAAGAAGACAGAAAAATGTGGGATAGCCTTGGAACTTCCTAGAGACTTGGAGGGCTAAGGAAACAAGAAGATGTGGGAAACTTTGGAACTGCCTAGAGAATTGGAGGGTTTGGAAGACAGGAAGATGTGAGAAAGTTTAGAGCCTCCTAGCGACTTGCTGAATGGCTTTGACCAAAATGCTGATAGTAATATGGACAATAATATTCAGGCTGAGGTGGTCTCAGATGGAGATGAAGAATTTGTTGGGAACTTGAGTAAAGGTGACTCTTGCTGTACTTTAGCAAGGAGACTGGCAGCTTTCTGCCCCTGCCCTAGAGATCTTTGGAACTTTGAAATTAAGAGAGAAAATTTAAGGGTATCTGGCAGAAGAAATTTCTAAGCAGCAAAGTATTCGAGAAGTAACAGAGCATAAAAGTTTAGAAAATTTGAAGCCTGATGATGCAGTAGAAAAGAAAGAAAACCATTTTCTGGGAAGAAATTCAAACTCATTGATGAAATTTGCAAAATTAATGAGGAGCCAATGGTGAAAATGTCTCCAGGCCATCTCAGCAACCTTGATGGTAGTCTTCCCATCACAGGTCTGGAGGTATAGGAGGAAAAAAATGCTTTTCCCACTGCTTTGTGCTGCCTCTGGACTTGGTGCTTTGTTCCAACTTGTGCTGTTTCAACTGTGGTAAAAAGGAGCAAAAGTACAGCTTGGGCCATGGCTTCAGAGGGTGTAAGTCTCAAGCCTCCATGTGGTGTCAGTCCTGCAGGTGAATAGAATGCAAGAATTGAGGTTTCAGAACCTCCACCTAGATTTCAGAAGATGTATGAAAAGCCCTGGATATCCAGGCAGAGGTGTGATGCAGTAGCAAAGCCCTCATGGAGAACCTCTGCTAGGGTCGTGCATAAGGGAAATGTGGGGTGGGAGCCCCCAAACAGAGTCCCCATTGGAACACTGCCTAGTAGAGCTGTGAAAAGAGGCAACCATCCTCCAGACCTCAGAATGGTACATCCACTAGCAGCTTGCACCATGCACCTGGAAAAGCCATAGACATTCCACACCAGTGTATGAAAGCAGCCAAGACAGGGGCTGTACCCTGCAAAGTCACAAGGGTGGAGCTGCTCAATATCATGGAAGCCGATATCTTGCATTGGTGTGACCCAGATGTGAGACAATGGAGTCAAAGGAGATTATTTTGGAATTTTAAGATTTAATTACTGCCCTACTGAATTTTGGACTTGCATGGGGCCTGTAGCCTCTTTATTTTGGCTAATTTCTCCCATTTGAAATGGGTATATTTATCCAATCCCTGTATCCCCATTTTATGTAGAAAGTAATATTACGGGCTTATAGGCAGAAGGACTTTGTCTTGTCTGATATGAGGCTTTGGACTTGGAGTTCTGAATTAATGCCGGAATTAGTTAAGACTTTGGAGGACTTTTGGGAAGACATGATTGTGTTTTGAAATGAAAGGACATGACACTTGTCAGGTGCCAGGGGCAGAATGATGTGTTCCCACCCAAATCTCATCTTGAATTGTAGTTCCCATAATCCCCATGTTGTGGGAGGGGCCTGGTGGGAGGTAATTGAATCATGGGGGCAGATATGCCCCTGCTGTTCTCATGATAGTGAGTGAGTTTTCATGAGATGTGATGGTTTTACAGTGGGCTTTTCCCCACCTTTGCACTGCACTTCTCCTTCCTGCTGCCATGTGAAGATGGATGTGTTTGCTTCTCCTTCTGCCATAATCGTAAGTTTCCTGAGGCCTCTGCAGCCATGCTAAACTGATCAATTAAACCTCTTTCCTTTATAAATTTCTCAAGTATGTCTTTATTAGCAGAATGAGAATGGAGTAATATATCACAATTCATTCATTAGGGCCTCTTCCTCTGATCTCTTATCTGGATTTTCAGTGGCAACAAGCAGAGAGTACCCAAAGAGTAGCAGCCCCCACATTTTTTGGCAACAGGGACTGATTTCATGGAAAACAATTTTTCCATGAACGAGGGGTGGTAGGGGTGAGGGATGGTTTCAGGTTAATTCAAGCACATTACATTTGTAATTACATTGTAATATATAATAAAATAAATATACAACTTACCATAATGTAGAATCAGTGGCAGCCCTGAGCTAGTTTTCCTGCATCTAGTCAGTCCCATCTGGGGGTGATAGGAGACAGTGACAGATTATTAGGCATTGGATTCTCATAAGTAGTGCACAACCTAGCTCCCTCATATTTGCAGGTAACAATAGGCTTCATGTTCCTATGAGAATCTAATGCAGTCGTTCATCTGACAGGAGGCTGAGTGCAGGTGGTAATGTGAGTGATTGGGAACAGCTGTAAATACAGGTGAAGCTTTGCTCACTTGCCCTCTGCTCATTTCCCACTTAGTGGTCCAGTTCCTAACAGGCCACAGACTGGCAGGAGTCTATGGTGTAGGGACTGGGGAGCCCCATCATAGTGGATTATCACGGAAAGTTATGGTCAGGCCCAAGTGGTTCATATGGTGCCAACATTACTATAAGAGAAATAGGAAAATATCATCTTGCTCAGAACTCACTGGGATAAATCTGTATATTTGATTCATGAGATAGCTTCTATTCCAAATGTAATCACCACTGGGGCGTTGCCACTGGAAAATATGTGTATCTTTGTAAATACAGTACTTTGATGTATTTATTTTTGTATACATTGTAAAATTTGTATAAATTTTAGCAATTCAAAGCACATATTTATAAAAACATGCTCATTTACAATATTTTCTTTAGAAAAACATGATCATCTCTATGTATAAATAATTTAATTTGAAACCTTGGATTCTCATATGCTCAGTAAAGCAAATTTTATATCCCAAACCACTATATAAAAGTGATTGCGTTTGCTTACTATGTAAAATATATATAAGAAATTGTACAATTTGCTACTTTGAAGATGTGATGTATTTGCCAGGTAAGACAAACTTATCATGGTCAGGTTCTGTGGCTCATGTCTGTAATCCCAGCACTTTGGGTGGCTGAGTCGAGCAGATCACCTGAGGTCAGGAGTTTGAGACCAGCCTGGCCAACATGATGAAACCCTATCTCTACTGAAAATACAAAAGTGTGCATGGAGTCATGGTGCACACCTGTAGTCCCAGCTACTCAGGAGGCGGAGATGGGAGAATCTCTTGAATCAGAGAGGTGGAAGTTGCAGTGAACCGAGATCACACCATTGCACTGCAGCCTGGGTGACAGAGTGAGATTCTGTCAAAAAAAAAAAAAAAAAAAAAAAGAAGATAAACTTACTGAAAAATCATTTAGAGGATTTGAACTTAATAAGTAGAACCATTGTCTAATGAACCCCCGAACTTGAATGTCTTCTATATGAAAGGCCCTTGAAGTTCTTAGAAAACTGATAGTTACATGGGAATGTTTCCTTTTCAGAAAGACTTGGGTAGTTTTTAAACTGCTTACGTTCTAACTGGGAAAGCTGTTGTTTCCTTCATTGGGAAGGCTTCCATTAAGATAATACTTGACAAAGTAAAATATTGGTACATTACAATTACCTTATTCAAAGTCACAAAGAGATGGTATTAAGTAACATTGGCTCAAGTGATCTCTCACAACATTAAACAGGTTCACGGTGTCAGAAAACCAAGAATGCTCAGGGACAAACAAAGCTGAGCTCTAAAGACACCACAGAGTTATGCCGTCCCAGCAGGTTTTAAGTTCTCATGGATGATGTTAAAGAAAAAAATATTCAGTGCTAGTTATTAAAACACAGTAAGGAAGACTTCATTCAGGACCATCATGACAACTGCAGCAGTGGGGGCTTACAGTGGGGGAAGAGATTGGGCTCAGCTCTTAATACATCATGGGAAAGTGGGGATTCATAGCCAGGGAGCAGGGTGCCCATCAGTGGATGGAAACTACCAAGAGGAAACACCAAAGTCCAGCAGGATTACAGCTGAACTGACCTAACAGGATTCTAGAAGGCTGACCAGGTGACCACACATCCCCTGGAGGGCAGAGGAGGCTGAGGAGCTTACTATGTAAGCAAACACAGTCACTTTTATATCGAGGTTTGGGATATAAAATTTGCTTCACTGAGGATTTGAGAATCCAAGGTTTCAAATTAAATTATTTATACATGGAGACGATCATGTTTTTCTAACAAGCTTCTTGCTAAAATTGGATTTTACAAGGAAGTGCACAGATGGGCCTGGGAAAAGGTTGAGGAGCTTGGCTAACATTTGGTCAAGTGGTGAATCTTTGTTCATGAAGCCTGGGATAGAGGTGAGTTACACAGAGGTTAGACAGCTATGATTTAAGAGGTTTTGAGCATTCGCATCACATACCACATTCTCTGGGCGCTAAAGAGAAGGCAACAAGGCTTTAGCTTTTAAAAGTCTCCATGGGATCAACACCTTTCTTCCTGAGCATATTAGCTCCCTATGGGCATGCACGCACCAGCAGCACCTTTATGGACATGTTTTGACATTTTATTAAATTTGCTCAGTCAATCCAGAGCTGATCCTAGTATGCATAGTATGCTCTTGTCACTCCAGCTTCTTACTGCTTCAGAGGTTTGTTCTGACACTGGCTTGGTCTTCCTAAGGAATCTGATTGAAAGAAAAGTAAAGACAGAACAATATTTCTCAAACCAAATTTCTGCCCCAGGTGTTTGTAGAGCAAAGCAGCTGCTTCACCAGGATAGGGTCCTGTCCCCAGGGCCCAGTAAGACTTCCGTGGGTCACAAAGGCAAAATATATTAATATATTTTAATATCAAAATATATTATATAAAAACATATTAACATTACATTTTATGACAATGTTGCTCCAAATGACAATATGATCTCCAATCCCCAATGTTCATTTTCTCTTCTTCTGATTATAAAAGAAATTAAAACATTTTTGTAGGCCCTAAAAAGGCATTAGGAAGTGTGCCTGATGGGTTATAATCAGGCCTTTCCCCACTCTCGGATCATGGAGGTTGGAGGTATTTTATGTCTTATTCCTCCCTGCATTTCTCAGCCTCTCTCTTGAGCTAAGAAAGTTGATGAATCTTTGCAGAACTGGAACTTGTATTCCCCATTGCTTGACATCAAGCTGAAAATGTAGTAAGCATTCACTACATTGTTGAATTGAATCACATTAGAAAGCATGTATTAGTGCACAGCATTTTTAATTGCCAAGGAACATTTTATTTTAACTTTGCATTAACATATTCTAAGTAAACATTTCCCTGGATGCAATCAGATTCCTGCAATAAGTGAAATATTTGTTTGGTGTGTGCTTTTTCCCCTCCATTCTTCATTGTGTGCCTTCAGAAAATTCTAAGAACTGAGCTTCTTTATTGGAAAAAAAAAAAGACCTCCTTAGTAACAATGATATGTAGATTGCAACTTTGCTTTTCCTGCAGGGTTGCTGACCTTGTAAAGTGATGCCTACGTATACCTCAGTAATCAATTTGCTTAACTTTTAACATGTATGTAATGCTAGAAATATAATAATGATTTTTTTTCTGAGATGGAATCTTGCTCTGTCACTCAGACTGGAGTACAGTGGCACGATCTTGGCTTACTACAACTTCTGCCACCCAGGGTCAAGCAATTGTCCTGTTACAGCCTCCTGAGAAGCTGGGATTACAGGCACCTGCCTGTATTAATAGCTTTAATACAGGCACCTGGCTAGTTTTGGTATTTTTATGAGAGATGGGGTTTTACACTGGGAGGACAGACAGCTAGCTGTTCCCGCAGCCTCCCACAGTCATTGAATGTTCCTCTGGGTACATAGACACCCATAACAAAAGTCTCCTTCACAGCATCCTGTGAAGCTAGATGTGAACAGGTGACCAACTTCCGGCCTCTGAGAAGAGTCTGACTATCTTCCTTGGGAAGTAGTACCCGTGGCCTTTTTTCTTCCCATCTTTCCCATCCACTCCACCACTGTATGCACTTAGGGTAGAGACAATCATTCACCAAGAAGATGAAACTGCCGCATTCTACAGTAGGTGGAGAAGCCACTTAGGTGATTCTAAGAGACTTTGTGGACCATTCAGCCCTAGACTTCACCTGTGAGATGGAGATATGAACTTCTCTCTAATGTAAACTATTATTTTTTGTTTGTTTTCTACTAAAACCAAACATGAAACTAACATTATCATTATCTCTTTTAATTCAGGGGATTAAATGAGATATCAAATGCAAAGTCATCGACAAAGTGCCTAGCAGACAGTAAATATGCAACAAACATCAATGTTTACTGTTGTCAAGCATGTCTCCAAAAGATGCACAATAATCAATAAAAGAGATGAGAAATTTCAAGATTATGAGATTAACAAGGCAAATGTCTATAACCACCTACAAAACATTTTTTGTATAGAACATACAAAAGTAAGGAAGATGCAAAAAGCTGCTAAATATTCCATGTCCTGGTTAGAACTAAAATGTCTATGTAGAAAACACCAGGTCTGACAGCATATAAAAGCAAATCTGGCAGTGGGTTAGAAACATAAACAGACATTCCGGGATAACTGAGAGATGCCCCATGTTGAAGTCAGAGAAAAGAGATATGCAAAATACTGCAGAAAATCAATGAAATGGTAGAACAGAGAATGCAAGGAGAAGAGATCAAAGTGACCTCTTGCAAAAAAAATCAGAATTAGCTGGGTGCCGAGCTTAGATGGTAAAAGGCGTTTGAACTTTCAGACACACCAAGTTTTTTTGTAGGATTTATTTATATATTTATTGGAATTCAAGAAAGAAATTCAATTTTGATTTACTTTGTCTCTATAAGGAGGTAAGTTTGTAGTGTAGCAAATTATCAAAAGCAATGACCAGGACTGTTTCTTCCACAGTATTAGTGTATTGTTCGATTAAACAGATTACAACTTTGGAGGAAAAGTGAGTTTATGTCATATACTGTCTCATACTGTCTATAAGGTAATATGAAGTTCCATAAGAGAATATAAGTTTAATAGACTGTGTTGAAAAACACAAAATCTATTCATGTGTGTTCTTTTACCACTAAAAGAAATGAATGTTTGGGGAAGTTAAGCCTGTTACTGATGTGTCTGGATCATAACAATATGCAATAAATTCAATAAAAATATTAGAAGTCTAAGGAAACTCTTCTAACTTCTTAAGTTACTACTTCTTCTAGGTCTCTGAAGCAAATTCTGTTCATCCCAGGACACCATAATCCTGTGCTGCTACAATTATGAGTACAAATGTTGCACCTTGTTACTAAGCTTCACAGGCACATGAGTGAAATAATGGCTACATGTCTGAACTATTAAAACCTTGTGGCAATGCAGCATTTGAGGTGTTCACAGGAAAAGAAAAAAAAAAACTTGAGACATAAAAGATAACCTTGAAATGATTTACATATATGTGCTTTTTCTTAATTGCTACAGTTACAGATTAGGATGAGAATATGTCCTTTTATAAGGTAAGCTGAAACACTGGACTGTATTTGGTGAGCTTAAATTTGGCAATGCTCCATTTCACATTAGGTCAGTTTCAGCTCTCAATGTGTTATTTCTGACACTTTAGATCCTAATTCTGAGGATCAGACAAGGAAGGGCATCTGGCAAATACTCACCAAAATTACTAAAGAAAGCAAAAGCCAAGTGCTGGCATTCTGAAGCTGTTAACTCATATGTGGCTGTTATGAAAATCTCTTCTATTTTATTAGGTATATTTTAGAGGCAAAATTAATTTTTAGTTAAATGAAAATGTTGGACAGTGAGTAATGAAAGCATTTTTTTGCATTACCATAGAAACATTGGTTTTCATTTTAAACCATTACTGAGCTCCTATTTTGAAAGAAAGGTGTCCTTCAGAAAGTTGGATAAGAACACATTCCTTAAGAATAAATTTCATTATCATATTGCTGTAATAATTTTATTTACTTATTTTTTATTGATTCATATTTGATGTATATATTTTCAAGGTACCTGTGACCATTTGAAACACTCTTATACTCAAATCAGGGAAACTGGGATATCTATCACCAGTTAACATTAATTGACTATATATCTCACAATAGCTAAAAAAGAGTCATTCAAATGTTCCTCATGTTGTCATTTTTAAAATAAAGGTATTTTTTTAATCAAAGGAAAACAAAAGGTTCCAACAAACTTGAATTGAAAATGGAGCAAGATTTATGAGACTCTGCTAGTTCAGTGTGAGGATGTCTACATCCTTCTCCCAGAGAAAGGATGGTATGAGTGCCTTGTTCCTTTGCATTAATTTTGATAGCTTCATAGAGATCCCATTTCCTGACTAAAGGGTGACATTTCAAATAAATGTCACCTTTTTTTTCCACATGATACTAAGGTTCCATATATGTCTGTACAAAATGCTTTAAGCTATTAATTGTGTACTATGTTGCATTGCATTATAGAATATACCTACAGCTATCCCATGGATTTTAGTGTGACCACCTGGTTTGGGGACTCTCCATTAATGTGAGTATTTATCTCACAGACTACAGTCATCAGCTTGAAAATTCTGGAGCCAAATATCCATCTACCCTCTAAGATAAATTCCATCTATAAAATCAAGTTGACATTGTGTTTAATTTTAATAATATTAATTCATAATATCAAACATTAAAGTCAAGATTTTTCATACCCATTGAATTGTAAATTTTAACTCAAAATTCCCACTTGGCGTGAGAAAAGTTATCCATGTTATAATCATGCTTTCCATGAGTTCTTTTAACATGTAATAGGAATAATGATATCAGATCATAATTAAATTGTCATTTAATTTGCTGAGAAAACTAAATTATAGAGAAGATATTATATACAAAACTTAAAAGTGATTCATGTTTTTAAAGGGTGGAAATTACATCCTAGCTCTAGAATTTTTAAAAATCAGTATTTCATGAGTTTGGAATAACATTTAGTCTTCCAAGCAATCAAGATAAATAGTAAGAGCATCTTAAAAATATTTGCAATCAGTTCTACTGATACAAACAAACTGTTGTTAATCTAGGGCTCTGAGAGAGGAAGCCAGCCTGGATTTGTTGTGTTTTCCAATTGCCATATTGTAAACACCCCCAACAGAGCCAAATGAAAATGAGCAATAATTTCACAAGCAGCTGGCAAGATTCCTGAAAAATCAAAAGCTGACTCCTACATACCACTGCCTGCTACTGAACCCTAATCCTACATTTCTTTTTCTTCTCTAATAAAGTATTCTGAGGTCAGGTGACAACCCCTCTTATCCCTAAGATTTATGAAATGTGTTCCATAAGCTAGTGATTATTGACAAGCTGTTACCAAAGTCCACCTGAGATGAGCTATGGAGACTCACTCAACTAGTACTAGTTTAACATCTGTCTTCCCCAGGTGACAGAAAGCTCCAGTGAATGATAGTCACATTTTCCTTACGCATCCCTGTATTTCCAGCACATTGCACAACTAGCAGTGCCTCATTCCCTAAAATGTAAGGTACTCGTCAGTAGAGAACTTTGTTTTGCTTCCTGACAGATGTCAGCACAAACACAGTACATTCCACACAGTACGGGCTCAATACATATTTCTAGAGAAAAATGAATAGATAAAATACGAAATGAGTAAACATGAAGCCATACATGAAACCAAAGACAGCAAACATGTTTACAAGTTTCAAATAGCATCTGAAAAATACATAATAAATGATTCATAAACATCAGGTTTTCTTGACGTTCTTTATCTTGATGACTGAGTCTAGCCTTGAGATACTTTTCTTTTTTTTTTTTTTTTTTTTTTTGAGACGGAGTGTCGCTCTGTCACCCAGGCTGTAGTGCAGTGGCTGGATCTCGGCTTACTGCAAGCTCCGCCTCCCGGGTTCACGCCATTCTCCTGCCTCAGCCTCCCGAGTAGCTGGGACTACAGGCACCCGCCACCACGCCCGGCTAATTTTTTGTATTTTTAGCGGAGACGGGGTTTCACCGTGTTAGCCAGGATGGTCTCAAACTCTGCTGACCTCGTGATCCGCCCGCCTCGGCCTCCCAAAGTGCTGGGATTACAGGCGTGAGCCACCGCGCCCAGCCGAGATACTTTTATTTCTCCTTTTTTTTTCTTTTGTTACCTGTTCAAGGCAGGAGAGTTGAACGAATAGCATTCACAGGAAATGTTACTTGTGCGTAAGAAGCAAATTTTATCCTGGGACCAGTTGCATATGAGAAACTGGGTCTTGTTTTTCTTACTCCTATTTTCTATCTCTTCCTGTCCCCTTTCTCTTTACTCCTCCACATAATGTGTTCCTCCAGCCTCTGATCCAATATGTTCCTTCCAACTTCTCTAACTGGGGATTTGGCTCTATTAAAATACAATTTTGCAAGGTTCAGGACATGATACAGTCTTATTCGGACATGCAGTAGTCACAGAGACTTTGTTCTTCACATTCCTTGCTGGCGCCATATAAAAAGAAATTAAGAGTCCTTGAGCTCTCATTTATTACAAAGCTCAGAAGTCGATGCTATAAACTGATCTAAAAAAAGAAGCAGTGTGCTTATGGAAACTAGGAATTCTGGCCACATGGATGAGATATGTGAATAAAATGCTTCCAGAAGTAAAATCGCAAGCCCATGTTTCTGTTGTTTTTTGTCTTCTAGAACATATCATGAGGAAACTGCCCAGACTTAAAGGAGAAACTATGAAGCATAAAACTGGTGTGATTTCACCGCCTTATTAGGGGTGTAACTTCATAAAAAGGTTGTATAAATAAAAAAGAGGTTGTTCCTTAAATTAGTCTTGGTTAAATTGGCTATCTGATTGAGGAAGAGACAAAGATTTGTTGGAAAATGGAATGGAATCATCCTGAGTTTAAGAAGAAGTTAGCAGCTAGGATGTTATTACATTCCCTCCCCATCGGGGGTCAGTCCTAGGTTCGAGAAACAGAGCTCCAAAGCCCCTTAGAGAAAAGGGGAATTTTATTTTACCTCCAAAGAAGGAACTGAAATTCCAACCTCAACAGGTACCTCTGGAACATATGATAGTTGTGTAAATTGCTCACCACTTTCCATCGACTGTCAGGTATCTTAGTGATAGGAATATTACTGTAATTCTAAGTTTTAAAAATATGAAAGAAAGGTCTGAAATGAATAACCACACTTAAGATTATAAACCATTTGTTCCTGTTTGCTAATTGGAAAAGCCACTATAAAACGAGTATTAGAAAAGCAACATGAGATCCTGTTTGATTGCACAATTAAAGAAACTCCCAGTTCAAGAAATGTGATAGCACTGAAGAACATTTTAACTTTGCTTTAAATATCTAAATATAGCAAATATGCATGATGCACAAAATACAGATGCAGTGAGTCATGATCCATCATCTTTAGGCTGCGAAAGTCAGTCAGGTAAACATTTAAATGCCATATACTCATTCATTCTCAAGCTTTTAGTGCTGTGCTAAAAGAGTGAGGGAAATGCTTTGAGGGCAGGCAGAGGAGGCATTTCAGCAGGGACTGGGGGGCATTGAGTAGGACCCTCCAAGAAGGACAAGGTGAGGAGACCTTCTAGGAGAAGAACCTGCAAGTATAAGCACAGCAATGCACAGAGTACAGGGGCTGCTGGCCTCAGCGTGAGAGGAGTGCCAGGTAGTGAGGCTGGGCAGTTGTGCATGCAATAAATGACCAGCCACAGTACCCTGTTGAGAACTTGGGACTTCCTCTGCTGGTAAAGAGGAGCTGTGGGTGTCGTTCAGGTGGGTGAATAACACAGCACCCCTGACATCATCATACCTGAACAAGAAGGAGAAGAGAGGAGGAAGAGGGAGAACAGGACAAAGCAAAGTATGGTCACACACTGAGGAACCTGTTGGCCTCTATCAAGCAGAGCTGCATTTTAGTTTTATGTATTCCCATGGCATAGGTTGCATGAAGCATGAGAAGCATGGAAAGGTCAGTTTACTCACTGTTCCAAGGGCACCAGCGTTTAAGTGGGCATTTCAGTAACGGAAGAGAAACTCATGATCAGAGTACTGGTATTTTCCTTCAAGTAGGGGCATCAGATCATGTCCATCAATGATCCTGAGGGATAAACAGCCAGGCATCAAGTGGTGAATCAGTCCTGTGTTCTCAAATGTCCTTCTGAACAACAAGAGCATGAGAGGGCTCCAGCTGTAATTAATACAAAGAAGACTAACTCCAACTGGGTGCCTTGTGCAATAATGCCTGTGTCCATGCATTATCTTACTACATGTGCAAAGAGCACCATGAGCTGGAACTACTGTTGTCCCCATTGACCAGATGAGAAAATATAGGCACACAAAGGTTAAGTAATTTGCTCAAGGTCATGGGACAAGAAAGAACTGATGGGATTGAAATCTGGCTGATCTGGCATTCACACTCTTATTCTTCCTATTGCTTCTCCAAAACACAATTTTATTTTCCTTTGCCTTACCAAAGAGAATGATTTATTCATGAAATACAGGTCTGCTGAAAAGAAGGGCATTTAGCAATTTGGATTAAAAAAAAATACTGTATTGCATGAGGCAACTGGTATCTCACAGACTTCAATGAAAGAAAATTTTTCATCAGAATGAATTAATTCATATATAATAATAATAATACCATTAAATAACCAGGAAATAGATAATTCCCAAATGAAAATATACTTGCTTTAGTTCTAGGTATCTAACTAGGCTAAGAAGGGGAGCTTTCAAGATTGCAAACAATAAAACACATGGAATTGGTGATGAGCAAAATAAGATTGCTTGAATTTTAAAGAAATGAATAAAGTGTAAAATTGTGTTTTGCATTAAACATCAGTTAACAGCTACATGAGAAATTGAAGCCATGGATACCATTAGGTTGTTGCCATCAAAATGAGGGGCATACAATTATTTTTTAAGGGTGAGGGTTTAACTTGAGGATTTTCTTTCTTTGATTAAAAACACTACATCCCTATCATCTCTTGTTACAAGGCATTTAAAAACTGGAAGTTTGACGTGGCTATATAATTTGGGTAAGTGTGCTTAAGATGTCCTATGTCCCTTGAGCTTTCTCCCATGGTTTATTTTGTTGTCACTAAAAACTCATAATGTAATTATAGCCTTGTTGTTAGCACTTCTTTGGCCTCAACCCTTATTATTAATCACACAATCTGCAGAAGTCTGTGGACTGAAAATATGTTGTTATTATAAGTTAAAAATAAGAACAAAAGACTGGCTTGGCTCCCTTCCCAAACCAGCGTTCACATGAACCACGAGGGGAAGAGAAAGCAACATGGTAGGCAGAGTTCTATGGAGATGCAGGGTGTGCCCTGAAATACTTTTTCAATCCTGAAATGGCAGTCATAGTGCTTGGTTCTTTTCAAATTCCTCTCAAGAAAGACTCAGTCCTTTATGAGATCCCAAATAAAGTTGAAAGGAAGGAAGAAGTAAGAGGGGAAGTGGGCAGGCAAGAGAATTAGACCAGGAAAAGCCCCCAATGGTGAAAAGTGATCTGAAGGGGAGAGACAAGGGACAGAGGATTTCCTTCCTTCCCCAAGTGGGGAGAATGTCTTTCAATGACTCCCCAGAATCAAGATGGAATACCCATTTTCTGGGACACAAACTAGACTTTCACTTTTTGAATCTGGCTTTTTTTATTTTCATTTGTCAACAAAATTCGCTATATGATATAAGAACATGGGAAATGAAATTGCTGTCTTAAGATCAGTATTTAAAAAAAAATTTTTTTAGAGACAAGGTCCTGCTCTGACATCAAAGCTAGAGTGCAGTGATGCAACCGTAGGTCACTGAAGCCTCGACCTTCTGGGCTCAAGTGATCCTCCTGCCTCATCCTCCCAAGTACATGGGACTAGAGGTACATGCCACCATGCCCAGCCATCTTTCTTTCTTTCTTTCTTTCTTTCCTTCTTTCTTTCTTTCTTTCTTTCTTTTTTTTTTTTTTTTTTTTTTAGAGGTGAGGTCTTGCTATGTTGCCCAGACTAGTCTTGAACTTCTGGCCTCAAGCTCTCTTCCAGTCTTGGCCAAGATCAGTACTGGATAACTGAAATTGATCATGGTTACAGGAAAGGGGGATTTAATTAAAACAAAATAAGACTCCAAGTATCATAATTGTTTTTTCTTACTTAAAAATAAGATACTCTTGTTTTTAATATCCTACACCAAACGTGGTCCTTCCTAGAGGCAGGCCATAAATTATGCTGCTATAGAAAGCCACCCTTTAACAATGTTGCAGAAATATGGTGTGTCAAAGGAAGCCTCATTTCTGCCGTAAAAAATACAAAGTTACTCTATTGAGCTAAACTTTTAGGTGGTGTCTAAGCTATTGAAATATTTGGGAGAGGAGACAGCCAAGATGGCTGAATAGGAAGACCTCTGGTCTACAACTCCCAGCGTGAGTGACGCAGAAGACGTGTGATTTCTGCATTTCCATCTGAGGTACTGGGTTCATCTCACTAGGGAGTGCCAGACAGTGGGTGCAGGACAGTGGGTGCAGCGCACCGTGCGTGAGCCAAAGCAGGGTGAGGTGTCAGGCAGTTCCCTTTCCTAGTCAAAGAAAGAGGTGAAAGACAGCACCTGGAAAATTGGGTCACTCCCACCCTAATACTGTGCTTTTCTGACAGGCTTAAAAAATGGCACACCAGGAAATTATATCCCGCACATGGCTTGGAGGGTCCTACACCCACGGAATCTCACCGATTGCTAGCACAGCAGTCTGAGATCAAACTGCAAGGTGGCAGCGAGGCTGGGGGAGGGGCGACCGCCATTGCACAGGCTTGCTTAGGTAAACAAAGCAGCCAGGAAGTTCAAACTGAGTGGAGCCCACCACAGCTCAAGGAGGCCTGCTTGCCTCTGTAGGCTTCACCTCTGGGGACAGGGAACAGACAAAAAAAAAAGACAGCAGTAACCTCTGCAGACTTCAATGTCCCTGTCTGACAGCTTTGAAGAGAGCAGTGGTTCTCCCAGCATGCAGCTGGAGATCTGAGAAAGGGCAGACTGCCTCCTCAAGTGGGTCCCTAACCCCTGACCCTGAGCAGCCTAACTGGGAGGCACCCCAAAGCAGGGGCAGACTGACACCTCACACGGCAGGGTACTCCAACAGACCTGAAGCTGAGGGACCTGTCTGTTAGAAGGAAAACTAACAAACAGAAAGGACATCCACACCAAAAACCCATCTGTACATCACCATCATCAAAGACCAAAAGTAGATAAAACCACAAAGGTGGGGAAAAACCAGAGCAGAAAAACTGGAAACTCTGCAGAGCACCTCTTCTTCTCCAAAGGAACGCAGTTCCTCACCAGCAATGGAAGAAAGCTGGACGGAGAATAACTTTGACGAGTTGAGAGAAGAAGTCTTCAGATGATCAAACTACTCCCAGCTACAGGAGGAAATTAAAACCAAAGGCAAAGAAGTTAAAAACTCTGAAAAAAATTTAGACGAATATATAACTAGAATAAACAATACAGAGAAGTGCTTAAAGGAGCTGATGGAGCTGAAAGCCAAGGCTCGAGAACTACAGGAAGAATGCAGAAGCCTCAGAAGCCAATGAGATCAACTGGAAGAAAGGGTATTAGTGATGGAAGATGAAATGAATGAAATGAAGTGAGAAGGGAAATTTAGAGAAAAAAGAATAAAAGAAATGAACAGAGCCTGCAAGAAATATGGGACTATGTGAAAAGATCAAATCTACCTCTGATTGGTGTACCGGAAAGTGACGGGGAGAATGGAACCAAGTTGGAAAACACTCTGCAGGATATTATCCAGGAGAACTTCCCCAATCTAGCAAGGCAGGCCAACATTCAGATTCAGGAAATACAGAGAATGCCACAAAGATGCTCCTCGAGAAGAGCAACTCCAAGACACATAATTGTCAGATTCACCAGGAAAAAATGTTAAGGGCAGCCAGAGAGAAAGGTCTGGTTACCCACAAAGGAAAGCCCATCAGACTAACAGCGGATCTCTCGGCAGAAACTCTATAAGCCAGAAGAAAGTAGGGGCCAATATTCAACATTCCTAAAGAAAAGAATTTTCAACCCAGATTTCATATCCAGCCAAACTAAGCTTCATAAGTGAAGGAGAAATAAAATACTTTACAGACAAGAAAATGCTGAGAGATTTTGTCACCACCATGCCTGCCCTAAAAGAGGTCCTGAAGGAAGCCCTAAATGTGGAAAGGAAAAACCGGTACCAGCCACTGCAAAATCATGCCAAATTGTAAAGACCATCAAGGCTAGGAAGAAACTGCATCAACTAACCTGCAAAATAACCAGCTAACATCATTACAGGATCAGATTCACACATAACAATATTAACTTCAAATGTAAATGGACTAAATGCTCCAATTAAAAGTCACAGACTTGCAAATTGGATAAAGAGTCAAGACCCATCAGTACGCTGTATTCAGGAAACCCATCTCATGTGCAGAGACACATATAGGCTCAAAATAAAAGGATGGAGAAAGATCTACCAAGCAAATGTAAAACAAAAAACAGCAGGGGTTGCAATCCTAGTCTCTGATAAAACAGACTTTAAACCAACAGAAATCAAAAGAGACAAAGAAGGCCATTACATAATGGTAAAGGGATCAATTCAACAAGAAGAGCTAACTATCCTAAATATATATGTACCCAATACAGGAGCACCCAGATTCATAAAGCAAGCCCTGAGTGACATACAAAGAGAATTAGATTCCCACACAATAATAATGGGAGATTTTACACCCAACTGTCAACAGTAGACAGATCAACGTGACAGAAAATTAACAAGGATACCCAGGAATTGAACTCAGCTCTGCACCAAGCAGACCTAATAGACATCTACAGAACTCTTCACCCCAAATCAACAGAATATACATTTTCTTCAGCACCACACCTATTCCAAAATTGACCACATAGTTGGAAGTAAAGCTCTCCTCAGCAAATGTAAAAGAACAGAAATTATAACAAACTGTCTCTGAGACCACAGTGCAGTAAAACTAGAACTCAGGATTAAGAAACTCACTCAAAACTGCTCAACTACATGGAAACTGGACAACCTGCTCCTGAATGACTACGGGGTACATAACGAAATGAAGGCAGAAATAAAGATGTTCTTTGAAACCAACAAGAGCAAAGACACAACATACCAGAATCTCTGGGACACATTCAAAGCAGTGTGTAGAGGGAAATTTATAGCACTAAATGCCCACAAGAGAAAGCAGGAAAGGTGTAAAATTGACAACCTAACATCACAATTAAAAGAACTAGAAAAGCAAGACCAAACATATTGAAAGCTAGCAGAAGGCAAGAAATAACTAAAATCAGAGCCAAACTGAAAGAAATAGAGACACAAAAAAACCCTTCAAAAATTAATAAATCCGGGAGCTGGTTTTTTGAAAGTATCAACAAAATTGATAGACCACTAGCAAGACTAATAAAGAAGAAAAGAGAGGAAAATCAAATAGACACAATAAAAAATGATAAAGGGGATATCACCACTGATCCCACAGAAATAAAAACTACCATCAGAGAATACTACAAACACCTCTATGCAAATAAACTAGAAAATCTAGAATAAATGGATAAATTCCATGACCAATACACCCTCCCAAGACTAAACCAGGAAGGAGTTGAATCTCTGAATAGACCAATAACAGGCTCTGAAATTGTGGAAATAATCAATAGCTTACCAACCAAAAAGAGTCCAGGACCAGGTGGATTCACAGCCAAATTCTACCAGAGGTACAAGGAGGAACTGGTACCATTCCTTCTGAAACTATTCCAATCAATAGAAAAAGAAGGAATCCTCCCTAACTCGTTTTATGAGGCCAGCATCATCCTGATACCAAAGCTGGGCAGAGACACAACCAAAAAAGAGAATTTTAGACGAGTATCCTTGATGAACATTGATGCAAAAATCCACAATAAAATACTGGCAAACCAAATCCAGCAGCACATCAAAAAGCTTATCCACCATGATCAAGTGGGCTTCATCCCTGGGAGGCAAGGCTGGTTCAACATATGCAAATCAATAAATGTAGTCCAGCATATAAACAGAACCAAAGACAAAAACCACATGATTATCTCAATAGAGGCAGAAAAGGTCTTTGACAATATTCAACAACCCTTCATGCGAAAAACTCTCAATAAATTAGGTATTGCTGGTACGTATCTCAAAATAATAAGAGCTATCTATGACAAAACCACAGCCAATATCATACTGAATGGGCAAAAACTGGAAGCATTCCCTTTGAAAACTGGCAAAAGACAGGGATGCCCTCTCTCACCACTCCTATTCAACATAGTGTTGGAAGTTCTGGCCAGGGCAATCAGGCAGGAGAAGGAAATAAAGAGTATTCAATTAGGAAAAGAGGAAGTCAAATTGTCCGTGTTTGCAGATGACATGATTGTATATCTAGAAAACCCCACTGTCTCAACCCAAAATCTCCTTAAGCTGATAAGCAACTTCAGCAAAGTCTCGGGATACAAAATCAATGTACAAAAATCACAAGCATTCTTATACATCAGTAACAGACAAACAGAGAGCCAAATCATGAGTGAATTCCCATTCACAATTGCTTCAAAGAGAATAGAATATCTAGGAATCCAACTTACAAGGGACTGGGAGGACCTCTTCAAGGAGAACTACAAACCACTGCTCAATGAAATAAAAGAGGATACAAAGAAATGGAAGAACATTCCATGCTCATGGGTAGGAAGAATCAATATCATGAAAATGGCCATA
The DNA here is from genome assembly GCF_000001405.40 of Homo sapiens. Classification (NCBI taxonomy): domain Eukaryota; kingdom Metazoa; phylum Chordata; class Mammalia; order Primates; family Hominidae; genus Homo; species Homo sapiens. Next base: position 15,586,585 of record NC_000024.10, on the reverse strand, counting down.
CTGCCCAAGGCAATTTATAGATTCAATGCCATCCCCATCAAGCTAATAATGACTTTCTTCACAGAATTGGAAAAAACTACTTTACAGTTCATATGGAACCAAAAAAGAGCCCACATCACCAAGTCAATCCTAAGCCAAAAGAACAAAGCTGGAGGGATCACGCTACCTGACTTCAAACTATACTGCAAGGCTACAGTAACCAAAACAGCACGGTACTGGTACCAAAACAGAGATATACATCAATGGAACAGAACAGAGCCCTCAGAAATAACACCACTTATCTACAACTATCTGATCTTTGACAAACCTGACAAAAAGAAGAAATGGGGAAAGGATTCCCTATTTAATAAGTGGTGCTGGGAAAACTGGAGAAAGCTGAAACTGGATCCCTTCCTTACACCTTATACAAAAATTAATTCAAGAGGATTAAAGACTTACATGTTAGACTTAAAACCATAAAAACCCTAGAAGAAAACCTATGCATTACCATTCAGGAGATAGGCATGGGCAAGGACTTCATGTCTAAAACAGCAAAAGCAATGACAACAAAAGCCAAAATTGACAAATGCGATCTAATTCAACTAAAGAGCTGCTGCACAGCAAAAGAAACTACCATTAGAGTGAACAGGCAACCTGAAAAATGGGAGAAAATTTTCACGTCCTACTCATCTGACAAAGGGCTAATATCCAGAATCTACAATGAACTCAAACAAATTTACAAGAAAAAAACAAACAACCCCATCAAAAAGTGGGCAAAGGACGTGAACAGACACTTCTCAAAAGAAGACATTTATGCAGCCAAAAACACGTGAAAAAATGCTCACCATCACTGGCCATCAGAGAAATGCAAATCAAAACCACAATGAGATAACATCTCACACCAGTTAGAATGGCAATCATTAAAAAGTTAGTAAACAACAGGTGCTGGAGAGGATGTGGAGAAATAGGAACACTTTTACACTGTTGATGTGACTGTAAACTAGTTCAACCATTGTAGAAGTCAGTGTGGCAATTCCTCAGGGATCTAGAACCAGAAATACCACTTGACCCAGCCATGCTGTTACTGGGTATATACCCAAAGCAGTATAAATCATGCTGCTATAAAGACACATGCACACGTATGTTTATTGTGGCACTATTAACAATAACAGACTTGGAACCAACCCAAATGTCCAACAGTGATAGACTGGATTAAGAAAATGTGGCACATATACACCATGGAATACTATGCAGCCATAAAAAATGATGAGTTCATGTCCTTTGTAGGGACATGGATGAAATTGGAAATCATGATTCTCAGTAAACTATCACAAGAACAAAAAACCAAACACCGCATGTTCTCACTCATAGGTGGGAATTTAACAATGAGAACACGTGGACACAGGAAGGGGAACATCACACTCTGGGGACTGTTGTGGGGTTGGGGGAGGGGTGAGGGATAGCATTAGGAGATGTACCTAATGCTAAATGATGAGTTAATGGGTGCAGCACACCAGCATGGCACATGTATACATGTGTAATTAACCTGCACATTGTGCACATGTACCCTAAAACTTAAAGTATAACAATAATTAAATTAAAAAATAAAAAAAAGAAATATTTGGGATTCTTTTAAACCATTTGTGGGATTTGCAGTTAACCATGGTAACAACCCAGAGGACAGCACATTTCCATTAATGCTGCTAGTACAAAAATGCTTTTAGAATGTTGGGTTCTGGGGGAGATGGGCCAATCCACTTTCAAAGTGACCCCAAACATTGCTGTTTTCTCTGTAAACAGTCTAAAGGGCTTTTTCTTGCAAATTAATTGAAGTTTTTGTGGCATGTTTGAAATAACAGCCAATATTAAAAAACAGGATGTGTTGTCTGTCCTACTGTCCACATGGCTCTTGGTGGAAAAGTGGGTGTTTGGGAATGTTGTTAATTTGGAAGGTAAAATTATTTTCCTTTGGTTCCTGACTGACAATAATGGTAGTACTATTAAATTAACAGGTTATTTGCAAGGGACCCTTGTGTCAAAATTTCAGGTCAAGTTAAATACCATAGAGATAATTTTTACATAATTAAAAAGGACATGTTCTGGAAACGTTTCCTGAACCCTATTCACATCAATCCTCCAAGAATGTGCTGTGCTCTCTCTCAGTTCTGAGGCTTTCAGCATCCTCATCCCTCCACATGAAATGTCCTTCCCACACGCCCTTTGCCTGGCCAACTCTAGAAGGACTGAAGGATCATAAGAAAAGGAAAATGTTTTGGGGGTAATACAGAAAGGGAGGTCTTGGAGACTAATAGAAAAGCTTATTTGGGGCACAATGTTTGTGAGCAACTTGTTCGATATAAAAATGACAGTGATTTCAATGTAGACAGTCATAGTTAAGGAAAGGTTTTTAGGAGAAAGTACATATATATGTAATAAACTATAGGGACTCTTAAGTATAAGAAAGTTATTTTCACAATTTAGAAAAATATGTTTCCATTTGTAAACATTAAACCTTCTGCCCTTTGTTGAACAGAAAGCAAGATCAGTTATAAGTGGTTGCACACACAAACTTGAGGTTGTTCCCATGAAGAGAGTCACCTTTGATTCTGCAAAACTGATGTGAACCAGATATAGCTCACTGACTTTTTTGTCTGTATTACTCTATCGAAAAGGTCTTCTCTAGTGGCTCAGCTATAAACCAGCAAAAGTTACTGGGAGAAGTCAGCTAAGCCCATTCCTTGTCTCTATTAGACAAAAGTATGTTGAGAATTAAAAACATTATTTTTGTAACTTAAAAAAAAAGTCAATTTTTATTTTAATTATGGACTGTAAGATCTAAATATTTCACCTCTAAAATTTGATTATTGAGGTTGCCAGCACTCTGTCCCATCTGAAGGGTCTATTGTTAAAATTTTGATATTTTACAAAAGATGTAACCAACTATGGCTTGTTACCATTCTTTATTAATGATGTTAATAACATGTTAGGAAGGGGCATGGTCATACTCATACTATGACAATATTGTATCTGCTTGCAAAGATGAGACCCACAGAAAGAATTTTCATGTTAATGAATTAATGCATTTAGGTATTTGATTATTCTTTTTCATAAGCCCGTGTTGCCTGCCTTTTATAACCCAAAAGGCTGCCCTTTATTTCCAATATCAGCTTATTTGGAGACCTGGGGAAAATAATTTTTCTGAATATGCCCAGGATGATGGGCACTGAAAGTTCTGATAAGTCATGCCAGTGAACGAAAATGAATCACTAACATGCATATGAAGAAACAGTTCACTACCAGAGACAAGTCTTACATAAGCATACCATGGGGTTGAATTAGAGAACTATTCTCACTGCAGGGTTAAGATGCTGCAACTAAAATAAAATAAATCTTTCCTTTGTTCCTCCAGACTACCTTTCTTTTCACTTAAGTAGAAACCCTAGATCCAAGGGCTTCTGATCTCCCACCATACTTTGATTGGCCAGGAAGGGCTCCCATTTGTTCCAAAATCCTTTTTGAAAATTAGAGGACAGTTCTTGAAGAATGGGGGTCTGCTGAACATAAATTCTCTTCTTCAAACAAAATGAATAAAGAGTGAAGGCACTTTGTTAAGTGCTCATCAAACAGCTTGGATCCAACCCTCTGCATGAGTTTCTTCTCCTGAGAAATGCAAATTTAATATTGTTCTATCAGGAAGATTACAAAGCTTATTAGCACCTCTCTGAACAAGAAAGAGTTAAGCCTATTTTCTAAAGGGCAGAGATCTGTGTATCACATTTAAAGATGGATACGGATGTGAGGGTACTGTCTAGATGCTTTTGCTGAAAAGCTTTGATGGGATTTTCCATTATAACAACATTTTCTTTTTTTTTTTTTTCTTGCCTCTGAAATTTTTCCTTACCTTGCTTTCCCCCGACTGGGTGGAAAACCATTCCAGGATATTATGAAAGTGAAGAGTGTCTATGGTTTCAATTTTATGGGTCATGAGAAAGAAATGAAATGAATGAGATTGCCTGAACACTTTGTTCTAGCTACTTGAGGAAGTATTAAGCTTCATTTCAAAGGTAACAACCACAGCCAATGAAAAGGTGAAAGAGAGAATGGGATTTTTGTCTTTATATAAGAAAAAACATTATGTGTGTTATTGCTGCCATGTTTTCCATCATTAGAGTGGAAAAAAAATAATAATTTGACTAGAGTAGAAGATCTTAAAATTCCACTTTAGCCCTCAAATTTTATGATTTTATTATCTTGGATGAGTATTAAATGTAGAAGAGGAAAGAATTATACTAATATATAAGTAACTACTATCTCAATATGGCAGGCAAAATGAAAAATGGCAAATATTCATGACTTCTTTTACTGCACGTTACAGGCAAGTAGGTTTTTAATCATCCTATCAATCCTGTAAAGTCAGTGCTATTACTGAATTCATTTTCCAGAGAAGGAGTGAAGGCCCAGGAAGTTCAACACTTATCCTGCAGTGAATACAAGAATATGAACTCACTGGGTGTGGTGGTTCATGCCTGTAATCCCAGGACTTTGGGAGGCTGAGTCAGGAGAAATGCTTGATCTCAGAAACCCAGTCTCTACCCAAAACAAAAAATTAGTGTTTGTTGCCATTGCTTTGGTGTTTTAGTCATGAAGTCTTTGGCCATGCCTATGTCCTGATGATTTGTTGATGGGAGCAACAAGCAACCATGGCATGTACATACCTATGTAACAAACCTGCATGTTCTGCATGTGTCCCAGAACTTAAAGTGTAATTTAAAAAAAAAAAAAAACCACCAGAAAACCTCCTAAAAAAATTAGCTGGGCATGGTGATGCATACATATGGTCCCAACTAATCAAGATGTTGGGGTGGGAGGATCATCTGAGCTTGGGAGTTGGAGGTTTCAGTGAGCCGAGATCGCACCATTGCACTCCAGCCTAGGTGACAGAATGAGATCCCCATCTAAAAGAAAATATATATGTATATTAATTCAAGCTTTGGGGGTCTAGAATCTCTACTCTTAGCATAGCACTGGCTAGTCTCAAAGTGTGATCCAGAGATTCTTAGGGATCTCTGGGACCAAACAGACTCTTTGTAGCAGTAAGATACCAATGTGACAGATAGCAAGTCCTGACAGAAATTGAAGTTCTTTACCCCAAAATACATTTCGCTGACATATTTCAAAATAGCCCCCAAAGAGGAGCAGAAAATCAAACGCTGCATGTTCTTTCTCATAAGTGGGAGCTAAACATTTGGTACTCATAAACATAAAGATGGCAACAATAGACACTGGGAACTACTCGGGGGAAAGTGGGAGGTGGTCAAGGAGTGAAAAACTATCAGGTGCTATGTTCACTACTTGGATGACAGTATCATTAGAACTCTAGACCTCAGCATCACTTAATATACTCATGTAACACACCCGCACACGTACTCTCTGAATCTAATTTTTTTTTTTTTAATCATTTTTTGAGCCACTAAATTCATGGTCAACTATTACAACAGACATAGGAAACAGGCACATCAGCCCTGTTCCCTTGAGAAAATAGCTTCAGCTTTCTGTGTCTCACATTCCCACAGTGTTTCCATGTGAGTATTATGTGGAACGATTATCACAAGCACTGAGCCTACCACCTGCAAGATAGGCAGTTTTCCTGTGGCCCTTATATGACCAACACCTCCCGTTGAGGGATAGAGACCAAGTGCTCCAGTATAGGGCTCAGACAGGCCAGGGCTGAAGTCACTCAAGCTGGGCAGGTGACCCATGGCTGGGGAATAAACACTGCTTCCTCACCTTTTATAACAAACAGAGCATAGAGCTAAGTGGCATAGAAGTAGCCATCAGGAAGTTAGCCTGGGGCCAAAGGGAATGGAGTTGAAGTTCAGCTACTCTAAGAAAGAGACTGTTTTAAACAATTGGTGTGAGATAAGTGAGAATGGAGCCAATGGAAAAACACTCATTCCTCACAGGGGTATCATGTGTGAGTCACAGTGGAAATAAGTGCCACAGTGGAAATAAGTCAATTTAGGAGGTAAATTACTAGAGACAGAGGTTTCAGGGATCCTGAAGCAAATCTCCATTGTTAAAAGCTCATCTCTCTCTCTCTCTTTTTAATCTTTACAGGAATGCCTCCTGTTATTGTATTCTGCTCCAGTGTGTTTTTCAGATGTTACATTATTTATCTATGTATGTATTTGTTTATGTATTTGTTTTTATTTATTTTAGGTTCAGGGGTACAAGTGCAGGGTTTTTATATAGGTAATCTGCTTGTCTTGGGAGTTTGGTGTGCAGATTATTTCATCACACAGGTAATCAGCATAGTACCTGATATGTAGTTTTTCAATCCTCTCCCTCCTCCCACCCTCCACTCTCAAGTAGGCCCCAAGGTCTGTTGTTTCCTTCCTTGTGTCCATGCGTACTTAAAATTTAGCTTCCCCTTATAAGTGACAGCATGCAGTATTTGGTTTTAGGATCTTGCATTAATTATTTTAATATAATGGCCTCCAGCTCCATCCATCTTGCTGCAAAGGACAGGATCTCTTTCTTTTATATGACTGCTTGGTGTGTATGTATCACATTTCTTTTAATCCAGTCCACTGTCAATGGGTATTTTGGTTAACTCCATGTCCTTGCTATTGTGAATAGTTAAAACATTATTTCTTACAACTGAAGACTGTAGATGGAATTTCTCTTGCTGGCAGGCTCTGCCTTTTGCAGACATTCATATGTTCCATATGTACAGACACTTAGGGAAGATTATCATGGAAGTTCACATCATGTGTTCTAGATACTGTAATGGCCTCCTATGAAAGCTAAAACTCTTCCCCTATTTTATCTTTTCAATATCACCTGAAGGTAATTCTCTGAGAGACATTGTGATTCCTGCTTCACAGAGATCACAACCAACAAATGAGAAGTTTAATTACTTTGCCATCGTTCATTCAGGCAGTTGAAAGCAGAGCTTTGTGAGAAATCATAATGTGTGAATTATAGTCTTCTTTTCCTCTGACCCATCAAACTCATAGAATTTTCACCTGCTTATCCTTCTACTTGATCAAACTCACACCATTTTCACTTTAAATTTAACAACAAAACAAGTGATTCCTATATAAGAAAAAGGAGTAGTTTCATTAATGGTTTGATATACACAAATTGCCCACTTGGGGGCAATATATAAGGGAAGAAGTTCCCCCTATATCTGTATATCTATATCTATATATAGTGAAAAAGTGAGACCTTGTCACACACACACAAAAAAGAAAACCCAAAAAGATACATCCACAGGTAATTGATTGAGTGCCAACAGAAAATGTCTTTTACCTGGGAAAATCTGCCCAGGTAAAAATCTGCCCAAAATCAAAATAGATTTTGATTTGGGTTTCAAAGTAGAAATAAACTTAGGAAAGTTGGAGAATGGAATATGGGGGAAAGAAAAAGAAAAACAGGTGAAGGAGTATGAATTATTTTTCCTGAAAATTTATGAGCAGAGAAAAAGTCTTGGTCTGGTTTAAGTTTAAAATTTGTTACAGTAATTGTCCAATTCACACTTTAAATATCTTGATGGCATGTTGTGGTTGTGTTCCCATAATAGAAGGATGATGGCTGAGTTACTCAATCTCTCCAGGCAAGCATAGAGAGGATTCTCTTACAATGTACTCCAAGACTTGACAGAAACAGCTGCTTGCAAACAAGGCTTCTATTTTTGTCCTTCTGAATGTTACCACACAGCAGGTCAAATAACTGTTAATGGCAAGAGCATATGCTAGTCATTCTTATGCTTGATCTAGGCAGAGGTTCATGTAATATTCTGTTTTTCATTTTTTCTCCTTGAATCTCCTTACCTGGAAATAACACTGATTCTCTGAATTGAGGCAAACCACATTGAAGCATGTGATAATTCATGCGAAATGTTTTCTCACCCAAGATGCTACATTTTCACGTTCCTTGATTTATTCATGCCAGAGACTAAAACGTATGAATTGCAGATGAGTAATGTAATGAGATTTTTTAGGTTCTACCACATATTACTCAATTATTATGAGGGCAAAAATAAGGAAAAATGACCTGTTGATATCAGTTCAAAGAATCCTTCAAAATTATCCTATATAGCCCAGCAACTAGGCATATGCATGGTATGTTCTATAGAATCAATATATAATTGCATGTCTGTCAAATTCAACTGAATGCATGCACAGATAAATGAGACTGATGTGATCTTCTTTCAAAGGTGAAAAGCTGTGAATACCTGCTGGAGGACTAAATACTGATACTATCATGAAGCGGCAGCTTTGCCTACTCTTGGGAAGCCAATGACAATGTTTGCCAACATCATTTGAACATAACTACCTTGTAATAATCTACTAGAGCCAGTCACTACTATTTTTTTTTCATAATGAAAGTATCAATTGCTCTCTGAAAGATGTGTTATTGCATGAGGGAAAGAGATGCCAAAAGCAGTGACTGTAAGAAGCAACCCATAAGCAATATGGACCCAAGCCATGTGTTTGGAATTTTTGTTTAAAGTAAAAACATGCACAAAGAGCAGTTCCTTCCACGCAGCCATCAGGGAATTTTAAAAGCATTTCTCTGCACATGGAAAAAAAGTCTGCATTCTTGAACATTCTGAAAAATGTGATCCCCCACCCCACACTTCTGCAGAAGACATCTATAGAGTTCATCTATCCATTCCACTGACATTTATTACTTGTCTGTAGGCAGAGAAAAAGAGAGGGAGGAAGAGCCTTCTTCAGAGTGACCTTGATTTGGGAGAGGGATGGAAATGAAGCCAGAGATAGAATTTTAACTGTTCTTTTCTGAGAATACAGGAAATATTTTACAATAAGGCAAAGGCAAACAACTCTAAACTCAGCAAAAAGGAAATCTTAAGGAAGTTATTCTGATCCCATCTAAAGGATAGTATTTTAGGAAAAAGAGAGGAAATACTCAAGGAGAGAAGGAGACAGAGAAAGAGAAATCTGAGAAGGGTTCACTGTTTATATCAGTCCATTTTCATACTGTTATGAATAAATACCCAAGAGTGGGTAATTTATAAAGAAAAAGAGTTCTAATGGATTCACAGTTCCACATGGCAGAGGGGCTAATGATCATGGTGGAAGTTGAAGGGGGAACAAAGACAAGTGTTATACGGCAGCAAGAAAGAGAGCACATGCAGGGGAACTGCCCCTTATAAAACCAATAGATCTCATGAGACTTATTTTCTATCACGAGAACAATGCTGGAAAGACCCACCCCCATGATTCAATTACGTCCCACTGGGTCCCTCCCAGAACATGTGGGGATTATGGGATCCATAATTCAAGGTGAGATTTTGGTGGGGACGCAGCCAAACTATAACCCTATTCATTCAGTAGATTCTTATTGAATGCTTACTCCATGGGTATTCAAGGCACTAGGACACAGTGGTGAATGAGGCAGCCCAGATCTCAGCTTCCACAGGAGAAGAACTATGAGCAAATAAAATAATAAACAGGTAAGATATCAGATAGGCAAGCAATTAGAATAGAGTGGTGGGAGAGGCCAAGGACTTTTGATTTGGTGGTCCAGGGAGACCTTACAAAGGCAACATATGAGTGAAAGAGAAAATCCATCCAGAGATGAGATGTGAGTATGAGTTTCTAACAGAAGAAACTGTCAACACAAAGACCCTAAAGTGAGAACAAGATTAATGGGTTGGGGGCCCCAGACAAAAACATGAAGAGAGGAGGAGAAAACTGTACAGTTGGGGTAGCAGACTTCACATTGTATTTTGAGTGTATGGGAAGAAATTGGAGTGAGGTTTTTTTTGTTGTTGTTTGTTTTTTCTCTGTTTGTTGTTTGTTGGGGACAGGATCTCGCTCTATTGTTCAGTGCAGTGATGCAATCATAGCTCACCGCAGAATTGCAATTCTCCTACCTAAGCCTCTCAACTAGCTAGAACTACAGATGTATATCACCACATCTGGTTAATGTATTATTATTATTTTTTTTCTGTAGAAAGAGGGTTCTCACTGTTTTGATGAGCCTGGAGTGCAGTGGAGTAATCATAGCTCACTGCAGATTGCAACTCCTGGGATTAGGTGATCTTCCTACCTCAGCCTCTCCAGTAGCTGGGACTATAGGTGTTCAACACAACAGCCAGCTAATTTTTACATATTTTCTGTAGAGACAAGGACTTACGATGTTGCCCAGGTTGATCTCCAACTCCTGAGCTCAAGTGACCCACCCACCTCAGCCTCTCAAAGTGCTGGGATTACAGGTCTAAGCCACCATGCCTGGTAGATATTTGAGTGTTCGAAGAAAGGAAGATAGCCATGTGAAAATAGAGGCAGAAGTTGGAGTGATATATCTGCAAGTCAAGGAAAGTTAAGAATTAATGGTGAAACAACAAAGGATTCTCCCCTAGAGATTTCATAGGGAGCCCAGCACTTCCAGCACCTTACTTTCAGACTCCTGGCCCCCAGAACTGAGAGAGAAAAAATTTCTACTGCTTTTAAGCCACCCAGTTTGTGGTACTAACAGTTATGTCAGTCCTCAGAAATTCAACAGAGTACATTATGTTTATGAAAGCTCACTCCAGTGTCTGGGTAGAGAATGGAGTGTGAGAACAAAGAATTAGGGAGACCACCAGGAAGCACATTGGAGAAGTCCATAGGGCAGAGCACAGTGGTCTGGACAAGATGGAAAATTGATACAGCTGAAAAAAGAGGACCAATGTCAGATAAACTTAGAAAATAAATGTGATTCCAAAGGATGGGATACATAGGATTTAAAGAAAGGCAAAATAAAACAAGACAATCAACCAGCAAACATCACAGCACTGAGGTTCAGTCACTGCATAAAACATTCAGTAAGATCATGCAAATCTGGGGATGTGTGGGCTTGGGCTAGTTTGCATCTGAGGTCTAGCTTGTATCTGTTTGATATGACATGTTTCCTGAGCTTCCATGCTGTGTGGCAAGTGGGCAGCTGGACATGGCAACATGGACCTTCACAGTAGGTTCCCAGCTCAGTATGTGGGATGCCCTGCAGTTGGATGTCATATGAGGTCCTGGATTTAGATGACATCAGATAGGGCAAGTGTGAAGATAAAGGAGGATGGAGGACAGGGGCCACAGGACAGAGTCCCAGAGATGTCCAACATTGATATCAAGAGGTGGATCAGGTGAGAAGGAGCTGCTGTGAAGGTTGAGAAGGAAATTCCATGAATATGTTTCCACTTCTCTATGCAAAGAGAGTCTCAAAGGCTTATAACTCTGATTTAAACAAGTGAAGCTGGGTATGGTACAACTTGTTCCTTCAATAAGACACTGCAATTCACAGGACTTTTGACTTGAACTCCTTTCTGTTCCACTGCCTTGACACAGATACAAGTGCAAAATGAAGTATCCTCTCAAGACTCACCCACCAGGCTGATCCAAGTATATCCAATACCTATCCAGGGTGCGGGAACATGCTTGAGCCATAATGCAAGTTTTCCAGAAAGAGTTCAGGATTGCGTCAAAATCTTAAATCCTCTGTGAGTTTAAAGCAATGGTTTCTACTCCTGAGATCCCAAAGAAGCAACGTGAACATTTTCAAATGTCTACAGCTCTGATGGAAAATTTTACATTTAACAGCTACAAAGGGTCACAGGGTATGAGTTGTTCTGTGGTTTACTTATTTATCTTGCTGTCTATGAAAATCATAATCACATGGTATGGAACACTGTCAAATTAACTGGAAGCCCTAATGGAGACAATGATTTCTTAATTATTAAATGGGAAGATAAATTATTCCTTAGAAAATTGGTTTTATTAGGTTGACACAATCATTCAAAGCATGTGGACAATAGAAGAAAATTTATTTTAGAAAGGTCTCAGAGGGAAATATTTTAGGAAGTACTCTATAAAGGACTTACTGCCAAGATTTCTAAACTTTGACTAGAATTATATCCAAAATACACATTTGACCCTACTTCTATTTCCCAATTTCACTTTATGCTAGAACATTTTGGCAAAGACAAAATTTACCAATAACCAAATCTAAACAGAATAATCATACTGCAAACTCATTTCCTTAATAAAAAATGAAACTGTCCTGTTATTACTCAGTTACCCCTGTAATATTAAATAATTGTTTTTAAACATAGACTGCAGCAGACATGTAATGCCCCTCTTATTAAAAGGAATAACATGTTGAATTTAATAGAAGGATGATTTAATCCTAGCTATTCTATCAAATTAGCCCATAGATTTGTTTTTTTTTAACAGGAAGTCTGGTATATTTAATTTTATTTATGTTTAACTTTTATTTTAGATTTGGGGATTCATGCGAAGGTTAGTTTGTTACATAGGTAAACTCATGTCATGGGGGTTTGGTGTACAAATTATTTAATCACCCAGGTATTAAGCCTAGTCCTCAACAGTGATCTTTTATGCTCCTTAACCTCCTCGCACCCTCCCCGCTCAAACAGATCCCAGTCTCTGTTGTTTCCTTTTACAAGTTCATAAGTTCTCATCATTTAGTTCCCATTATAAGTGAGAACATGTGGTATTTGGTTTTTTTTCCCTGCATTAGTTTGCTAAGAATAATATCCTCCAGCTCCATCCAAGTTACAAAAGACATTATCTCATTCTTTTTATGGCTGCATAGTATTCCATGTTGTATATATACCACATTTTCTTTTTTTCTTTTTCTTTCTTTCTTTTTCTTTTTTCTTTGAGACAGGGTCTCCCTCTGTCGCCCAGGTTGGAGTGCAGTGGCCCGACCTCGGCTATTACAAGCTCTGCCTCCCGGGTTCATGCCATTCTCCTGCTTCAACCTCTCGAGTAGCTGGGACTACAGGCACCAACCACCATGCCAGGCTAATTTTTTTTCTATTTTTTTTTAGTAGAGATGGGGTTTCACAGTGTTGGCCAGGATGGTCTCCATCTCCTGACCTCGCTATCCACCTGCCTTGGCCTCCCAAAGTGTTGGGATTACAGGCATGAGCCACTGCATGCATGCACCACGTTTTCTTTATCCAATCTGTCATTTGATGAATCCTGTAGATTTCAGTAGGGAAACAGATTTGAGTTAGGAATGCAGTGGAATCAGTAGGTTCAAATGTAGAGGTCACTGCACTGCACTCCAGCCTGGGAAACAGAGCAAGAGTTTCTCAAAAGGAAAAAAAAAAGTTCCAATAGAAAAGAATCTTTGAGGGGTTTTGATGGAGAGTAGAAGTTGTGATTACTCAGAAAAGGAAGCTATTTTGAACAGGTGTTAAATCCCGTGATTTCTCTGTGTCTGCATAAACCATAGGTGTGTGTTTGAGTTTGCAGCTTTAGAGAACAAGATGTCTTGACACTCAGAAGCCTACTTCCCATAACTAGAAGGAAACCCCACCTTATTTTTAGGGCATTGTATTTTAACAATGTTTAACTGTAAATTTAATTTGAACTATGTTTGATAAAAGGATAATATTTTGCAATAGAGCAGTGGTGGAACAGTGACTGAGACATTAATAGTGTCACATATTGATGGTATCTCCAACATTCAAGCAAAACATTTTTTCTAATATATCCAATACATTTCTTTAAAAAAAATAATTCCTGACATACTTGTGGGGTTGTATGATAAAACATGGGTTCCCAGCCATCATTAAAGACCCTCAAGGCTCACTTTCTGACCCATACCTCTTGTGTGTCTGAGCCCTACCAAACTATCTTTGCAAAATGTGATGTCTTTCCTTCTCTGCCCCATGAAGCCTCTCTGGGATTGTCAGTCAGGGGTCACTTCTCCCTGCCCTGAGTCTCCACAGCCTTTTATATGTACACTTCTTCTTTTTTGTTGTTATTATACTTTAAGATTTAGGGTACATGTGCACAATGTGCAGGTTTGTTACATACGTATACATGTGGCATGTTGGTGTGCTGCACTAGTCATTTAACATTAGCTATAACTCCTAATGCTATCCCTCCCTCCTCCCCCACCCCAAAACAGGCCCCGGTGAGTGATGTTCCCCTTCCTGTGTCCATGTGTTCTCATTGTTCAGTTCCCACCTATGAGTGAGAACATGCAGTGTTTGGTTTTTTGTCCTTGGGATAGTTTGCTGAGAATGATGGTTTCCAGTTTCATCCATATCCCTAAAAAGGACATGAACTCATCATTTTTTATAGCTGCATAGTATTCCATGGTGGGTATGTGACACATTTTATTAATCCAGTCTATCATTGTTGAACATTTGGGTTGGTTCCAAGTCTTTGCTATTGTGAATAGTGCCACAATAAACATACATGTGCATGTGTCTTTATAGCAGAATGATTTATAATCCTTTGGGTATATACCCAGTAATGGGATGGCTGGGTCAAATGGTATTTCTAGTTCTAGATCCCTGAAGAATTGCCACACTGACTTCCACAATGGTTGAACTAGTTTACAGCCCCACCAATAGTGTAAAAGTGTTCCTATTTCTCCACATCCTCTCCAGCACCTGTTGTTTCCTGATTTTTTTAATGATTGCCATTCAAACTGGTGTGAGATGGTATCTCATTGTGGTTTTGATTTGCATTTCTGATGGCCAGTGGTGATGAGCATTTTTTCATGTGTTTTTTGGCTGCATAAATGTCTTTTTTTTTGAGAAGCGTCTGTTCATATCCTTCGGCCACTTTTTGATGGGGTTGTTTGTTTCTTTCTTGTAAATTTCTTTGAGTTCACTGTAGATTCTGGATATTAGCCCTTTGTCAGATGAGTGGATTGCAAAATGCAGAAAAGGCCTTTGACAAAATTCAAAAACTCTTCATGCAAAAAACTCTCAGTAAATTAGGTATTGATGGGAAGTATCTCAAAATAATAGGAGCTATATATGATAAACCCACAGCCAGTATCATAGTGAATGGACAAAAACTGGAAGCATTCCCTTTGAAAACTGGCACAAGAGAGGGATGCCGTCTCTCACCACTCATATTCAACATAGTGTTGGAAGTTCTGGCCAGGGCAATCAGGCAGGAGAAGAAAATAAAAGGTATTCAATTAGGAAAAGAGGAATTCAAATTGTCCCTGTTTGCAGATGACATGATTGTATATCTAGAAAACCTCATCATCTCAGCGCAAAATCTCCTTAAGCTGATAGGCAACTTCAGCAAAGTCTCAGGATACAAAATCAATGTGCAACAATCACAAGCATTCTCATACACCAATAACAGACAAACAGAGAGAAAAATCATAAGTGAATTCCCATTCACAATTGCTTCAAAGATAATAAAATACCTAGGAATCCAACTTACAAGGGATGGGAAGGACCTCTTCAAGGAGAACTACAAACCACTGCTCAACGAAATAACAGAGGATATGAACAAATGGAAGAACATTCCATGCTCATGAGTAGGAAGAATCAATATCATGAAAATGGTCAGGCTGCCCAAGGTAATTTATAGATTCAATTCCATCCCCATCAAGCTACCAATGACTTTCTTCACAAAACTTCATAAAATTGGAAAAACACTACTTTAAAGTTCATATGGAACCAAAAAAGAGCCTGCATTGCCAAGTCAATCCTAAGCCAAAATAACAAAGCTGGAGGCATCATGCTACCTGACTTCAAACTGTACTACAAGGCTACAGTAACCAAAACAGCATGGCACTGATACCAAAACAGAGATATAGATCAATGGAACAGAACAGAGCCCTCAGAAACAATGCCGCATATCTGCAACTATCTGATCTTTGACAAACCTGAGAAAAACAAGCAATGGGAAAAGGATTCCCTATTTAATAAAAGGTGCTGGGAAAACTGGCTAGCCATATGTAGAAAGCTGAAACTGGATCTCTTCCTTACACCTTATACAAAAATTAATTCAAGATGGATTAAAGACTTAAATGTTAGACCTAAAACCATAAAAACCCTAGAAGAAAGCCTAGGCAATACCATTCAGGACATAGGCATGGGCAAGGACTTCATGTTAAAACACCAAAAGCAATAGCAACAAAAGCCAAGATTGACAAATGGCATCCAATTTAACTAAACAGCTTCTGCATAGCAAAAGAAACTACCATCAGAGTTAATGGGCAACCTACAGAATGGGAGAAATTTTTTGCAATATATGTACCCTTCTTAAGAAACTATTACTCTCTAACCACTTCTAGCATTGTGATTTATATACACATCTCCTCCTTGGCAGCTGCTAAGCTGTTTTGGAACTGAACAGACAGTAAGAGAGAGAATGAATAAATAGATGAATGAGAGTGTGGAATGCAGCCTGGAACTCCAGTCTTTAGAGACACTGGCATCCACAACATGAAATAAAAACAACTCTCTCCTCATAGGCCATAGCCTCATGGAAATAACACTGAAACAATGATGAGATGGAGCAAGGACCCCTCTTAGGGGTCTTCTGGGCTCCCCCCAGAATGGAAGTAGAGAAAAATCTTGAGTTCCTTCAAGAAAAATTCCAGGCACCTAGCTATCTTTAAAAGATAAATGAGCAAGAAGGTAATGGTAGTGTAAAGCCACAGACAAGGAAGTTAGAGCCACAGAATGTTTGGCTCCCTATAATAATTAAAGATAACATGTTAACATATGTCCAGGGGTTGTTTTTCAGAAACCTGGAATGCTACCAAATGGAAAATGCAGTCTGCTTGGACTTAAACCAGAGGTGAGGAGGAACTGAGGACTGAACTCTCATTGACATTCTTTGTTCCAAATTTCTTCTCAAGGGTCCTGGAAGAAGCCATGACCACAGGCCAGATATCCTGTTTGTTTTTTGCTGACCAAAGCAATCGTTCAGACAAAGCTTCACTTCCTCAACCAACTGCAAATCAGGGAAGCTTTGAAGCCACCTGTGACCTGCAGGTGCCCTTCTTTGGGATGTCCTGCCTTTTGAGGTCAAACGAACATATAACCTCCATGTACTGACTTATGACTGCCTGTAGCCTCTGCCTCCTAGCCTTTAAAAGCCTTTGTTTGCAAACCATCAGGGAAGTAGAATCTTAAGTGAGAGCTGCCTCATTCTACTTGATTGCAACTCTGCAAATAGATACCTTCCTTTCCCCCACTGCAAAAGTTTGGTGTGGATGTTTGGCCCTACTGTACTGGCTGAGTGGATCCTAGTTCAGCCCAGTGACACCAAGTCTTCATATATGAGAAGTACATGTTTCCACTTTTTGTTACTCTAAAATAACGTAGTACACAGAGAAGGGCTGAAAGAGTGATAGCTTACTGGGGTTATTCCTGTTCAGATTAAACACATTTGTTCATTAATAGAACCCACATTACATATTGATAATGCATAATGCATTGAGCAATGTAACAATGAGACCTAAAGGAAGAGGCTGGGAGGATGTCTGAGAAGCCTATAAAGGTCATCCAGATGCAACAGGCATCTTTTTGTGCTAGGTGCCAGGTCAAAAAAGATGTAGGAGTTAGTTCCTTCCCCCATTTGTTCAGCCTGTCACAGGACTCCAGATGTGCACATGCATATGTAAATAGAAGTATATCGTTTCATAAGGTACCTGCGGCCCAAAGGATATGCTACAGAGCACTCTTTCTCTTTGCTTCAGGCGTCGTGTAGTCTGGCCTTCCTGAGCAAATTGCAGTTTGCATGACAAGCTATTTGCTTCTTCTCACTTCCAGCATGTTGAAAGAGAGCAAGGGGTTGGAAAGGCAGAAACAGATAGAAGGAGAATAAGAGCAGATGCACAGACCCACTGGTGACCTCATTTCTAGCCACATCTCCTTTGCAAACATTCCTGGGAACCACCGCCAAGTGAGGCTCTCTTTCCCTTTGTGTCATTAGTATCTTGTGCATACAAGTGTCAGCACCTTTATCAAATTTCACCAGTCTTCTAGGCTTCACGCCATCACCTACCCACCCACCTACTGCAACATGACTTCCTTCAAGGCAGACACCATGTTTGATGTTTAGTGTTGTGTCTGGCCCAATGCCGGAAACACAGAAGATAATCAACATTTCTAAACAAATTGTTAGATAAAAGCATTCCCTATATTATTCTTTCATATCTTTGCATGTAAGCTCTGATACACCCTACCTTCTTGGCTAAGGCATCATCTCTTCTTGTACCTTCAACCCACATCCACTGCAGGTTTGGCTGCAGAGTTCCAACCCTTAGAACTAATACATCATTTTGGGTATCATATCACTTTGTGAAATCAGCAATACTGTGTGTCATGTAATGTCTGTCACATAACATAGACATTAGGTATGTATATATTAGACTTTAGTTAGGCCTAATGTATATAGAGATTAAAGGATAGGTGTGTCTACATACATTTAGATATGTCTAAGTATAAATATTAGATGTTAGATATGTGTGTTTTATGTACCAAAGCATACGCTGTACAAGCCAGAGTCTGGATCTTATTGAATATCTCCAATAACTAGCATGATGCCTGATCCACCATGAAAGTGGCTCAGCTAATGCTGAAAAAAAAAAAAAAAAAGTTAAAAGAAGCATCAGCTTGAAATAGTGTATTGTGGGTTCATGTAGGCTGAATAATGACCTCCCTAAAATACCCTCATCCTAATCCCTGGGATGTTACACCCCATGGCAAACATGTTACACCCCAGGGCAAAAGAATTTGCAGATTAAGTTCATGATCTTGAGATGAGAAGATGATGTGGGATTATCCAGTCAGGCCGAACATAATCCCAAGTGTCCTTATAAGAGGGAGGCGGGTGTGTCAGAGTAAGTGAAGGAGACAAGATTATGGAAGCAAAGATCAGAGACAGACAGGGAGGTGTGAAGACATCCAGTCAACATGACTAATAAATGAACTGGCTCTTTCCTGGAGATACGTTGTTGACTGCACTGACATAATACACACTTTCTTGTTATATGGGAAGAAAAAGAATAAAGTCATGTAGATTTCAGGTTCTAGGTGGGACACCTGCATTTGAACACATGCTCATCCATTATGAATTCTGTAACCTGAGGTGGGTGTACTTAACTTGCAAGCCTCGCTTGCCTTTTTCCTGTGGAATGGGAATGATGAGAACATCACCTGCTGCACAAAGACCACTGGCAGCACAAAATGAGGTTACATGCTGGGACTCAGCAACTGATATCCCCAAAGATGGCATTTTGACATGCTAAACTGAAGAAGCCTCAAGTCTCTAACCTCCCCTTCACCCCCTTCATCTTTTATCTGCCTAAGATCCAGACATCTAACTGATAATGACAAGACATTGTTCATATTTCATTGCTGATAGAATAAGGGATAATAAGGACTAATGTTTTGTCTTCTCTCCTTCATGAATCTCTTCCATCTTCAGACCACAGACTAGACTTCCCCTGCAATGTATCCACTGGCAACTGCAGACATGCACATGGGGGCAAAGATTTTTTTTTTTAAAGAGACAGGTCTCACTCTGACACCTAGACTGGAGTGCAGTGGTAGAATCATAGCTCAACCTCAACCTCCTTGGCTCAAGCCATCTTCCCACCTCAGCCTCCCAAGTAGCTGGAACCACAAGCATGCACAACCACACCTGGGTAATTTTTTTTATTTTTTGTTGAGATGGGGTCTCCCTATGTTGCCCTGGCTGGTGAAGGTGCTTTTTGTATTCTCTTTACCTTTCAGGATCAATGCATTTTTGGTTACCTTCAAAAAACACCATACACTTGCTGTCTCTAAAGGCATCAGAAACATAGGTGGAAATAGACAAGAAAGAAAACACAAGGAAGCAAAGACTTAGCAGCTTTCTAAGTATTCACCGAGGAGAGACATACCCACACTACAGTCCATTTCCTCAACAGCATCCCCACAGACTCCGTGTTTACTTTTGCCGGCAAAGTCCTTGCTGGAGAACAAGGCCATGTGCACGTGGAGGTAGGACAAGACAAGCAGGAAAGGAGTCTCAGTGTTCCTGCAAAAAAAAAAAAAAAAAAAAAAAAAAGGGAGGAAAAAAAGACCACAGACAATGTGAGTATGTCTGCCACCCTTCTGATTAGGATCCACCTATTATCATAGCAGGCTATTTGAAAATTCACAAAATACTACAAGTTAATTTCCTGATGGTATCTTCTGTCAGAGAAAGGTAAGTCTCTATTTTGTCTCTATGAAGTGACTTATTGTTACCTTCTATGGATCAGTAAGTGAAGAATTATGTTACTGACACATCTCCCAAAGACCCAACTCAGAAAGAGATTTAATAGAAAATTGTCTGTATTTGTTTTTTTGTTTTGTTTTAAATTCTCTTTTTCCTTCTGTATGCGGTGATTAAAATGAATTCAAGCACCCTGAAAATAGTATTTTCTTTCGGAAAAAAATTATACACAAATATATGCACATTATTAAAAAATACCATCTTTTAAAAATTGTGATTGATATATGCAAATAATTATACATATATATATGAAATATATATATACAAAAATTCAAATACCAATTTGAAATAAATAAATTGATATACACAATAGTTCTCATATATACTTGTTGTGGACAATGCAGTAATATATGTCCACTTGTGGGATGATTAAATAAAGGTAATTAAAATATTCATTTATTGTATAGTTGTCATTTCTTTGAGGTGAAAATATTTAAAATCTACTCTCACCACAATTTTCAAACATATAATACATTGTAATTCACTATACTCACCAGGCAAGGCAATACATACCCTAACTATTCCTCCTGTCTAACTATAACTTTTTATCCTTTGACCAACATCTCCCCATTCCTCATCCACTCTCTTAGCCCGATTCCCTGGTAACTGCCATTCTACTGTCTGCTTCTAGGAGTTCAACTTTCTTCTTAGATTCCAAAAAGCAGTGAGATATTGTAGTATTTGTCTTTCTGTGTTTGGCTTATTTCCCTTAGCAGAATGTCCTCCAGGTTCATCCATGTTGTCACAAATGACAGCATTACCTTCTTTTTAAAGGTAAATCGTATTCCATTGTGTACCTTCATTTGTCAACTACTTTCATCAATGCCATTTTAAGTCCAACTCAACTTTGTGTTCTACCTGCTTCTATAATACAACAAGTATAAAGTGAACACTCAATGGTCAATACTGAAATTTTGAATAGAGTATTCAAAATTTTAATAGAACACTCATTCAATTGGCCCAAACCTATCGAGAGAGGAATGATACTGCCAATGTATTCCTAAATTCAGAGGGCACCTAAACCTCCTTCATTTGAATTGATTACAATGCACAGATGTTCAAGAGTTATAAGTCACTGTCAATGCATGGCCCTTGCTACAATGGGCTGTGAGCAATGTTGCTATAGGGAGGTCTGAGTTTTCACAACTGAGTCTGCTGATAGAGATCAGTAAGTCCCAAGGCTGCTTCATCACCTCAGGTTGCCCTCTGAGAGATGCATTTAGTGCTGTGTCTCAGTTTCACATTGTAGGCTCAATCTTTACCCCTCATCTGGGAAATAATTAGCAATTTCTTTCTGCTAAAAGACAATACTGGGTGAGAGGCCTTTTTGAAGGCTATCAGGGCACAGGACAAGTGTCCACTTCCCTAGGGGTGGAGGAAGCTCTAAGAGATTCATGCAAGAAGCTGCAATGCTTAGAGGGGAAACACCTTAATGACAGCCCCTGCCTCACTGCCCACTACCCAATGTCTTCTTCTTACCCTGATTCAAGCTTTAACTATTTCTGTGAACTTGGGTGGGTTCCTTAAATAACTACACTTCAGATTTATTAACAAAACATGAAGAGTCCTGATGAAGCCTTATGTTGATGCCAACACTCTCACACAGCCCAGCTTCTACCCCAATGTGATAACCAGTCCCAAACACAGCTTGCATATTCACAGCTCAATACTCTGCACATCATCATCTCTCAACCTAAAACTTACTTCCTCCTCTCCCTGGTAAGCAGTCATTACTCAGAAGCCATCTCCAATGCCACATTCTCTGAGAGCCTGTTCCCCTTTTCCAGGCAGTCCCATCAGAGCAAAGCACCATGGGGCATTTGCCTTCCACTGAATCTCCAAGCCCTAGCACCATGCATGGCCTGTAGATGATGCTTAATAATATTGCCAAACAAATGAGAGAATCAATGAATGGATGAGGGCAGGAATTTGATTTCTTTTTTTTTTTAATAGGAGAAAGGGCATACAAATTCATTTAATGTGTACACACAGGAGCCTTCAGATTGAAGATCCAAAGATAAAGGGTAAATTGTCTATTTTTCTGCTTAGGTTCAACAAAGCATGTGCAAATAGGATTGGACAGGCCAGGCACAGTGGCTCATGCTTGTAATCCCAGCACTTTGAGAGGCCAAGGCGGGCAGATCACGAGGTCAAGAGATAGAGACCATCCTGGCCAACATGGTAAAACCCCGTCTCTACTAAAAACACAAAAATTATCTGGGCATGATGGCACATGACTGTAGTTCCAGCTACTTGGGAAGCTGAGGCAGGAGAATCGCTTGAACCCTGGAGGTGGAGGTTGCAGTGAGCTGAGATTGTATAATTGCACTACAGGCTGGCAACAGAGAGAGACTCCATCTCAAAAAGAAAAAAAAAAAAAAAGAAATGGGATTGGGCAAAAGGTAATGGACTGAATGGGGAAAGCCGACAAGGCCTTTCTATCTAGTTTCTTCTTGGCCTCTCTGAGCCTTCCTCCTAGGTGTGGTGTAAGACCTTCTCTGGAATGGTACTACTAAGACCCACAGTCAAACAAGGTAGGATGGGGGATTTCTTTATGGCCGGTTTTTACATAGAAATGATGAGGAAAAATTTGTCCTATTTTTCAGTCTTATGACTAGCTTTGGGGAGAAGGTGTTCTGGTCTCTATAACCTGCCTTGGGGAAAAGGGATTCTAGTTTGTACGGCTAGCCTCAGGAGAGGATGAGACTGAGAGACAATTCTCTGCTGGTTTTCTCCTCTTTGTCTTCAGTATTCTCCAGTTTCACTGTTGGGGCTTAGAAAAGGGAACCCTAAAACAATATTGTTAAGCATCTTCCACAGGTCAGGCATGGTGCTAGGGCCTGGAGAGTCTTTTTTTTTTTTTTTTTTTTCTTTTCTGAGATGGAATCTGACTCTGTCACCCAGGCTGGAGTGCAATGGCACGATCTCAGCTCACTGCAGCCTCTGTCTCCCAGGTTCAAATGATTCTCTTGCGTCAGCTTCCCAAGTAGCTGGTATTACAGTTGCCCACAAGCATGTCGAGTTAATTTTTTAGTATTTTTAATACAGATATTTTTACACCATGTTGGCCAGGCTGGTTTTGGACACCTGACCTCAAGTGATCTGCCTGCCTTGGCCTCCCAAAGTGCTAGGATTACAGGTGTGAGCCACCATGCCTGGCCCAGATGTATGCTTTTCTAAATGCATTTGTATTTTGCTAATGTCAATATACCTTGGGATCCTCCAGACCATGTGTTTCCTTCTAGGTGAACTGCTCACACCTATGGCTGTAACACTTCCCATTTAAGGTCAATCCTTATATTTATTAACCCCTACTCCTGTTAAACAGAAAATTAACACAGAACAGCACACTTTGGGTGAGAGCTAAGCCAGGTATCTCCAGTTCTCTGAAAATAGGCAGATTAAATCTAACAAGTTGTTGGTAATAACTAGTACCATGTTTTATTATTCCAGTACATTGTGGCAATTTATGTCCCACTCCCCATCTTTTACAAGAATATAAAGCAAGGAAATTAATATCTCACAGCCCAGAAAGTAAAAAAAAGAACAAATTCCTCAGGGGTTTGTCTCTCCTCTCACAGTAACTGGAATAAGAAGGCATGCAATGAGAGCCCACTGGACCTGGTCTGTAACATTCACCATTATGTCTCAGAAAGAAAAGAGGACATACTACTGCTTAGATGGAAGCACTGTAATTGTCATCCTAGCTGATGACTTACATATGAGCCTCTCTACTGAGCCATGTGTTTGGCTCCTTCTAAGAGAAGATGCCCTTGAGGAACCTGGAGGAGCTGAAATGGAGCCACAGTATGTTAGAGAATTTGGCCACCCAGGGCAGACTGTGAGGCCTCCATCCTACTTATTATGGGGAAAGTTTATTCACACCTGGGCAAATTGCACCTCCTTCCCCAGAAGCAGATTGTGTTCTCCTAAACTCGCTTAGATTCCTCAAAACAAATATGAAATTACAATCTTTGTGTTCCTAATTAGATAGTTACATTATGTATGAGAATAGTCTCACTGCAATTTCTCTCTCATCTGCTCTCCCATTTATTTTTAGATTTAAAGTTAAAGAAAATAGATGAGAAAGCTTAAAATTTCAATCTCCCAAGCATGGTCATATAGCATGTGACTGGCAGAATTTGCTGAGCAGGAAGAGCTACTGCATGTTTCAACTTGGATTCTCCAATTTTGGATGGTTGTCCTCTTGTTCAAAAGTTCAAAAAAAAAAAAACAACAACAAAGAATGATAAACAAGAAACAGACACCAGCCAACATGATTGACAGGATTGTAAAATTGAAGCATATTAAAATGTGAGGTGGAAATAAAGAAATAAATGATAAAGATGGTACAACCAATAAATAAGAGAGCATGAAATACAAGCCAGTTCATGAGGACTTCAATAGCAGATGAGTCAGAGATCTAACTCCGGGTTCAATCAAGGCTATGAACATGATCTTTGTCTTGGAATGCAGGGGAATCCCCCTTAGAAAGGGAGAAGGAAATTAATGTGTTTGTTCTCACAATTCACATATTTATATAACTCATTTTCTAACATCTCTCTATAAAGCAGTGGTTTTTCATCCTATAGGTGACATCAGAGATACGAGCATCTTTGTGTATACTCTGTGCATCGAGTAGAGTTGATTAGGTTTGACGATACAAAAACAAACCCAGAAAACACAGAAAAGCATACTTGGCTTGCAAAAATACTGTTCCAAGATTTACCATCTGGAAACAGAAATGAAATCAATGGTGCATGGGAATGTTGGCTAGACAGACATAAATCACCAGATTTCCCACACACACCTAGGGTGTAATTGACAGCCTGTGCCCGGGTGAAGGAATTCTTGCTTTGTAGTATCCTTTGAGAGATCAGGAAAGGTCATTTGCTTCACACCCAGGCTCAGGGAGGAGATCTGGGCTCTCTTCTCTATGACCTAGAAAACTGAATGACATATCAGCAAGTTGGTAGGAGAAAGATTTCTCAATAACAGCTTAACTCCTTTTTTATTAGCTGGAGTACTTCAGTAAAGAACTGTTTTGAAAATTTATTGCCACTGTTTTTCACACTGTGCAAAAAGATAGAACTTTCAGCTGCTACATGCCTGTGCTCCGTTTGTTAAAAACACTGAAGGCAGCCCTGAGCCTTTCCAGGAACATGTAATCATTCCAATCTCAGAACAAAAAAGATTTATGTCCTATAGAGGCACGAATAAAAATGCAGGCAAGAAGATGCCTAAGGCATTTTTTTCTGTCTGCCATTAAATATAATTCTGAAGATATTCAGAATAATAATCTTCATCTGAGTGTCTGACCTTTATTATTGTAGTATTGTTCCAACTGCAGTGGACATAGGGAATAATGGGAATGCAAGTAGGGATGTCTGTGAATTCCTTCTGGTTACCTTTTGCTGCTGGTAATTAGAGTATGGCATAAATCAGATAGCGGTATCAACAGTCGCTGCCTCCCCACCCTCCCTGAAGTTCATGTGACCACCTCTATGTGCAGCAGGTGGATTTATACATCCAGCTGTTCATGTCTTCCATCTGAGTTTTGCAGTTACTAAGCAAATGTTCTGCTGACACATGATACCAGGCACTAGAAATACAAAAGGAGGCTGGATCGGACCCTGCCATCAGCAATCCACAGTTCAGACAAGAGCATTGACAGCTAATCTAAGCTGTCTTAAGTGCCCCTACTCAGCACTGCAGAGAATGAATTCAGAGAAGGAGAACTTATCTCAACCTGGCAGGGGTCAGAATTTGCTCCTAGAAAGAGGTAGCTTCCAAAGGTTCACATAGCATGACAGCATTTGTGAATGTTTTCCATAAACATGCAGGTTTTCGAGCTATTCACAGGTATGATATTCAGAGATACAGAAATTTATGGTTGGAGGGGCATTTCCAGGGTCAGGTTTAAGTATTCCTTATGCCCCAGTGAGTTGGGAATGGCATGGACCCACTGGATCTAGTATGGCAAAAGATAAATATCCCTCAGAACCTATATTGTTATGATATGCTCAGGCAGAAACCAGGGGTTCAAACAAACAAAAAAAAGAAGCACCTCACCCAGCTTTTTTTTTTTTTTTTCAGAGACAGGGTCTCGCTCTGTTGGGCAGGCTGGAGTGTAGTTCTGCAGTCTTAGCTCACTGCAGCCTCCAACTCTGAGGCTCAAGAGAGTCTCCCACCTTTGCTTCTTGAGTAGCTAAGACTATAGATGTGCATCACCATGTCGAGTTAAGATTTATTTTTTTAGAGACAAGGTCTCACTATATTGCCCAGGCTGGTCTCAAACTCCTGGAATCAAGCAATCTTCCCACCTTAGCCCACCTCAGCCGGCTGAGTAGTTGGGACTACAGGCACACACCACCATGCCCAGCTAATGTCTCTTTAGTTTTTGTAGGCGCAGAGTCTTGCTATATAACCCAAGGTGGTCTTAAACTCCTGGGCTCAAATTATCCTCCCACCTAGGCCTCCCAAAATGCTAGGATTACAGGCATGAGTAATTGTGCCTGTTACCTTCATTTTCAAATACATTATCTCATAGGCCCACAAAAGTTAAAAACAAATCATGCGTCATCTACAGTTATATAATAATGTGACTCTTGATGACAACTCTTTAATTATTTAACTTTTCCATTTTTGAATGAGCATCTGTTTGTATCCCGTGTATTGCCCTTAAAGTTTAATCTGATTTACTTTTCTTACCATGAATTAAAATCAATATCACCCCATTCCTTTCTGGCTTACACTCTTATCTAAAGTAATGAAATCTCCTAAAGATCACTTTATTCAAAAGACACTTTTAGCCAAATCACAGCTATTCATCACAGCCACTTACACTGGAGTCCAGCTGGAAATGGGAGAGGATAGGCTGGAGGTATCTGATAAATGCATTTCAGGATTGTGACCTTGCCAAATGGTGATGGCAGTACATAGACCAGGACAAAAAGTCATATATTTTCCAATAATACATTTACTATCTATCATAGATTTTAGGGGATTATGATTATACAAGCAATGCTTATAGAAATGAGTATTTATTTACCATTAAACTACAGATGATAGGAAATGGTAGAGGAGACAGTCTTTCCACAGTTCTCCACTAGGGGTATAATCTTTTCATGAAGATTATTTCCCTCCAACCCCCAACTCCTTGGTTACTGATACTTTCTATCATGCTGATGTCATGGTGTTTTGTTTTGTTTTGTTTTTCTGTGGAGAGTTGTCAGGGAGCAGGGTTTATTATAGTCAGAATAGGAGATGTTACTATGCAGGAAGTCAGAGATTAAAAACAGAACTCTACATCATTTTCAAATTTTCAATTTGGTACCCATAAACCCTTTGCTAAAAAAATCATTGATAAAGAACAAGAGTTAGCCTACATTGAGAGTGACTACAGATTATTAGTTTTTAATTGAAACTTTAATTATGGCAAATTTCAGATAAATCTATAAATCCCATAATTGGATAACATAACCTATTCATTGCTAACTTCACCCATCATCATGTACCCCTTATTTTCTTATCAGAACATTCAGGTACTTCTCCATTACCATGGTAATGACAACAATACTGACATTGAAACTTATCTACGAGGATTAAAGAGATGCATTCTCCTTCCTTAAGCATTGGACCTAGACTCTTCTATCTAGAGAAAGGTGTTCAGACACCCATATAGTGCCCTAATCTTCTTCCAGCTAATCCTCACTCAGTAAGTCTACCGCACCAGAGTGGATGGAGGAGAAGAGAATCCCCCAACTGTTTGTGGACCATTCCAACATTCAGATGATTGAGTTTACTCTGTTTAAATTCAGCCTCTACTCTTTATTACCTGTGGGGCTGAAATCAAAGGACTTCAGCCTGAAAGTTTCTTCGTGATGAGACATCTATTTACCGACCTTATGAGGTTGTTATGTGGTATGAAGGAAGCAATGGGTATGGAAGGTACACAAAGCAATGTGTGTATCCACAGCACCTGATACATAATTGGCAACCACTTCATGGTGTACATTATACTTGAACATGTCCCATTCTGTGTTACCATTTCTGCTGTGCACCTAAGTTGTATCTGTTTTGCATTGAAATGAAGAGAGGAATGGCAAAACCCAAAACTGTCATAATGGGATGAATCTGCAGAGCACATACAGAGCATTGGGTATCTTCACGAAATTTATAGTTCATTCCTCTCTGCAAGAATAACAAGGATTTCTGGTTAAAGTGTATGCAAGATGACCCATCTCCTGTGTGACTATGCAGCATATAACATATGGTGAGCTAATTATCCAACTCTCTAGTAATAGAAGGATAAATTTATTATCCTTCAATGAGACAATTAGGGTGAAAGATTGTGGAGTGCATGTTTATATATTCTAAATCATCACTCTCCTCAACTTGAAAATATGTGCATGGAATCCCAGGCCACAAACTGGGTTTGACTATGTGGACCTCATTTTCAAGAATCACAAACCAATGAAGCATCTTTGCCTTATGCCCCCTTGTCATTCATACACTAATATCACAAGCCAGCATCTCAGGAGCAAACCCCTGAGTATAAATCATATCAGCAACACAGCATAGAGAAAGACTGTAAATTTTAGAAGTAAGAATTTTAAATCATTTTCCTCCCACCTTTGACAGATGAACTGAGAAAAAGCTGTGTACAAATACATAAGTGTATATATATATATATATATATATATATATATGTTAAAATATCTAAACAAGGCACCAGTTGCAACTGGAAATTCTTAAATTCAAAAGCGTTTGAATAAATTCCACTAATACTACCATTGCTTTAATCAGGCATTCCATTTTCAGCTGCTGAATAACTCTACCTCCATTTCTTACAAAAGTTGTAAGACCTGGCTAAATTGCTCAGGATATTCTTGATAATGAAATAACACACATAAATGTGTCTTCAGATATTGAAGGAATGTTTTCTGAACATAGTGGTGTCACAAATATTAGGTCTTTGGTAGCATATCAAGGCCATTCTCTCAGGACTCTTGGATATCATATTCAGAGAATTAGATAACTAATCTAACACAGATAGACAGCTCTACCCAAGGATGATTGTAACAATGTGCTTTAAATCTTTGTATCTTCAGATAATGTACGTAAGAAGCTGTTTGTGAATGGCATCACAGTGTTCAAAATGCTAGCATTTTCACTAATATTAACCATGCAGTGCGTGCTCCAATGTGGATAATAGCCATCTACACTAGAATCACCTATTTTAAAGAAAAAACTCTTTTGTTGTAATTCAATAACCATCCCTCCAACTTTGATGTTGCTAGAACATCTTAAATCTCTAGTTCTAAAAGAAAATCTTAGCTCCCGAATAATTAGAGGTAATAAATATTAGCTTGTCAGGCTTCAATGTCCTCATGATCATCAAATTTGTTTTGGTCCCCTCCCAAAATTATATACTAAGGAAGCCATTAAAATGCCTTTTAATCATATGAATATTCACATACCTAACAGATTAAATAATTTCACACAAAATACATGTCATACAAGGTGATTCAGCCTGGAAGCCCAGGGTCATTTTTGACCATCATTATATGAAGGACATTTTATTAATCTCCACTCTGTATGCTTTTGAGAGATTCATGGTAGATGAAGACTAATATAAGGATGTCCAGCTTTCCCAGCAAATTTGACAAACAGCACACTGTTGTTTTATGCCTTAAATAGACTGGCCTGACATTCTTCCCAGAGTGTTGCTCCATCTTGGAATGGCTATGCTCCTGTTTATCAAACACAGTAAAGCTCGCACACCAGGTAAGAACATGGTCAATCATGTAGACTGTGACCCATTGATACATCATGAATTTAATTTAGTTCCACAACCAGATCATAAAACAAACAAACAAACAAACAAACAAACAAAAAAAAAACAGAATAAACCGGGGTAGAAAATATTAGGGTAATTACCCTAGTAAGAGAAAGATCATTTCTGTAAGCTTTTGTTTCAATCACATATCTGTGTGTATCTTATTAGATGATGATATAACTGAATGATGTATCTTATTAAGTTCCAAAGCTTTTACATGTTGGCATCAAGTTCTAGAAAAATCTAGGTGACAAATAATTGCAATATTTCAGCATAGTGGCCAAAGCTCATACATGTATATGAAACCCAGTGTTTCTTAGAGTGTCCTATGAAACACCCAGTTTAGAATGTTTTGGGAAGCTTATTAAAATGCTGATGCAAAGTCTCATTTCAGGACTACTCTGTGACAGTCCCTAGAGTTCATCCTGGCCATCTTCAGCTGTAATAAGCACCTCTGGGATTTTCCTTATGCAAAGTCTGAGGTATCACTTGTCTACCCATGTAGTCCTAGACTATCTCCCTTTTCCCCTCTTTGTTTACCTTTAGGAAGTCATAATGATCCTATATTATAACCCACCACACACTAGGCTAGCAAAGGGCCACCTACAATGCATAGTTCTGAATCAAGCACCATGTCCAGGAGGCAGGTGGCCACCCCTGCAATGCCTGCATCTAGCTGTGTGGGCTGAACACTGGCACTGATAACTCTGCAGTATCTCTGTGAAAATAATACTTGAAATAAATGTTCAGGAGTGTGACTGACAGCTTAAAGTCTTCCTTCCTCTCTCAGGAATTGCACAACATCCTTCACCATACCATTTTACTGTGAGCAGAATCCGATAGGTTTCTGCAGTCTCTGGTGCCTGGGTAAGACAGGCTGTCAGCATGGGCATGACATGATGGAGCTATGGTTACCCACAGACCCCAATGTTTACCCAGGACAGGCACCCAGACTATAGGCATATTGCCCAAGAACGACTCACAACCCCTCCAGCATGTGCCCGTCAGCCCAAATCTGTGAAAATCATGACAAATAGCCCACATCTTACCTGGATTCTGACAGACCAATAAATAGTTGCTTAAAGGACTTTCAGTGGCTATTATCCATCCCTGGGTAGAAAATTTTTTATTCTTTACATTAATACTTGCTGCTGCTATACATGCATATCTCCTACAGCTTCCCTTGGAAATCAGGATCAATAATTTATCTCTTTGTAAATTAAATACATATGTGTGTAAAGTACACATACATACACATATATATAAACACGTATTTAGTTTACATATATACACATATATATTTACTTTACACATACATGTATACACAAACATACACACACACAACACCAAAAAATATTTTTTCTTTACTCTTTCTCTGATGAAAATATTACAATACCAATGAAGAGTATACTTTACATCAACACTTCAAGTACAGACATGCATCATATAGTGGCAGAGACATAGTTCTCATATAGTTCTGACAAATGCATCATTAAGCAAATTCATCATTGTGCAATCATCATAGAGTGCACTTACACAAACCTAGATGGTGCAGCCTACTATCTACCGAGGCTATATGGTAAAGCCTATTACTCCTAGGCTACAAACCTGCACAGCATGTGACTGTACTGAGTACTTCAGGCAACTGCAAAGCAATGGCAAGTATTTGTGTATCTAGTCATATGTACACAAAGAAAAGGAACAGGAAAAATTACAGTATAAAAGATACAAACGTCCAGCTTTATAAGGCAGCTCCATTATAATCTCATAGGACCTCTGTCATATATGTGGTCCACTGTTGACCAAAATGTCATTATGTGGTCATGTCTACAATCCAAATTTTATAATAAATTAGCCCCTTTAGTTTACATTTATCTATAAACTCGGGCAAATTCCTTCAACCTCCACTCATATAGCTGTAATATCAAATAACCATTTTTTAAAATTCCAAGGCTCATATTGATTTTTCTCTTCATGTGCCTACATTTTGTACTTATGAATGTCTGTTAAATATTAATTTGCCTAGAGTCTGCACTAACTAGATGTTTGCTCAGATGTTCTTTTATTCTTTTGTTTCAGAGTCTGCCCTTTCTCTCCAGCTGTTCATGAGGTTTCATGGGGCTTTACTAAATGTCAGTAGTTTCCAAATGCAGTCCTCTGTTCCAGTTTCACCCAAGCACTGCAACTTTTATGCCTCTGACATACTTAGCTTCTCATAAAATTTCATCTGAAATATTCCTCAGCTTTAAAACAAATTTGAAAATCACTGCCTGCAGTAGGAAAATCACTTCTATGTGTTCAGTAAGGCTGTTTCACTTTCTTCTTCCTGAACATATGGGGAGACTGCCTCTTAGCCCCACGTCAAGTCAGTGTGGAGACATGGGGCCTGTTCTACAAGCTGACCCCTAGGTCAGTGAAGTAAGGAAAAGCTGCCAAGTGATCCTTCAACTCTTTTCTCCTGTGGATGCCATTGGGAAGGCCACCTACTAAGATGACAGAAGCACAAGATATTAGCAACCTGGATCCCTGAGTCTCCTCATGGAGCAAAGCTTCCCTACAGCGTCACCCAAGCAGCAATAGATTTTGAATGGGCAAGAAACAAACTTTCAAGTGTTAATCCTCCAAGATTTTGTCAGTCTTCACTGACAAAAACAGAAATGGCAGAGGAAGTGGGATGCTAACCAAAATGAAAAAAACTGTGAGGTGCTCTCTTAGCAGTTGGACAGCTAGTACATAGAATACTCTCTGGAGTCAAGTCCCAGAGGCTGAAACTGAGAATAGTTACAATGACCAATGACCAGTTTTTATAATTCACAGTTAAACAACAATTTAGATTTTAATAAAATTTGTTAAAACTGAGAGGTGGTGTGAACTATAAGAACTAATCATTCTACTTCTGTCTGATTTTTAGAGGGAGGAAATGACACTATCAATGGCAACTTTTGTGTAGGTCACTTCATAGTCTGTTCAGACACCCAAACCATATGTGGGTTTCTGTCAGAGTTGACGAAACACTTTTGTGATAACAGATATACAAAAATATACCCTATGATTTATCTATTGCATAATCCATGATGTTGTGGGTAGCAGGACACTGTTGTACCTCCAGGTGAATGGGTTGCTTCTATGCTGTTTCATAACTGGAAGAAGAGAGTGAGGAGAACCACTGCCATTCCCAACCTCCAGTAAAGCATCAACTCCATGCACACAAGATCTGGACAGAGGAACACAACATCTTCCATGTGAGGAAACGACAAAATAATTTTCACAGAGTATGTTACCTTTTACCGTTCTCACCAGTCCTACCTTATGTAGCTTCCACATACCTTAACTACATATTTCTTCTTAGGCTAAGCACATTTGCTTATTTTTAAATTAAATCTCTAATATACTTTCCTTTCATCACAGTAACTTCCCTTTTATTGTCAATAATTGTTCAATCCAGATATTGATTTTAGAATTTTGTGTCATGCAATTATTTGGATGATAAACCAATATTACTTACATTTCCTTTGCCTCCTTTATAATTTTTTAATCACCCCCAAAACTATCTTTTAAATCTTCCCTAGGATTTAAGTCACCATAAAGACCAAAGTTCTGGCCGGGCGCGGTGGCTCACACCTGTAATCTCAGCACTTTGGGAGGCCAAGGCGGGTGGATCACGAGGTCAGGAGATCGAGACCATCCCGGCTAAAACGGTGAAACCCCGTCTCTACTAAAAATACAAAAAATTAGCCGGGCGTAGTGGCGGGCGCCTGTAGTCCCAGCTACTTGGGAGGCTGAGGCAGGAGAATGGCGTTAACCCGGGAGGCGGAGCTTGCAGTGAGCCGAGATCCCGCCACTGCACTCCAGCCTGGGCGACAGAGCGAGACTCCGTCTCAAACAAACAAACAAAAAAAAGACCAAAGTTCTGATTTTCAGTTGAAATTTCCATTTCTCTTCAATGTCCTGTCCTCTACAGTTACAAGTTGAAAAAATACTTTAATTTGTGTGTTTTGAATAGCAAATATTCTTGATTAGCCTTTACATATCTAACTATGTATTTTCATGCTCTCTATATTATGTATTATAATATACGTATATATTATACTTATACCTGTATAACTCAGGAATATTCTCTGCTCCTCTGTTGACAGTTATTCCATTTACAGATTGCAATCCCCAAAACTATAAACTCAGTGGGACTCAAGAGACCCAAAAGATGTCATTCACTTCACCCAATTTACTTACAGAGGTCTTTGTTTTGTTTTGTTTGCCCAGAGATTGGCCCAAAATATTTTGGATCTTTCCACATTATTTATGTCACAAGGACAATCTCTCAGCTAAACATAAACCATTACCTTGCCTCTCTTGATGGCCACATTTGAAGAGTAAAGGCCAGCGGGTTATCTGACACCTCCTTTGTCATCAGCAGACATTATTTTGGCATGGACTTTCTGGCCCAGGATGTGGGGAATGTTGGCAAAGAGACCCTAAGGAGAGCACACTGCATTGCAATACCTTTCTGAAGCTGTTAAACATGTGCTATGGAGATCTCTGGATGAAGAAATATGTTAGGTATGGAAGGGAAAATGTGGCTAGCACAATAACGCTGCTGGTTCTTCCAGCTCCACAAAAAAATAACCCAGAATGATTTTTTTTTACAGGCAGTATCAGAAGTCAAGGCAATACCCACCACTATATGAACTGGGCTGCCTCCACCATTAGCCTCTGAGTGAGATTGCCATAGGACATGGGCTGCTGAATGATCTGGTAGTTCCTCATGATGAAGAAGTTCAGGGACTGGAAGTAATCACAGAAGCCCAGGAAAAGATCAGGATCAGAGCTGCTAGGAAGAGAAGGCCAAAAAAAGTGGCCAGCGGCAGGTGGAGCAGCCCCAGACAATTGAGTGCAGTGAGGGTAAGGAGGGCCACTCTGATGATCTGCAGGGGGATGAAGACCGGTCTCTTGAAGCCCATGGTGAAGACACTGCCCTCCCTTGCCTTGCTGTCTCTCAGATGGGTTAAGGAGGTCATCCCATAGAAATAATCAAAGCTATGATGAAAAGCAAGAAGTCAGTCTTGCTGTGACAGCTTATCCCAATGTGCCATTTCTCTGAGAAGACAAATGGGGGATCACTTCAGTCCCAATAAATACCCTGATTCCAATCCAAGCTTCTTTTCCCACATACTGAAAAGGAGGCTCTTTCTGACTACTTTATGAAGCTAACCTTCCTGCTCATAGGACCTTAGAGTTTTTCACTTCTTTTTCCACAAATGCTAAGGTATTACCTACTCAGTCTACCAGAAAATAGGAAGTAATTTAGTGATTCCAACAAAACAAAACAAAACAAAAAAAAACAAAAAAGCCCAACCGGATCAAAATCCCAAAAGAAAATACCTAACATTTTTAATGGGCAGGAAACACTCCACAGAAAATTACAAGGGTTTTTTTTTTTTTTTTTTTTTTTTTTGTCTTTTTCTTGCCCAGATGCTTTTCTGAGACAGGCCCTTAAAATTAAAGTTTTAGAAGCAACTTAATTTTGTTCCATGAATGTTAAAAGTGGAAATGAATACTTACTTCAGAACATACCCCTGAGACATGAAGAAATCACTCTCAGTAACTCAGCAATTATTTAAAGCACCTCTGAAAATGTCCTATAAAATGTTAATTAGATCACTAAATTAATGAGTGCCTCAAAAAATGATTTTTTTTAACAAGATGTTGGAAGAAAGAGATGAGTCATTTTGCTCCTCTGAGGTTCGCTAGGATTCATCTTACGACTTGCTTAGACTCAAGTTCTTCATGCAGTCAGGAAGGTGTCAATCCTATCTACAGTATAAAATCAGTGAGTGTGTCAACCATGACAAATTCTGACATAATTTTAGTACTGGAAAGTAAAATGAAAATTTTTATCAATAGCATGATGTGTATATATAGTTTTGTGTGTTCCATCTATATGTCTATCTTTCATCTGTTACATCTATCATCTATTTCATCTATCTATTTATCTATCTATCTCTATTTCATCCATCCATCCATCCATCCATCCATCCCATCTGTCATCTTTGCCTCTCTCGTTGCATTTATTTATTGATAATATCTATCTATCTAGCTATCTATCTATCATCTATTTTATCAATTTATCCATCCATCTATCTCATCTTTGTCTCTTTCTGCATCTGTCTATATATCGATGTATATATGTATCTCTCTATATTTCTATCTGTTTCTCTATGTGTCTCTTTATTATCTATCTAGGTAGCTAGGTAATTAGCTACCTAGTTAGCTATCATCTATTCCATCCATCCATCCATCCATCCATCCATCCATCCATCCATCACATCTATATCATCTTTATCTATCTATCTATCTATCTATCTATCTATCTATCTATCTATCTATCTATCTATCTATCTATCTACCTATCCATCCATTCATCAATGCTTTCTTCCAACCATCCATTCATCCATTTATCCATCTATCATAAGGAATTATCTAAGTATCTATTTATCTCTACACACACACACCAGACAAAACACACACACACACACACACACACACACACACACACACACACATCTATACATTCAAGTAGTCCAGGTAGGCTCATTGTGGTTTTAACCTAGAATTGAAATAATTTTGTTCCCAATTAAAATTGTTCAAAGTATACCACTGATGTTATCCCTAAGATAATTGTCATGATGCTCTCTCCCACTCTTCTACGAACTTTGTCCAAGTCCTCCCTGCTGTTCCTCAGATGCCCATACCTATTAGCACTGTTGAATAGCCTTCAACCTTCAGGTAATCTCATTGGTGGGAAGTCCTCCCGAAGAGGCTGTGAGGAGGAAACCTCCAGTGCAGGACCAAGATGCCATTCCTGAACCAGGAAAAAATAAACCCTTAGGAACCAGGAGATACCTGGAGGTGAGAAGCTGTCCCAAAGGAGACCACAGCCCCTGCAATGCAGTTAGGTTACCTGATCAGACAGGCTACCGGCCAGTCATGAAGGCTGCCCTGCTTGGTGTGCACAGCGGTGATGCTGCCAAGTGCTGAGTGAGTTTCACTCCCTCACTGGCCAACCAGTCAATATTGGGAGTCCTAGAAAAAAGAATGATAGTATTTGTGATCATTTTCATTTATTGTTCATTTATTTATTTTTGAGGCATGGTCTCACTCTATACCCAGGATGGAGTGCAGTAGTGCGATCTCCGCTCACTGCAACCCCCAACGTCTGAGAGTTCAAGCAATTCTCCCAACTCAGCCTCGTGAGTAGCTGTGACAACAGGCATGTACCACCATGCCTGGGTAATTTTTATATTTTTTGGTAGAGACAGGGTTTCGCTATGTTGACCAGGCTTGTCTCAAACTCCAGACTTTAAGTGATCTGCCTGCCTCAGCCTCCCAGAGTGCTTGGATTAAAGATGTGAGCCACCGTGCCCAGCCGCCTTGTGATAATTTTCAAAATGAAGCTGTGCTGTGGCTCTTTATAGTAAGAAACTTTTCAATGAGCAAGGGTGAGTCTGGGGTTATGAGAGGGAGAGAGAAAAAATGAGATGCAGAGGAAGCAGGAAAGAAATGATACAGAACCAAGACTCAAACTACAACAAAACCATGGAGATATGTGAATGATGAAGGTAGGACATCCCCAGAAGGTCCATTCATGCTATAGAGGGCTGTGAGCTCCTGGTCCCACTAGCCCCGAGTTTGAAGAGAGAAACCAAGTCTTAGAAATGGTATACTACAAGGAGGGAAGGTACTCCCACTCACATCTTCCAAGTTTCTCTGTTTCCCAAAAAGAGAAATCTGCAGGGTCAATCTGACTCCCCTCTTCCCAACACAGCCAAAGGGAATAACAAAAACCAGCTTTAATAAGCCCCTGCCTAATTTCCTCATGCCCCCAGGGACAGGAAATACTCAGATTCCATTTGCCTCAACAGTGAGCATCAATAAGTGGGTTAATATGCTCCAGGGAAAACGCACAAACATTATAGTGAAGAAATTAGATGTTGTGATCCCCACATACCCTTTGTTGGCTTATTTTTTAATACACTTTATAAATACTTGTTATGAGCTCACTTGTAAAGTGATACCTTATGCAAGATAAGCCACCCTGGTGCCTTTTCTCCATGAATGGATAGGCTGATCATCGTTTGGAAGTCATTTAGGAATTAATATGTTTTAGTTTTTGGACCATACTAAGCTATACCCCACAAGATATATCCCAAGTCCTCCACTGGGAATCCTGGAATCCCTTTCTCCCTACCTGGCTAGTCATCTGCCATCCTTCAGTTCCAGGTACAGATGAAATTCTCAGGGGCCTCCAGTGCTCTTCCTTGTTTATGCAAGGAAATGACCTGTATTTAGGAGAGTAGTCCATACTCCACCAACCCACCAGCTTCCTCACTGTGAAGCAATGATATGGCTAACTAGGCTCCCCTCCAAGATGGCCACCTGTGGGGTGGGAGTATACATCTTGTTCATTGGTCCTATGTCTTCCCTAGAGCAATACTCTCCAAGAGTAGTGCTGCAGTGATGCATAGCTTGAAGGGGGAAATACTTCCTTTGGATCTGTAATGTCAAACTAGTGGCCATTTATTAATTTAGTGAATGTGTTTAATTATCAGTATTTCTACTTTGCTGTTTTCTTAAAGAGTGAGCTGCTTAGAAGATGGAGAGGGTTTTTGCATTTGAATTAAACCTCCTAGTGTCTATACTGGCCCATGGAAAAAAATGACTATTTTGGGGTGTGATATTACAAACTATAATATGAGAAATGTAACTCAGAAAAAACGGGACTCTAACATAGAGCCCAAGACAGATCTAGGGTTGATATTGCTATCAATTCTTCCATGGGACTTTTAGACATTTTTTCTTTTGATAATTGGTAAAGAGTTAACTTTAAAGACTTGGCTCTAACTTTTTAATTAAGACATCTTGGTAGGAACAGTTATCTATTATCTCAATACACCTTAGGAATACATAAAGTTAAAAAAAGATAAAATAAAAAACTGAATAAAATTGTGACACTGGTAAGAAAAACTAAATTAAAAAGATCTATATCACAGATGTAAAAAGTAATCTGTAAAAGTTTTAAAAATGCAGGCAAA
Source organism: Homo sapiens (assembly GCF_000001405.40). Taxonomy (NCBI): domain Eukaryota; kingdom Metazoa; phylum Chordata; class Mammalia; order Primates; family Hominidae; genus Homo; species Homo sapiens. The sequence continues at coordinate 15,547,601 of NC_000024.10, read as the reverse complement.
AGGTGAGGCAGAAAACACACATAGATAATTAATTAAAAGTGCTCTCTTAAAACTGAGATCTTATCTTTGCATATGCTTTTTAAAATTTAAGCAACATCATAGGTCAATCTAATTTTAAAAAAGTAAAAAGCAATGTTATGCAAAGGTTCAGGTTGAAAGTGAGACACATTTGGCTATGTCTTGTGGAGAAGATTTTCTTCAACATTATGATTTATGTGTTTACTGAGGAGCTGCCTTTCCAACCTGAGAGTCCTGTTCCCATAGCACCCAGGATCTCCAATGCCAAGGTCGTCAACCATGACCAGGATGATGTTCGGCCTTGATGCTGCATGGCTCTCAGCTTCTCACGGAAAGAACAGTAGGTGGAAAGGAATCTTCTTCTTCCTGTAAAGGACAAGGACACAAAAAGGAAATGAACAATGCTGGCTTGTGGTTGGCTGTGACCCTCCACCTCTTGGACCCCTATCCCTCCTTGCACAAAGTGACTGGAGCGGCCATTCTTAAAACTTGCCTTTGTCACACAATATGTGCAAGAAAGACACTTGTCTTTGCTCAAGCAATCCTCCTGCATCAGCCTCCCAAGTACCTGGGACTATAGGCATGTGCCACCATGCCCAGCTACTCTTTGTATTTTTTGTGGAGATGAGGTCTTGCTATATTACCCAAACTGGTCTTGAACTCCTGGGCTCAAAAGATCCTTATGTCTCAGCCTCTCAAAGGACTAAGTTGTGATGCCTGTCCTGGCTTAGTAGCTTTTTAAGGGAAACATGGAAACCTTTCAAAACTCAAAGTGCACAAGGTCACCAGCCTGGGGCAGCTCTTTGTGCTGGAAAATATACAGAGGGAAGAGAATTCATCCATTGTCCATGTCTGCCATCTCAACACTCTCTCACCTCACTGCATTTCATTCCTTCCAAGAATAACAGGTGGAGGAAGCTTCAGGGAGAATGGCAGCTTGAACACACACACAATGCCTCTTTTGTGTGGAGGTCTATGTGTGTGTTCCATAGCCTGTCTCCCCTTGAGTCAGAGTCCCTCTTGTTGAGGGGGTTGCTGGCTTTCTACTTCATTTTGTGGTTTGCCTCTCTTCTGATTCCTGCGGTTTTGCTGACCCACCTGCAACAGGTTCTCTATTCAGAACCAGAGTTTATGTTGAGCAAATATGAGTAGGTTACTCAACATGTTTCCCAGCCAGAGAAAGGCCTGGCTTGGTTTCTTTGAAGGTGGTAGGTAGGTGTGTGGTGTGGTAGCCCTAGATCTTACTCAATATCAATGTCTTTCTAGTCTTCTCCCCATAAGCTGTGGTAGGCAGTATCTCTCCCACCTCCTGGTTCAGAGTCCTGAGCCAGGTTCTTGCTCTCAAAAACTTCTTGGCTGATTGTGGTGGCTCACACCTATAATCCTAGGACTTTGGGAGGCTGAGGCAGACAGATCACTTGAAGTCAGGAGTTTGGAATGAGACTGCCCATCATGGAGAAGTCCCGTTTTTACAAAAAATACAAAAATTAGCCAGCCATGGTGGCATGTGCCTCTAACCCCAGCTACTTGAGAGGCCGAGGCAGGAGAATCGCTTGAACCCAGGAGGCAAATGCTGCAGTAAGTTGAGATCATGCCACTGCACTCCAACTGGGGTGACAGAGAGAGACTCCCTCTCAAAAAAAAAAAATCAAAAATCAAAAAACAAAAACAAACTTCCAGAGCCAAGTCTCTGCTGCACTGACCCTGACATCAGGAGACAGAACTCATTACTTTCTCTTTCTGTTTCTCACCTTCCCAGGGGGAAAAAATATACATATATTCTTTATTTTTCTCACTAGCCCAGGAAAAAATTTCATGACATTCAGTTTAGGTGGTGGTGGGGTGGGTAGCTGTTAATCATATCAGCTCTCTGAATCTTAGTTTTCTTAACTGTAAAGTGAAAGAAATTGAACATTTTTTTCATTTTATTAAGTAATTTTATTTTTATTTATTTTCTTTTAAAAAATAATTGAGACAGGGTTCTGGCTCTGTTGCCCAGGATGGAGTGCAATCATGTGATTATAACTCACTGCAGCCTCCAACTCGTGGGCTCAAGTGATTCTCCCACTTTAGCCTCCTGAGCAAGCTAGAATTACAGTTGCACACTGCCATGCCTGGGTAATTTTTTTTTTATTATGTTTCAGAGTGAAGGACCTTACTATGTTGCCCAAGCTGGTCTCGAGCTTTTGGGCTCAAGTGCTCCTCCCACATCATCCTCCTGAGTATCCGGTATGATGGTGAGCAACACTGGGCTTGGCTAATTTATTTTCAATTATTATTGAGGAGATAGGGTCTTGCTATGTCACCCAAGCTGGTCTCAAACTCCTGGGCTCAAGTGATCCTCCTGCCTTGGCCTCTCAAAGGACAAGAATTATAGGTATGAGCCACTGTGCTCAGCTTAATTTTACTTACTTTTAATTTTTTAAATGTGTGCAGATTTAGGGGGCATAGTACAGATATCTTACATGCATGTGTACTGGTGGAGTCTGGGCTTTTAGTGTACCTATTTGTTCTCTCCTGACACTGGACCCTCATTGCTGCATATGTGGAGCACTGATCGCCCTTCAGCATGTAAAGTGGCATGTGAGCTTGACCTTACTCTGCATCTGCTCTTGCACTCACACCAGACTTAGTGCATGTGGACAGCACCCCCAGAGTCACTGAGGACACTTGGCATCAAGGCCAGTGCACACAGTATGGCAGAATCTCTTCCCTGGCTTTCCAGCAACACCTGTCAGAGTGAGCTGTTCCCTCGCTCAGGTATGCACTCCTCTTTGAACACGCTCCCTGAGGTTCCTATTGTGTCCCTCCTTCTGCAGAGTCTCTATTTGCTGGTTCTTCCTCATTCATGGACCTCAGAATCAGGATCACAACCCCACATAATTACAAAGGCTGGATGGGAGATGGGAAATGGCCTGGGTTTAGCAATTGATATGGGGAGGGGACTTTGCCAACCCAGAGCTTGCACCCATCCTGAAAAATGTTATCTTGTAGTAGCTTCCAATTTTTAAAGAGAAGACAGACACACAGAGTTTCCTCCAGTTATATGACCATTAGTTTGATAATTTAAACAAATGTGTAGGCTAACTTGGTGCAAGTACTCAAAGAAACAATCAAACAATGACTATACGTATTTCCTGACCTGGTGCCACTTCTTAGTGTCCATTGTCCATTGTCCAGTTCATAAGTCTCAAGACACTTTGTGCTTTTCCTAAATATTGTAATCCTCAAGACACTTTCTGCTTTTGTGATCTCCTCCTTACCTTTATGAAATACACATGCTGTCTTGGTGAGATTAAATACCAGATGAATGCTAAGAAACACCACAGTTTTTCATCCAGAGAGACTGAATGTCCAAACAATGAATTAGGTTCTCCATACGGACATCTACCTGGTATCTTGAATTTAACATGTTCAAACAGAGATTATGAATGTAAAAAGCACTCTGCTATTATTATGTGAAACTATTTTTGCCATTGAGTCTAAAGGCCCCCAATTTAGTTTAATGTGCTTAAATGCTAAATACAGACAAAGCTGGTGCAAAGTAACTTCTTACTGAATTCCTCATGTAAGACTGAATGAAATAATCCAGACACACAATGTCTTCATGTCAAAGACTTTGTCCATCTTAATGGTTAGGCTAATATTTACGCTTTGAAAAAAAATGAGAAATAACCTCTTTTTTTAAAAGCATGGTTTAAGACTGTGGACTTGCACAGTGAGAAGCTGGAATGAACTTAAACACTGGCTTCAGAGTGTACCGCAATATGCAGATAGTATAATTTCAGTTAAAAAATGCCTTGCAAATCCCGCATCCCAATTCTTTTATTTTCAGATGGGGAAACTAAGACTCAGAGAGATTGGCTGGTCATGGGGGCTCGCACCTATAATCCCAGTGTTTTGGGAGGCTGAGGAGGGACGACTGCTGAAGCTCAGGAGGTTGAGTCCAGACTGGGAAATATGTAAGATCTTGTCTCTAAAAAAAATAAAAATAAAAATTATTTGGGCATGGTAATGCACGCCTGTGGTCCCAGTTACTTGAGAGGCTAACACAGGAGAACTGCTTGAGCCCAGGAGTTCCAGGCTGCAGAGGGCTGTAATGATGCCACTGTTCTCCAGCCTGGTGACAGAGTGAGACTCTCTAATTAATTTATTTATTAAATACAGAATACAGACTTTGTACCAAAAAAACCTGGCATGAATGTAAAGGCTGGCTTGATATAATATAACAACATTCGTATAATATTCAGGTAAGACAATATCAGTTAGAAAAGACCAGGCAAATAATGTATCTCAATTCTCTTACTTTCAGAAGGGAAAACAAAGACCCAGAGAGATTCAGTGAACTGCCGTAGTCATACTCACAGCAAGCTGTGGTTTCTAGACTAGCACCCAGGACTCCTTATGGCTCTTCTCTCTCAGATTGTCCCTGGAACCCAGTATTTCTAATGGGCTTTTCAGCATTCCACATGGTGGAGACTTCAGTGCTTTTCTAATTACTCAAGCAGTTCCCTTAGCTACTGAATAATGCCTGTCATTTCCCAGGGCTCTGTACTGATGCCTCCTGTTCCTGCTGATAGAAACAGGTCCTGTCTAAAAACCTCACAACCACTGCCCACCCAGACTGAGTCCCACCACTGGTGGCTGATGATGAGGATACGGAGCTCTGTCTCATGGACTTTGGGGTTTAATACTGCTAAAGCCCCTACTGCTGCCAGATGGCTGGCTCCTGCACTGGTTGTTCCTGAAGCTTCCAGCTATATGCTGTTGATGCCCTAAGTCCTAATATTTCTTGTGGATTTCAGTAAAAGCGCACTTCACTTTTTTCCCCCTTGGAACCTGAGAATTAGGTAGACTTCCCTGTTGAGTGATCAATGGACATGTGTCTGAATGTCAATAGATTTCTCTAATCAGGCTACCTGGCTGTGGCCCATACTGCTTCTCAGCCTGAACTTGGAAGGAATTGCTTCTCAATAGGCTTTTTTATCTGAGTAAAACAGACTTCTGTGGTGCTTCTACCTTGGGTCCTGAAGATATGTCTCTATCCTGGATAGAATACACCTTAGGCATAGGTTGGGCTGGAAAGTATAAATGCATGCTATATGCCAATTATGTCTTTAAAAATAAGCCTTGTTCTGATTAAAAATGGGTGGTAGATTATTATTTTTAAAAAATAAGTACTCAATCCCGGGGAATTGGAAATAATTGTTTAATAGATACTGAGTTTCAGTTTTGCAAGATGAAAATAACTCTAGAGATAAAGAGTGGTGATGGCTGCACAACAGTGTGAACATACTTAATGCCACTTAAAAAAAGGCTAAGATGGTAAATGTTATGTTATGTGTATTTTGCCACAATTATAAATAACCAATCTTAAAAAACAAATAAGAAAAAATCTTGTAATGTTAGATTTGAAATGGAAATATTAAAATGAACATTTTAGTTAAAAAAAAGATGGCTGGGAGTGGTGGCTCATGTCTATAATCCCAGCACTCTGGGAGGTTGAGGCAGTCCAGATGTCAGGAGTTCGAGACCAGCCTAGCTCACATGGTGAAACCTCATCTCTACTAAAAATACAAAAAATAGCTGGGCGTGGTGGCATGTGCCTGTAATCCCACCTACTCCAGAGGCTGAGACAGGAGAATCCCTTGAACCCAGGAGGAAGAGGTTGCAATGAGACAAGATCATGTCACTGTGCTCCAGACTAGCTGACAGAGCAAGACTCTGTTTCAAAACAACAACAACAACAACAACAACAAAATGCAATCCTTTCTCTGACCCACTGGTATTGAATGAGGCCATGTAATTTGCACTGGCTTTATAGAAACCACAGTATACTTGTTCAGCGTTGATTTGGGGCTTGACCATGTGATTTGGCTTAGCTAATGGGATGCTATCAGATGTAAGAGAAGCAGAAACATTATACTTGCATGTTTAGCCTGGCCCGTTGTACTTTTGTCATTACTACAAGAAGCACTTTCTCTAGTATGTGCTACCTCCCTTTCTGCCTGAGCCCCAGAATAAATGCATTTGTAGCAGACACAGCCCAACAGGCAGCTTGGAGCTTGTTTGTTTCAGCCAACAGAAAAACCAGTGAGAATATACACTGTTGTGTTAAACTGTTGAGCTTCAGAGTGTACATGACATTATTGTGGTAACAATTTGCTGAGACACTATATTATCTGAGTTGTCAGTTTGCAAAAACAGACAAAAGCTATGCACTGCAAATATTGATATAATATACATAATTAGGGTCCAGAGAAAATCAACAACATTTTGAAGTGGATTTTTTTTTGGTCTGTTTTCATGTGTATTCACCTTGACTTCCCATAAAGTATTTATAATCCCTTAATTTTCCTTTGCAATTCTCCCCCATGGCTCTCTGAGTGAATAAATATTCACTAAATTACTTAATTCAGCCTTGGTAAAGGAGTACACACAAATGCAAACTAGACAGTCAGGATAATGGGTTCCGTTATATGTCATGAATGGCATTAAATCAGGATTTCTCAGTCTCTGCACTATTGACATTTGGGGACAGATGATTCTTAGTGTAGGGGCCTGTCCTGTGCATTGCAAGATATTCAGCTTATCTCTAGCCTCTACCCACTATATGCCAGTAACATGTATAACTCCCCTCAGTTATGAGATCCAAAGATGTCTCCAGACTGTACCAGCCACTGCTGAGAGAAAGGGAGACAAAAATTTCTGCTGCTTGAATACTACTCTATTACAGCAAAAAAAGGAAGCTGGTGTGAGAGAGTAGAGATTCAGTAATGAGAAAGAAGTCACTGTCAACTACATTTTCCTCTTAGCTCCAAGAGAAGTATTTTTTCTTACAACATCCTACATAGTTGTTCCATGCAATCATTAACTCTATGTTCTTGCAGCTGCACACTAGTAGAATGTGAAGTATTTTCAGAAGCATGCTATTTTTTAAAGAAGACACATTAAATGTGGGAAGCTATGTGACTGGCAGTCTGGGGGTACTTCCTTCACACATGACATTACTAATCATAGTCAATCACCTCTCTCTCTCTCCTGATCCACTCAATTCTCCTTATCTACATTGAGTTGGTACTTTTGTTATTCAGTTAGATTCCTAAGCTTTGGAAGGTGATTGAGTGATTGATTCTCTTACTCTTATTTTTTCAAATAAATAGGGCAAAATAGTTTTTTTGTTTGTTTGCTTTAAGTCTCTTCACTTTTATCTCCTTGGGAGACTAAAGTCCATGGGACTAATCCTAGAATTCAAGGATGTGTTTGATGGTCATTCACTTTCTATGATGGGGGAAATGTTTACATGAAAACACACACATGCACACACACACAGACATGTATTTGGTATATTCAGATTATTCAGCTTAGTTCTATCATTATTACCACAGAATTATTTTATGTGACACACATTTCATTTATAATTTATGACATTCACTTGACATGAATTCTATAGAAAGTCTAGAAAAAAATGATATAGTCCTTAGCATAGACTTTGCCTCTTCTCTCTTTTAAAAGAGGCCAGAAATAAAACTACCCCTTATCTCATCATAAAATTATTATTTTGCAGTTAAAGATCTGTGATGGCTTCACACTGGCCTAAGACACAGACTGAGAGTGTTACTAATGGATCATCTCCTTCCCAGGTGAGAATTACCATCCCCTGAACATCATTAACATAAAATCCCATGCAGTACCCTGCTACCTTCCTTGCAGACTGTGAACACTGTGCTGGGCAGGACCCACAGCTAAGTAGAGAGTCTCTCCCAAATCTTAAGTCCTTAAACACAAACTTGGTAACAAAGAGAAAACTGGCTTATCTTGTAAACAGGCTTTTTAAGACTAGACTCAAGATGATGTGTGCTCCAACACATTTTGTCGTGTGTTTTTTTTGTTTGTTTGTTTGTTTTAGAAACACTATCCCTTTCTTGGAAAAGCTATTTTGAGACAATTCTTCATTGCATTCAACATCATTAACTCTTTGGCTGACAAATCTAGGCTCCAATTCCACATCCGTGATACAGAAATCGGAAGCATGAGCAAAAATATCTGTACAAGTACTGCATGCTTCTGTTTAAACAGCTAGATGAATGTAATAAAAGGTGAACTTTCCCATCTTTAAAAACTGCAATCATAACAATGGACCTCATATTGGAGTGAGGTGAGGAAAGGCTGAAGAATGAAAGAAGGACAGAGATAATTTGGAGAGGCCAATCTTCAGCCCCCATCCCCAGCTTCCATGTGACTTATCTAGGGATTCCTTGCATGGGAGGAAGTTCCTTGTATGGGAGGAATAAGTTCTCCTTTTATTATCACTGTGCATTTCTTTCTCAGTACTGATGATACAAGCAACTGCAGTTTGGGTTATTTTGTGTTTAATCTTCCCTGCTACACTGGAAACATTCTGCAGGCAGGAAGAAGTCTAAATGCCTCCTGGCTATGTCCCTACCATCCACTCTCACGCTTGGCACACACTAGATAGTCAATATTTGTAAACTGAGCCAATGAGTAAATAATCACAGAGAAGTTTTGTAAATCAGAGATCAGAGGATTGTTCCCCTTCCTAATTGGACTGTAGACACCATGTGAGCAGGGGCTGGTTGAGCAAGTATCTAAGAAAGACACATTAAATCAAACATGTATGTTTATTCTGTTTAATTAAAAGGCCCTCATGCCATTTCAACCAGAGAAGAAATTAAGCAGGGCCATCCACCAGTTTTTAAATGATTGGAAGGTTTTACAGGGTACAGAGAAGATTCAAATTTAGCATCCGTCTTTAAATATGAAGTGTGAGACACACTGGAGGATTTAAAGATAACCAACAACACCATTAATAATGCCCATGAAAAGCTCAGGGTTGGAGAATCAGGAGTCCCTAAGTAGATTTAATGCCTTACAAATCCATAACTAATATTAGAAATTTGCAAAAGAATGAGCTTAATAACCTGTCTCTCTAAGAGTGCAATATATAGTATTCATATCAGAGAAGGCTAGAGGCAGCAGGCTGTGTTCTGTGTATCTACTTCATTACTAGGTTCATGTTTCACTAGATACAGAAAATAAATACACAATTTTTCTTATATTAAAATAATAATTGAGTGCTTAATATGTACCAAGCACTGCAACTGCTTTACCTACTTCTTAACCAATTTCGCCTGTGTGAAAAAATAACAGGGGAACTCATTTTTATCATGAGTGATATTTGACTTAGGGACCTCAGATTTTGTTGATAGTGTTTCTCAGCCTCAACACTATTGACATGGGGACTAAATGAGTCTTTATTGGTGGGGAGGGGAGCTGTTCTGTGCATTGTAAGATGCTTAGCAACATCCCTGGCTTCTACTCACAAAACCCCAACAGGATGCTTCCCCCAACCCTCTCTGTTCTCCCCTAGTTGTGAAATAAATGTGTCTTTCAGATACTGCCAAATATCCTCTGGGGCACACAAGTGCCCCTGGTTGAAACCACTGCATTACTGCTAGCATGTTACCCTCCCTGTTGAAAGGAGGGGCCAGCTGGCATTCCTGCGTCAAGTAAAGGCTCAGAAAGCTGTGAAACTCACTTATTTCCTGCTTCAGGACTTACTTTTGTCCTGGATGAATAATATTAAAGTTATATTCTTAACAGCAAGATTTTTGCATGTGTTTTCTTCCCCAAGAAAGCTATAGACAGCAAAAATTTTGCTGTAAGCTTCCCTGTGTCCTCTCTCCCTCTCTCCCTTCCCCCTCCCCTAAAACTAAAAGGAATGTTAAAGACCTGTTTTTCTGTGACCAGTGGTCCTTATCTATGCTCCCAATTCCAATTCCTTGTGAACATACTTTGTAAAGTCCTGTAAAATCCTGTCTCCTTTACCATGCTGCTGCAAGGTCAAAAGGTAGATAAAACCTAAGTTGCAATTTTGGTTTTCCTCAAAATCTAAGGCATGTCACAAAATAATTTACTGGTTTTTTTCTTGCTTGGTTAACATCTTCCCTCTGGACGTAATTCCCACCTTAAAGAGTTTAAAAGGCAACTGCATAATCAAACTCTGGCTACCCACTCAGGACCCCTTCCACGCTGTGGAAGCTTTATACTGTTACTCTGCTCAATAAAGCCTACAGCTTTTTTTTTTTTTAATCTTGGTCCACGTCTCCATCACTCTCCGCAAGCAGCCACCACACAAATTCTTTGGTGTGTCTAAGGCAACAACCTTTGGCATTACAATATCATCTGTAGCATTTTCACCTCCTGTACATAACAGAATTGCAATTTATTTCTTCTGTCCCTGTACATAGGCAGACGGGCATCTACCAAAGGATTTGGAAATGACAATCCATTTGAGTAGGTGAAAATTTCTTGTTTGCACCCTCAAGTACATTTCAATTCTAACAGACAATCTTCGTTAGGTATAATATACTTCTACAAGTTATAGAAGCCCTTAAATTCCAATGCACATAGGCAACCATCTCCAAAAAGGCTTTTCGAGGCAAACATTAGGCTGAAAATATTTCTTCTTCTCATACCTTTCCAGTTGCTTATTCCACCATTTGTCCATGTGGCAAATCTTTCGCTACCTTGCATTTTTATCAAGAGTTATCCTATGCACAACAGCATCGTGCTCCTTGCCAGTCTGAACCCAAATTAAAAAATCCAGCCAGGAGTAGTGGCTCATGCCTGTAATCCCAGCACTTTGGAAGGCCGAGGCAGGTAGATCATGAGGTCAAGACATCAAGACTATCCTGGCCAACATGATGAAACCCCATCTCTACTAAAAATACAAAAATTAGCTGGGTGTGGTGGCACAAGCCTGTAGTCCTAGCTACTCAGGAGGCTGAGGCAGGAGAATCGCCTGAACCCAGGAGCTGGAGGTTGCAGTGAACCGAGATTGTGCCACTGCACTCCAGCCTGGGCAGCAGAGTGACTCCAACTAAAAAAAAAAAAAAAAAAAAAATCCTTAGTCCCACACATTCATCATTGGGAATCATATCCTTCTTTATTTTATTTTATTTTATTTTTTTAGACAGAGTACTCACTCTGTGGCCCAGGTTGGAGTGCAGTGATACAATCTGGACTCACGGCAACCTCCACCTAGTGGGTTCAAGTGATTTTCCTCCCTCAGCCTTCCGAGTAACTGGGATTACAGGCATTCACCACCACGCCTGGCTAAGTTTTTTTGTTGTTAGTAGAAACGAGGTTTTGTCATGTTGACCAGGCTGGTCTCATACTCCTGACCTCAAGTGATCTGCCCACCTCAGCCTCCTAAAGTGCTGGGATCACAGGCATGGGCCACTGCATCCAGCCTGGACACCATAGCCTTCTCTGTCTCTCTCCCCTGACCTACTTCCAATCACCTTCTCACCTCCCTCCCTTTTCAGGATCTCCTGTTTTCATAAAAAGCAAACCCAGAGCTCCAGAATTCTTCCTGTAAAGATAACCAAGCCAGGAAATGTGATAGTCTCCATTTTTTTTTTTTTTTTTGGTTGCAGCTACTCTCTGATTCCTAACTCTCCTTAATTATCTCCTTGGTAGCTTTTATTCTCTGTTTTTCAAGAACGAGCAGAATGAAAGGAGAAATGAGTCATACTCTGACCTCATCTCAGACCACCAGCTATGATGCTTTAGGAGGCATGTTCTCCTTGTGAATCATTCTTCTGCACATCACTCTGAGATGTCACCTTAACCATCATGGAGTCACCCATGATGACTAATAAAATATTTCTGAAATGTGGCCAGATGCAGCAGTTTAAATGTGCAATTCCAGCACTTTGAGGAGGAGGATTGCTTGAGCTCAGGAGTTCAAGCCCAGCCTGAGAAACATAGTAAGATCACAACTCTACAAAGAATTTAAAAATTAGGCTAGGGGAATTGGCTCATGCCTGTAATCCTAGCACTTTGGGAGGCCAAGGCCAGTGGGACACCTGAGGTTAGAAAAAAAAATTAAAATTAGCTGGGTTTGGTGGCACGTGACTGTAGTCCCAGCTAATCAGGAGGCTGAGGCAGGAGGATGGCCTGAGCCCAGGAGTTTGAGGCTACACAGTGAGCTATAATCATGCCACTGCACTCTACTCTGGGCGAGAGACCAAGACCCTGCCCTCCCCCTCCACCCCAAAAAAAGTTTTCCAAAATGATAAAGTGGTAGGCAAGTGTAACTTGTTAGGGGCATTTTAATCTAGCTACACTTTTACAATAGAAAGCAATTCACTGACAATTCAACTGAATCCATTTCAATTCCACAAACACGGTGTAAAACCTAGAAAGATGACATCATAACAGTCCTGTGGTGGTTCCACATTGGATGAGACACACAGTCACCTTACAAGACTTTGACTGGTCAAATGAGGAAATCCGCAAGTACTATGTCCACTAAATTGGGCAGTAGAGTCAGAAATGTGTTTTTTGTTGTTGAGATTTACGTTCTCTCTCCCGTGCTTGCTAGCAGTGAAACCACGAGCTGTATATTTAGCCTGTTAGTTTTCTCTTCTGTAAAAGAGGAATAATAATACCTTATAAGTATTATTTTGAGGATAAAACTACACACTGAGGATTGTTAAATATTTATTTTTAATTTATTTATTTATTTTGAGACAGAGTCTCACTCTTTCACCCAGGCTGGATTGCAGTTGCACAATCAAAGCTCACTGAAGCCTTGACCTCCCAGCTCGAGCAATCCTCCCACCTCAGCCTTGGGGACCTTAAATTTTGTTAATAGTGTGGCTGGGATTACAAGGGATCACCACCATGCCCAGCTAATGTTAAATTTTTTTTAGAGAGAGACAGGGTCTCCTTCTGGGTTCTTAGTACTTATTGATTTAGTAAGGAAATCATAGTAAGAGGCCACAGTTTTTCACTGTAGTTATTTAATAATATTGAATTATTAATTTGTAAGTTATTATTAATAACAATATGATATGTAGAGTATAAAGTATAGTAATAGTGTTTTTAAAAAAATGTGGTCAGCCAACTAAAAGTGGCCCCAGTGACTTCCCTTCTGGTATTCACATCTGATACAATCCCCTCCCACTGAGTATGGGCTGCACCTACTGATTTAGTTCCAATGATAGCATAAGGGAAAAGTGATCAGATGTCACTTCTGTGATTGGGTTGCCAACGACTATGACCTCTATCTCGCTGGCACTCTAGATCTTTCTGGTTGTGGATGAAGTAAGTGGCCATTATGGAGAGGCTCATGTTATAAGGAAAAGAGGGAAATGTCTAGCCAACAGCCAGCAAAATTTGAGGTTTTCAGGCAGACAGCCTGTGAGGAACTAAGCCCTGCCTGCAACCAACTAAATGAGCTTGGAAAGAGATGCTGCCACATTTGAACCACAAATGAGACCGCAGCTCCGGCACTTGATTGCAGACTAATAGAGACCTAGAAGCTGTGCCCAGATTTCTCTCTTACAGAAACAATGAGATAACAAATGTGAGTTGATTTAAGCTGTTAAGTTTTGGTGCAATTTGTTACACAGTAGTAGATAACTCCAACAGCTTAAGATGAGAAGTTCAATTGTGTCAATGAATATGAGGAAAAGCACTCCAGAGTAGTGGCTCTGAATGTCATGTTGAACTTATTTTAAGAACATGTTTCATTAGTAATCATTCATCAGAATTTATATAAGCGATTTAAGGACACATGTCTCAACTCAGCAACCATATAAAAATAAATTTTGGGGCCGGGCGCGGTGGCTCACGCCTGTAATCCCAGCACTGTCAGAGGCTGAGGCAGGTGGGTCATGAGGTCAGTAGATCGAGACCGTCCTGGCAAACATGGTGAAACCCTGTCTTTACTAAAAATTTTAAAAGTTAGCCGGGCATGGTGGTAGGCACCTGTAGTCTCAGCTACTAGGGAGGCTGAGGCAGGAGAATGGCGTGAACCCGGGAGGCGGAGCTTCCAGTACTTCAAGATTGCACCACTGCACTCCAGCCTGGGCAACAGAGTGAGACTCTGTCTCATAAATAAATAAATAAATAAATAAATAAATAAATAAATAAATAAATTTGTGTTTTACAATTGAAAATTGAAAGCACTGAAATTAGAAAAAAAGGCATTTAGTGTAGCCCCAAGGGAAATTGTTGAAAAAGAGATTAAATATAGCAAAATGCAGGCTCTATGTGACTATTAACTAAAATCTCACACAGACACAAAAATAAACAGCTATATAGAGACCTACTTTGGGCTACTATGCTTTGTAATTTTTGTACACAAAAATGGAATTTTTTTAAAGTATATTTTTGTTGTTTTTTTACTTTTATTATAAATGCACAAAAGAGAAACTATCAACCAGCCACTCAGAGAGACACTCAAGTAATATGTGTGTGTTTATCTCCATATTCTTTGTTTTCTATCATTATTGTATAAGTTGCCGATGTTGCAGTATTACTACAAACTGTGTGCATTGGCTGGTTCGTTATTTTTTCCATGCAAAACTCTGACTGTGAGGTGGACAAGAGGTCAGGATAAATCATCATGATCAGACATGGAGGGTATTTATCATTTTTTTCTTTTAATTTAGGTTTGGGGCATTTATCTTTATTCAGAAGTGATGAAGCAGAGATTGAGGACACTAGGGTGACAGGCATGGTTTCATTTCACTCCTGCAGACATTCTGGCTGCTCCCTTGCAGAAGGGTTAGACAGAAACTAGAGTGGATCCCACGACAATTGCCATAACCCCCCCAGGGAAGCTGGTCCAGACTAGCACAGGGGCAGGCAGGAGAGAACTGAGCCAATTTGAGACACAATCAACAGAACCTGGTAATTGTCTGGATGCAAAATGTCAGAAAGAGAAAACAGTCAATGCTGATATCCGCCTTGCTCTGTAGAAAGATACTGGAACCAAGGGCAGGAATGGTGGCTCATGCTTGTAATCCCAGCACTTTGGGAGGCTGAGGAGGCTGAGGAGGGCAGATCACGAGGTCAAGAGATCAAGACCATCCTGGCTAACACGGTGAAACCCTGCCTCTAGGAAAAAAATACAAAAAATTAGCCAGGCATGGTGGTGGTTGCCCGTACTCCCAGCTACCTGTGAGGTTGAGGCAGGAGAATGGCATGAACCCACGAGACGGAACTTACAGTGAGCCCAGATCATGCCAGTGCATCCCAGCCTGGATGACACAGCAAGACTCCATCTCAAAAAACAAAAACAAAAACAAAAAAACAAAAACAAACCAAACCAAAACAAAACAAGACAAAAAACAAGAAGATACTGATATCAGCTTCCAAGATGGCTGAATAGGAAGAGCTCAGGTCTGCAACTCCCAGCGTGACTGACGCAGAAGATGGGTGATTTCTGTATTTCTAACTGAGATACCTGGTTCATCTCACTGGGACTGGCTGGACAGTCAGGGCAGCCCACAGAGGGTGAGCTGAAGCAGGGCAGGACCTCGCCTCACCCAGGAAATGCAAGGGGTTGGGGGACTTCCCTTTCCTAGCCAAGGGAAGCCATGACAGACTGTACAGGGAAATTCGGGACATTCCTGCCTTAATACTGCGCTTTTCCAATGGTGTTAGCAAATGGCACACCAGGAGACTATATCCCGCACCTGGCTCAGTGGGTCGCACCCCCACAGAGCCTTGCTCACTGCTAGCCAGCAGTCCGAGATTGAACTGTGAGGCGGCAGTCTGGCTGGGGGTGGGGCATCTGCCATTGCTGAGGCTTGAGTAAGTAAACAAAGCATCTGGGAAGCTCAAACTGGGTAAAGCCCACCGCAGCTCAAGGAGACCTGCCTGCTTCAGTAGACTCCACCTCTCAGGGCAGGGCATAGCAGAACAAAAGGCAGCAGAAACTTTTGAAGACTTAAACATCCCTGTCTGACAGCTCTGAAGAGAGCAGCGGTTCTCCAAGCACAGTGTTTGAGCTCTGAGAAAGGACAGACTGCCTCCTCATGTGGGTTCCTGATCCCCGTGTAGCCTAACTGGGAGACACTTCCAAGTAGGGGCCTACTGACACCTCACACAGCCAGGCAACCCTCCAAGACAAAGCATCAGAGGAAGGATCAGGCAGCAATATTTGCTGTTCTGGAATATTTGCTGTTCAGTAGCCTCTGCTTGTGATACCCAGGCAAACAGGGTCTGCAGTGGACCTCCAGCAAACTCCAAAAGACCTGCAGCTGAGGGACTTGACTGTTAGAAGGAAAACTAACAAACAGAAAGGAATAGCATCGACATCAACAAAAAGGACATCAACACTAAAATCCCATCTCTAGGTCATCATCATCAAAGACCAAAGGTAGAAAAAAACCACAAAGATGGGGAGAAACCAGAGCAGAAAAGCTGAAAATTCTAAAAACCAGAGTGCCTCTTCTCCTCCAAAGGATCGAAGCTCCTTGTCAGCAACAGAACAAAGCTGGACCAAGAAGTAGACTTCAGAAGGTTGATACTAACAAACTTCTCCAAGCTAAAGGAGCATGTTCTAACCCAACACAAGGAAGCTAAAAACCTTGGAAAAAGATTAGATGAATGGCTAACTAGCATAAACAGTGTAGAGAAGTCCTTAAATGATCTGATGGAGCTGAAAACCATGACACAAGAACTACGTGACACATGCACAAGCTTCAGTAGCTGATTCAATCAAGTGGAAGGAAGGGTATCAGTGATTGAAGATTAAATGAAATGAAGCAAGAAGAGAAGTTTGGAGAAAAAAGAAACAAACAAAGCCCCCAAGTAATATGGGACGATATGAACAGACCAAATCTATGTCTGAATGGTGTACCTCAAAGTGATGGGGAGAATGGAACCAAGCTGGAAAACAGTCTTCAGGATATAAATCCAGGAGAACTTCTCCAACCTAGCAAGGCAGGCCAACATTCAAATTCAGGAAATACAGAGAACACCACAAAGATACTCCTCAAGAAGAACAAACAGAAGACACATAATTTTCAGATTCACCAAGGTTGAAATGAAGGACAAAATGTTGAGGGCAGCCAGAGAGAAAGGTCAGATTACCCTTAAAGAGAAGCCTATCAGAATAACAGGATCTATTGGCAGAAACTCTATAAGCCAGAAGAGAGTGGGGCCCAATATTCAACATTCTTAGAGAAAAGAATTTTCAATCTAGAATTTCATATCCAGTCAACTAAGTGTCATAAGTGAAGGAGAAATAAAATACTTTACAGACAAGCAAATGCTGAGAGAATTTTTCACCACCAGGCATGCCCTACAAGAGCTCCTGAAGGAAGCACTAAACCTGAAAAGGAACAACTGGTACCAGCCACTGCAAAAACATGCCAAATTGTATACACCATCGATGGTATGAGGAAACTACATCAAGAAACAAGCAAAATAACCAGATAACATCATAATGATGGGATCAAATTCACAAATAACAATATTAACCTTAAACATAAATAGGCTAAATGCATCAGTTAAAAGACACAAACTGGCCAATTGGAGAAAGAGTCAAGACCCATCAATATGCTGTATTCAGGAGACATATTTCTCATGCAGAGACACAAATAGGCTCTAAATAAAGGGATGAAGGAAGATCTACCAAATAAATGGAAAGCCAAAAAAAAAAAAAAAAAAAAAAAAAGCAGGGACTGCAATCCTAGTCTCTCATAAAACAAAATTTAAGCCCACAAATATCAAAAGAGACAAAGAAGACCATTACATAATGGTAAAGGGATCAGTTCAACAAGAAGAGCTAACTATCCTAAATATATATGTACCCAATACAGAAGCACCCAGATTCATAAAGCAAATCCTTACAGACCTACAAGGAGACTTAGACTCCAACACAATAATAATCGGAGACTTTAACACCCCACTGTCAATATTAGACAGATCAACAAGACAAAAGTTTAACAAGGACATCCAGGACTTAAACTCAGCTCTGCACCAGCAGACCTAATAGACCTCTACAGAACTCTCCACCCCAAATCAATAGAATATACATTCTTCTCAGTACCACATTGCAGTTATTCCAAAATGGACTACATAGATGGAAGGAAGTAAAGCACTCCTCAGCAAATGTAAAAGAAGAGAAATCACAACAAACTGTCTCTCAGTCCACAGTGCAATCAAGTTAGAATGCAGGATTAAGAAACTCACTCAAAATCACACAACTACATGGAAACTGAGCAACCTGCTTCTGAATGACTACTAGGTAAATAAAGAAATGAACGGAGAAATAAAGATATTCTTTGAAATGTATGAGAACAAAGACACAAATACAAGAAACTCTGGGACACATTTAAAGCAGTGTGTAGAGGGAAATTTATAGCACTAATTTCTCATAAGAGAAAGCAGGAAAGATTTAAAATTGACACCCTAACATCACAATTAAAAGAACTGAGAAGCAAGAGCAAACAAAACAAAAGCTAGTGGAAGGCAAGAAATAACTATAATTAGAGCAGAGCTGAAGGAGATAGAGACACAAAAAAACCCTTAAAAAATCAATTAATCAAGGAGGAGGTTTTTTGAAAAGATCAACAAAATAGATAGGCTGCTAGCAAGACTAATAAAGAAGAAAAGAGAGAAGAATCAAATAGACACCATAAAAAAAGATAAAAGGGATATCACCACTGACTCCACCCCACAGAAATAAAAACTACCATCAGAGAATACTATAAATACCTCTATACAAACAAACTAGAAAATCTAAAAGAAATGGATAAATTCCTGGACACAACCTCCAAGGACTAAACCAGGAAGATGTTGAATCCCTGAAGAGACCAATAACAGGCTCTGAAATAGAGGCAGCAGTTAATAGCCGACCAACCAAAAAAAAGTCCAAGACTATATGGATTCACAGCCAAATTCTACCAGAGGTATAAAGAGGAGCTGGTACCATTCCTTCTGAAACTATTCCAAACCGTAGAAAAAGAGGGACTCCTCTCTATCTCATTTCATGAGGCCAGCATCATCCTGATACCAAAGCCTGGCAGAGACACAACAAAAAAAGGGTTTTAGAAGAATATTCCTGATGAACATCAATGCAAAAATCCTCAGCAAAATACTGGCAAACCGAATCTAGCAGCACATCAAAAACTTATCCACCATGATTAAGTGGGCTTCATCCCTGGTATGCAAGACTGGTTCAGCATACACAAATCAATAAACATAATCCATCAAATAAACAGAATCAAAGACAAAAAACAATGATCATCTCAATGGATGTAGAAAATGTTTTTGAAAAATTCAACAACTCTTCATGCTAAAAACTCTCAATAAACTAGGTATTGATGGAACGATCTCAAAATAATAAGAGCTATTTTTGACAACCCCACAGCCAATATTAAACTGAATGTGCAAAAACTGGAAGTATTCCCTTTGAAAACTGACCCAAGACAGGGATGCCCTCTCTCACCACTCCTATTCAACATAGTGTTGGAAGTTCTTGGCCGGAGCAATCAGGCAAGAGAAATAAATCCAGGGTATTCAATTAGGAAAAAAGGAAGTCAAATTGTCCCTGTTTTCAGGTGATACGGTTATAAACTTAGAAAACCCCATTGTCTCAGCCCAAAATCTCCCTAAGATGATAAGCAATTTCAACAAAGTCTCAGGATACAAAATCAATGTGCAAAAATCCCAAGTATCACATACACAAATAACAAACAAATAGAAAGCCAAATCATGAGTGAACTCCTACTCACAATTGCTACAAGGTGAATAAAAAACCTAAGAATCCAACTTACAAGAGATGTGAAGGATCTATTCAAAGAAAAATACAAACCACTCCTCAACAAAATAAAAGAGGACACAAACAAATGGAAGAGCATTCCTTGCTCATGGATAGGAAGAATCAATATCATGAAAATGGCCATACTGCCCAAGGTAATTTATAGATTCAATGCCATCTCCATCAAGCTACCAAAGAACTTGTTCATGGAATTGGAAAAAAACTACTTTAAAGTTCATATGCAACCAAAAAAGAGCCTGCATTGCCAAGACAATCCTAAACAAAAAGAATAAAGCTGGAGGTATCACACTACCTGACTTCAAACTACACTACAAGGTGACAGTAATCAAAAGAGCATGGTACTGGTACCAAAACAGAGATATAGACCAATGGAACAGAACAGAGCCCTCAGAAATGACAACACACATCTACAACCATCTGATCTTTGACAAACCTGACATAAACAAGAAATGGTGAAATGATTTCCCATTTAATAAATGGTGCTGGGAAAACTGGCTAGCCATACGTAGAAAGCTGAAACTGGATCCCTTCCTTACACCTTACAAAAAATTAATTTAAGATGGATTGAAGACTTAAATATTACGCCTAGAAGCCATAAAAACCCTACAAGAAAACCTACGCAGTACCATTCAGGACATAGCCATGTGCAATTATTTCATGATTAAAACACCAAAAGCAATTGCAACAAAAGCCAAAATAGACAAATGGGATCTAATTAAACTAATGAGCTTCTGCACAGTAAAAGAAGCTGCCATGACAGTGAACAGAAAACCTACATAATGAGAGAAAAATTTTGCAATCTACCCATCTGACAAAGGGCTAATATCCAGAATCTACAAAGAAACAAATTTACAAGAAAAACATCAAACAACCCCATCAAAAAGTGGGCAAAGGATATGAATAGACACTTCTCAAAAGAAGACATTTATGCAGCCAAAAGACACATGAAAAAATGCTTATCATCACTGGTCATCAGAGAAATGCAAATCAAAACCACAATCAGATACCATCTCACACCAGTTAGTAGGGTGATCATTAAAAACTCAGGAAACAACAGGTGCTTGAGAGGATGTGGAGAAATAGGAATGCTTTTACAATGTTGGTGAGGGTGTAAACTAGTTCAACCATTGTGGAAGACAGTGTGGCTATTCCTCAATGATCTAGAACTAGAAATACATTTGACCCAGCAATCACATTACTGGATATATACCCAAAGGATTATATATCATGCTACTATAAAGACAAATACACTTGTATGTTTACTGCAGCACTATTCACAAGAGCAAAGACTTGGAACCAACCCAAATGTCCATCAAGGATAGACTGGATTAAGAAAATGTTGCATATCTACACCATGGAATACTATGCAGCCATAAAAAATGATGAGTTCATGTCATTTGTAGGGACATGGATGAAGTTAGAAACCATCATTCTGAGCAAACTATCACAAAGGCAGAAAACCAAACACTGCCTGTTCTCCCTCATAGGTGGGAATTGAACAATGAGGCCACTTGGACACAGGGTGGGGAACATCACACACCAGGGGCTGTCGTGGGATGTGGGGATGCAGGAGGGATAGCATTAGGAGAAATACTTAATGTAAATGGTGAATTCATGGGTACAGCAAACCAACATGGCACATGTATACATATGTAACAAACCTGCACGTTGTGCACATGTACCCTAGAACTTAAAGTATAATAAAAATAATAAAAAATAAAATAAAAGAAAAATAAAGATACTGGTGTCATTAGCTGGGTAGGGAACAATGAAAAATACTGGAGGCTTAAGATCATTAATTTGCTCCACACCAAGATGCCACCATAGAAGGGATCCATTAGACTGGGCATGGTGGCTCATGCCTGTAATTCCAACACTTTGGGAGGCTGAGCTGGGAGAATCACCTAAGGTTAGAAGTTCAAGAGCAGACTGGCTAAAATGGTGGAACTCCATCTCTACTAAAAATACAAAAATTAGCCAGGCATGTTGGTGCACACCTGTAATCACATCTACTCAGGAGGCTGACTCAGGGAAATTGCTAAAACACAGGAGGTGGAGGTCACAGTGAGCTGAAGTTCACGGTGAGCTGAGATCATGGCACTGCAGTCTAGCCTGGGTGACAAAGTGAGACTCTATCTTAAAAGTAAGTAGGTAAATAGAGATCCATTGTGTGTGTGTGTGTGTGTGTGTGTGTGTGTGTGTGTGTGTGTTTGCGAACATGCGCACGCTCCTTGGAGGTTTATTTCTATTTTTTGTGCTTTGTGATGAAACGGTTAGTTCAGGTGAAGACCTTTTTATTGAAATTGGACCCAATAGGATAAAACCCTATTAATAATTTTTAATGTCAATATTAATCTCTGAATCACAAAATGATTTCGGTTAGCTCAGTGTGACAGCATATCATTAATTATAACTCCAAAATGTGCCTGGGGTAGATATTATCAGGACTAGGATGAGAAGTACCATCTAGCCCAATTAAGAATGTGTGAAAATTTAAGTTTGTTAAAAGCCACTGAAGGCCAGTAGCTTATGCCTGCAATATCAGCGTTTTGGGAGGTGGAGGCAGGTGCATCACTTGAGGTCAGGAGTTTGTGAGATTAGCATGACAAACATGGTGAAACCCCATCTGTACTAAAAATACAAAAATCAGCCAGGCTTGGTGCTGTGTGCCTATAATTCCAGCTACTCAGGAGGCTGAGGCAAAAGAATTGCTTGAGCCTGGGAGGTAAAAGTTGCAGTGAGCCAAGATTGTGCCACTACACTCCAGCTTGTGCTCAGAGTTAGTGAGATTCCATCTCAAAAATAAAAAAATAAAAAAAACAAAACAAGAGAGCCACTTCTAATTCCACTGTATATAAATTATTACCAGCAGAAGTAACTGGACTTTACTTTATCTTTCCTACAAGCCTGGCTTAGAACAAGGTGTTTATAAAGAGGTTTCAAAAACTGAAACAGAGTCATTGGCAAAAAAAGTAGTTAAAATTAGAGTACACTCATGATTTGGCTCTCTGTCTGTTATTGATGTATAAGAATGCTTGTGATTTTTGCACATTGATTTTGTGTCCTGAGACTTTGTTGAAGTTGCCTATCAGCTTAAGGAGATTTGGGGCTGAGACGATAGGGTTTTCTAGATATACAATCATGTCGTCTGCAAACAGGACAATTTGACTTCCTCTTTTCCTAATTGAATACCCTTTATTTCCTTCTCCTGCCTAATTGCACTGGCCAGAACTTCCAACACTATGTTGAATAGGAGTGGTGAGAGAGGGCATCTCTGTCTTGTGCCAGTTTTCAAAGGGAACGCTTCCAGTTTTTGCCCACTCACTATGATATTGGCTGTGGGTTTGTCATAGATAGCTCTTATTATTTTGAGATATGTCCCATCAATACCTAATTTATTGAGAGTTTTTAGCATCAAGGTTGTTGAATTTTTTCAAAGGCCTTTTCTGCATCTATTGAGATAAACTATGGTTTTTGCCATTGGTTCTGGTTATATGCTGGATTACATTTATTGATTTGTGTATGTTGAACAAGCCTTGCGTTCCAGGGATGGATCCCTCTTGATCATGGTGGAGAAGCTTCTTGATGTGCTGCTGGATTTGGTTTGCTAGTATTTTATTGAGGATTTTTGCATTGATGTTCATCAGGGATAGGAATCCAACTTAAAAGGGATGTGAAGGACCTCTTCAAGGAGAACTACAAACCACTGCTCAATGAAATAAAAGAGGATACAAACAAATGGAAGAAGATTACATGCTCATGGGTAGGAAGAATCAATATCATGAAAGTGGCCATAGTGCCCAAGGTAATTTATAGATTCAATGCCATCACCATCAAGCTATCAATGACTTTCTTCACAGAATTGGAAAAACTACTTTAAAGTTCATATGGAACCAAAAATAGTCCACATTGACAAGTCAACCCTAAGCCAAAAGAACAAATCTGGAGGCATCACACTACCTGACTTCAAACTATACTACAAGGCTACAGTAACCAAAACAGCATGGTACTGGTACCAAAACAGAGGTATAGACAAATGGAACAGAACAGAGCCCTAAGAAATAATGCCACATATCTACAACCATCTGATCTTTGACAAACCTGACAAAAACAGGAAATGGAGAAAGGATTCCCTATTTAATAAATGGTTCTGGGAAAACTGGCTAGCCATATGTAGAAAGCTGAATCTGGATCCTTTCCTTACACTTATACAAAAATTAATTCAAGATGGATTAAAGACTTACATGTTAGACCTAAAACCATAAAAACCCTAGAAGAAAACCTAGGCAATACCATTCAGGACATAGGCATTGGCAAGGACTTCATGTCTAAAACACCAAAAGCAATGGCAACAAAAGCCAAAATTGACAAATGGGATCTAACTAAACTAAAGAGCTTCTGTACAGCAAAAGAAACTACCATCAGAGTGAACAGGCAGCCTACAGAATGGGAGAAAATTTTTGCAATCTGCTCATCTGACAAAGGGCTAATATCCAGAATTTACAATGAACTCAAACAAATCTGCAAGAATAAAACAGACAACCCCATCAAAAGTGGGTGAAGGATATGAACAGACACTTCTTAAAAGAAGACATTTATGCAGCCAAAAGACACATGAAAAAATGCTCATCATAACTGGCCATCAGAAAAATGCAAATCAAAACCACAATGAGATACTATCTCATACAGTTAGAATGGTCATCATTAAAAACTCAAGAAACAACAAGTCCTGGAGAGGATGTGAAGAAATAGGAACACTTTTACACTGCTGTTGGGACTGTAAACTAGTTCAACCATGGTGGGAGTCAGTGTGGTGATTCCTCAGAGATCTTGAACTAGAAACACCATTTGACCCAGCAATCCCATTACTGGGTATATACCCAAATGATTATAAATCATGCTGCTATAAAGACACATGCACATGTGTGTTTATTGTGGCACTATTCACAATAGCAAAGACTTGGAACCAACACAAATGTCCAACAATGATAGAGTGGATTAAGAAAATGTGGCACATATACACTATGGAATACTATGCAGCCATAAAAAAGGTGAGTTCATGTCCTTTGTAGGGACATGGATGAAGCTGGAAACCATCATTCTCAGCAAACTATCACAAGGACAAAAAAACCAAACACCACATGTTCTCACTCCTAGGTGGGAATTAACAATGAGAACACATTGACACAGGAAGGGAAACATCACACACTGGGCCTGTTGTAGGATTTGGGGAGGGAGGAGTGATAGCATTAGGAGATCTACCTAATGTTAAATGACAAGTTGATGGGTGCAGCACACCAACATGGCACATGTATACATATGTAACTTAACTGCACGTTGTGCACATGTACCCTATAACTTAAAGTGTAATAAAAATGTAAAATAAATAAATAAATAGCACTTAAAATTAAATGAAAGTGCTCCACTCCAAAATATTAAGAACATGGTGCATTAACTTCTGAAAAACTACACAATTCTCCCTTTAAAAATCATTTTTCTGAACAAATTTATTTGGCAAAAGATCATTAAAAACTTTTTTTTATAGAGAAAGCGCTGTTCATAGAAGAAATCATTAGGAAGGAGAGAGACAAAATAACATTTTTATAACTACACATGTAATTATATTAAATTTGTTCATTAAAAGAAGATTAACAATGTGCTTATATAACAGAAACTTAACCACATCAAAGAAAATGTTCCTGATATATTTGCTAGATTGGGAAGAAAGGTTTTTAAAAACAAAGAAAAACTTGCATGACAAACAATGTTTTTAGAAGAAAAGCAGCTTTGTTCACTCCCTGGTATGCACAGTGGTGAAGTTTGGGTCACAAAATGTTATTGTCTAATAAATATCCTGTTTTAATTAGATAAAGAAAAATAGTCTGACATGAGGACAGCGAAAACCCATTCTGAAATCGTATCTAAACAGATATTTTTTATAGATTTAAATACATATTTAAATTACGTGTGTGATTTTTCTTTCTTTTTTTTTTTTTGAGACGGAGTCTCGCTCTGTTGCCCAGGCTGGAGTGCAATGGCCCGATCTAGATTCACTGCAAGCTCCACCTCCTGGGTTCATGCCATTCTCCTGCCTTGGCCTCCTGAGTAGCTGGGACTACAGGTGCCCACCACCAATCCTGGCTAATTTTTTTTTTTTTTTTTGTATGTTTAGTAGAGACAGGGTTTGTGTTAGCCAGGATGGTCTTGGTCTGCTGACCTCATGATCCACCTGCCTCAGCCTATCAAAGTGCTGAGATTACAGGCCTGAGCCACCAGGCCTGGACAATCACGTGTGATTTTTCTGAAATAAATGTTCAGGATTTACCGATTTAGCGAATCTGTTTCTATTTACTGTGCTGCACTACCTGGTGCATTGGTCTTTGTATTTCTCAATAGAATCAATTATACCTAGCACAATTAAGTTTATCATAATATATGTTGAGTATTAACAACATATTAATCTAAAAATTATGTTTAAAAAAGTAAGTCTTGCCTGACCTGTTTGTTTACATTTGAAGTCTTTAGAAGTGTTTGGGACACATTAAGTGTTGCATGTGTGATAATTCTGTTAATTCCTTCTTATTTTTTAATTTTTTAAATAAAACTATTTTCTTTTAGAGATGAAGTCTTACTCTAGCACCCAGATTGGGGTACAATGGTGCAAGCACAGCTCACTGCAGCCTTAAAATCCTGGGCTCAAGCAATCCTCTTGCCTTACCCTCTTGAATTGCTGAGACTACAGGCATGCACCACCACACCTAGCTAATTTAAAAAATATATATATATTTGTAGAGATGAGTTCTCACTATGTAGTCCAGGTTTACTGAAAACTCTTGGACTCATGGAATCTTCCCACCTTGGCCTCCAGTGTAGCTGGGATTACAGGTGTCAGCCACTACAACAGGCTGCCTTCCTGGTGCTGCTGCTAACTAGCTGTCAATATTTGGACATGTTATCCAGTCTTTGCAGCTCTCTGTTTCTATAGCTGTAAAATAAAAAGGTTCCTACCATGTCTAAAACCCTGTGATGTTTATACATCTATAGTCTGATGCATTTTCTCGGAATCTACCTGGATCTAAGGAGAATGTCCATCAATGGTGACTGGATAAAAACAATGGGCTATATATATATATATACACACACACACACGCACCACATTGTGTGTGTCTGTGTGTGTGTGTGTATATATATGTATCACACATTGTGTGTACACACATGCATACACACACACACACTATGAAATACTACTCAGCCATAAAAAAAAAAAAAAAAAAAAAACTCAGGTCTTTTGCAGCAACGTGGGTGAAACTGGAGGACAGTTCATCCATGTTGCTACAAAAGACATGTAAACAACAAAGTTACATAACAGGAACTTGACTGTAGCAAAGAGAATGTTCCCTAGTGAAATGATTCAGAAACAAAAATATAAACCTCATGTTCTCACTTATAAGTGAGATACATACAATGAGTACACATGGACAGACAGAGTGAAATAATACACATTGAAGACTATTTAAGATGGGAGGGTGGGAAGGGGTGAAGGAGGAAATACTACCTATTGGGTACAATGTATATTATTTGGATGATGGGGATAATGGGTATACTAAAAGTCCAGACTTCACTACACAATATATTCCTGTAATACAATAACACTTGTACTCCCAAATACATTAAAATAAGAAATAATCAAATGCTAATCTCTTCCACAAACACCCTCACAGACACACTCAGTAATAATGCTTTACTAGCTACCTGGGCATTCCTTAGCTCAGTCAAGTTGATGTATGAAATTAGCCATCCCAACATACAATGTAACATTATTGTTACAGTATTATTCTTGCAATATTATTAACCTTACAAAATGAAGAAATCTTGCAATATGCAATAGCACATATGAAACTTAAAACATTATGTTGAGGCTGGATACACTGGCTCATGCCTGCAATCCCAGCATTTGAGAGGCCACTGCAGGTGGATCACTTGCGGCCAAGAGTTGGAGACCAGCCTGGCCAACATGATGAAACCCCATCTCTACTGAGATACAAGACTAGCTGGATTTCCTAGGCTGACTAAGAGTCCCTAAGCCTAGCTGGGAAGGTGACCACATCCACTTTTAAACATGGGGCTTGCAACTTAGCTCATACCCGACCAATCAGATAGTAAAAAGAGCTCACTAAAATGCTAATTAGGCAAAAACAGAGGTAAAGAAATAGCCAATCATCTATCACCTGAAAGCACAGCAGGAGGGACAATAGTCTGGATATAAACCCAGGCATTCCAGCTGGCAATGGCTACCCTCTTTGGATCCCCTCCTTTTGTATGGGAGCTCTGTTTCCACTCTATTAAATCTTGCAACTGCACACGGTTCTGGTTCGTGTTTGTTACTGCTTTAGCTGAGCTTTTGCTTGCTGTTCACCACTGTTGTTTGCCACCATCGCAGACCTGCTGCTGACTTCCGCCCCCACAGATCCAGCAGGGTATCCACTGTGTTCCTGATCCAGTGAGGCACACATTGCCACTCCAGATCAGCTAAAGGCTTGCCATTGTTCCTACATGGCTAAGTGCCCTGGTTCATCCTAATGCAGCTGAACACTTGTCGCTGGGTTCCGCGGTTCTCTTCCATGACCCACGGCTTCTAACAGAGCTATAACATTCACTGCATGGCCCAAGATTCCATTCCTTGGAATCTGTGAGGTCAAGAATCCCAGGTCAGATAAGAAGAGGCTTGTGGCCATCTTGGAAGCGGCCCCCTACCATCTTGGGAGCTCTGGGAGCAAGGACCCCCCGGTAACACTAGTAAAAATACAAAAAATTAGCCAGTCATGGCGGTGCATGCCTGTAAACAAAGTTACTTGGTAGGCTGAGGTAGGAGAATCCCTTGAACCCAGGAGGTGGAGGTTGCAATAAGCTGAGATTGTGCCACTACAATCCATCCTGGGTGACAGAGCAAGACTTCATCTCAATGAAACAAAAAACAAAAACATGATGTTGAGCAAAATAAGTCAGTCACAGAAGGACAAATACTTAATGATTCCTCTTATATGAAGTAGCTGAACAGTCAAACATAGAAAATCTTAGGGTAGAATGGTGGTCACCAGGCATTGAGAATGGGCAAGAAGAAAATGGGAAATTACTTATCAATAGGTATAAATTTTCAGTTACTCAGGATAAATATATTCTAGGCATCTATTGTATAATATTATTGCATAGAGTTAAAAATATGGGTGTATTTAAAAATGTAACAAGAGAGAACATCTCACGTTAAGTGTTCTTACCATAACAAAATTGAAAAAAAAAGAAAAAAGAAAGAAAGAAGAGCAGCAGACTCTGCAGGCATCAACAGAAAGCAAACTGTCCAAAGCCTGGGAAGCACTTGACACTCTAACACATTAAAGGTCTTCAATAAGCATCCTTCCCAATTTTCAGGGTAGATCTTTGGCCATGTCCAGTGGCACTGACCACCATGTCAAGGCTGAATGCTCCCTTGAAAAGGAGGCTCATGGATGGACGAGTGCCCTGGTGGGGCTCTGGTTGATTTATGGCACAGAAGTGACTGAACTTGTCATGAGATTATATGCTTCCCATCCCATTCCAGGAGTTGGGAAATTACTCAGGCAAAGTTAATACCTATCTTATGATCTCTTAAGAGCCAACTAGTTAAGGCAGTGGGAGGGGGGCTACCTCTCTAGAGTGCAAGAGCAGCAGAAATGCAAATTTAATCTCAGTAGAAAAAGCAATGGAAAGAATGAAAAGCTTCAGGGTTAGTGTCCTACGAATCCATGTGAAGATACCACCAAACAGGATTTGTGTGAGCGATAAATCTTTTTAATCACTTGGGTGCAGGTGGGCTGAGTCTGAAAAGAGAGTCAGTGAAGGGAGGTAGGGGTGGGGGCTTTCATGCCCGTCCCTGTGAAGAGACCACCAAACAGGCTTTGTGTGAGCAACATGGCTGTTTATTTCACCTGTGTGCAGGAGAGCTGAGTCCAAAAAGAGAGTCAGCAAAGGGAGATAGGGATGGGGACATTTTATAGGATTTGGGTAGGTAAAGGAGAAGGGGGGTTGTTCTCTGGGGGGCAGGAATGGGGGTCACAAGGTGCTCAGTAGGGGAGCTTTTGAGCCAGGAAGAGCCAGGAGAAGGAATTTCACAAGATAATGCCATCTGTTAAGGCAGGAACAGGCCATGTTCACTTCTTTTGTGGTGGAATGCCATCAGTTAAGTCAGGAACCGGCCATCTGGATGTGTACATGCAGGTCACAGGGGATACGATAGCTTAGTTTGGGCTCAGAGGCCTGACATTCCTGTCTTCTTATATGAATAAGAAAAATAAAATGAAATAGTGGTAAAGTGTTGGGATGGCAAAAATTTTGGGGGATGGTATGGAGGGATAATGGGCGATGTTTCTCAGGGCTGCTTAGAGCAGTATTAGGGGTGGCGTGGGAACCTAGAGTGGGAGAGAGTAAGCTGAAGGAAGATTTTGTGGTAAGGGGTGATATTGTGGTACTGTTAGAAGAAACATTTGTCATTTAGAATTATTGGTGATGGCCTGGATATGGTTTTGTATGAATTGAAAAACTAAATGGAATAAGAGAAGAAGAAAAACAGATATTAAAGGTCTAAGAATTGGGAGGACCCAGGACATCTAATTAGAGAGTGCCTAAGGAGATTCAGCATAGTCCTGCCAGCAAAGATTATTTATTTACTTCAAGAGTTAAGAGTGCCAGTTTGGGGATAGCACTGGGAGATATCAGCTGTGATGGCTTGGAGAAACAGTGTAAACTGGCAGTGTAAACAAGAGCAGGGCATGTATGCATAGTTGAGAATGGTGAATAGGCATATGACTAGACAGAATATAGTAGGGATGACAAGTTTTTGGGGCACATTCCAAGTTGGTCTTGTGTCTGGAATGAGACTAGGGCTTAATAAAAAGGACCGTCTATACAGGAGCTCAAATGGGCTGTACCTTGTAGCATTCCAAGGACAGGCCTGAATTCTGAGAAGGGAAAGTGGTAAAAGTACTGTCCAGTCTTTTTTAAGTTGGTGGCTGAGCCTGGTGAGGTGTGTTTTTAAAAGACCATTAGTCCATTCTACCTTTCCTGAAGACTGACAACTCTAAGGGATATAAAGGTTTCACTGAATACCAAGAGCTTGAAAACATGCTTGGCTGATTTGACTAATAAAGGCTGGTCTGTTATCAGACTGTATAGAGGTGGGAAGGCCAAACCAAGGAATTATGTCTGACAGAAGGGAAGAAATGACCATGGTGGACTTCTGAGACCCTGTAGGAAAGGACTCTACCTATCCAGTGAAAGTGTCTACTTAGACTAAGAGGTATTTTAGTTATCTGACTAGGGGCATATGAGTAAAGTCAATTAGCCAGTCCTGGGCAGGAATAAATCTTCGAGCTTGATGTGTAGGAAAGGGAGGGGACTTGAACAATCCCTGAAGGGTAGTAGAATATCAGATGGAACACTGAGAGGTGATCTCCTTGAGGATAGATTTCCATGATGCAAAGGAAATGAGAGGTTCTAAGAGATGGGCTAGTGGCTTGTACTGTAGCATAGCCTGCCTTTGCTGGTGTGTGGTAATTAGGCCTGGTGGAACTGCCATCAATAAACCAAGTGTGATCAGGGTGAGAAACAGGGAAGAAGGAAATGTGGGGAAATGGGGTGAACGTCAGGTGGATCAGAGAGATACAGTCATGGGATCAGGTGTGGTATCAAGAATAATGTGGGAGGCCAGATTGCAGTCTGGGTCAGAAACAATGGTAATTGTGGGACTTAACAAAGAGTGAGTACAGCTGAAGAAGCCGGGGTGCAGTAAGTATATGCATCAGGTATGAGGAAGAAAATAGATTTTGGAAGTTATGAGAAATGTAGAGAGTAAGTTGAGCATAGTTTGTGATTTTGAGGACCTCTAAAAGTATTAGGGCAGCAGCAGTCACTGCACAGAGACATGATGGCTAGGTTAAAACAGTAAGGTCAAGTTGTTTGGACAGAAAGCCTACCAGATGCAGTCCTGGCTCTTGTA
Organism: Homo sapiens; assembly: GCF_000001405.40. Classification (NCBI taxonomy): domain Eukaryota; kingdom Metazoa; phylum Chordata; class Mammalia; order Primates; family Hominidae; genus Homo; species Homo sapiens. The sequence continues at coordinate 15,515,940 of NC_000024.10, read as the reverse complement.
TAAGAATTCTGACTGCACTAACCATGCCTAGGAAGGAAAGGAGTTGTTGTTTTGTAAGGGATTGAGGTTTGGGAGATTAATTGGACACAATCAGCAGTGAGAGCTCTTGTGTTTTTTATGAGAATTATGCTGAGATAGGTAACAGATAAGGAAGAAATTTAGGCTTGACTGAAGTAATGGGGGCTGTCTGTGAAGCTTTGTGGCAGTACAGCCCAGGTAATTTGCTGAGCCTGATGGGTGTCACGGTCAGTCCAAGTGAAAGCGAAGAGAGGCTGGGATGATGGGTGCAAAGGAATAGTAAAGAAAGCATGTTTGAGATCCAGAAAAGAATAATGGATTGTGAAGGGAGGTATTGAGGATAGGAGAGTATATGGGTTTGGCACCATGGGGTGGATAGGCAAAACAATTTGGTTGATAAGGCATAGATCCTGAACTAACTTGTAAGGCTTGTCTGGTTTTAGGACAGGTAAAATGGGGGAACAGTAAGGAGAGTTTATAGGCTTTAAAAGGCCATGCTATAGCAGGTGAGTCATAACAGGCTTTAATCCTTTCAAAGCATGCTGTGGGATGGGATATTGGCATTGAGTGGGGTAAGAGTGATTAGGTTTTAATGAGATGGTAAGGGGTGCATGATCAGTCACCAAGGAGGGAGTAGAGTTATCTTATACTTGTGGGTTATGGTGGGGGAATACAAGAGGAGGATGCAAAGAAGGGAAGGGGTTTGGATTGGGAAGAAGGGCAGCAATGAGATGTAGCTGTAATCCAGGAATAGTCAGGGAAGCAGATAATTTAGTTAAAGTGTCTCAGCCTAATAAGGGAACTGGGCAGGTGAGGATAACTAAAAGGAGTGCTTAAAAGAGTATTGTCTAAGTTGGTACCAGAATTGGGGAGTTTTAAGAGGTTTAGAAGCCTGGTTCTCAATACTCACAACAGTTATGGAGGCAAGGGAAACAGGCCCTTGAAAATAAGGTAATGTGGAGTGGGTAGCCTCCGTATTGATTAAGAAGGGGACGGACTTACTTTCCACTGTGAAAGTTACCCAAAGCTTGCATCTGTGATGGTCTAGGGGGCTTCTGAGGCAATCAGGCAGCATGAGTCTTTAGCCGCTAAGCCAAAAAGAACTGGGAAGGAGTCAGAGAGCCTTGGGCCAGAGTTCCAGGGGCTATGGGAGTGGCTTCCAGGTGAGTTGGACAGTCCAACTTCCAGTGGAGTCCTGCACAGATGGGACATGGCTTAAGAGGAATCCTGGGCTGCAGGCATTCCTTGGCATGGTGGCCAGATTTCTGGCATTTGTAGCAAGCTCCTGGGGGAGGAGGTTCTGGAGGAATGCCTGGCTGCTGCAGTTCAGGCATTTGGAAGTTCTTGTGTGCTGGAGATGTGGCTGGGGTTTGTCTCCCAGTGGAGGCAAGGAATTGCAACTTATTTATATTATTGTACACCTTGTAGGTGAGGTTAACTAAATCCTATTGTGGGGTTTGAGGGCTGGAACTTAATTTTTGGAGTTTTATTTAATATCAGGAGCAGATTGGGTAATAAAATATATTTTCAGAATAAGACAGCCTTTTGACCTTTTAGGGTCTAGGGCTGTAAAGTGTCTCAGGGTTGTAGCCAAATGAGCCATGAACTGGGCTGGGTTATTCATATTTGATGAACAATCCTAAATGCTCACTGATTTGGGAAAGGTCTGATAAAGAAAAAGGAGCATTAACCTTGACCATGCCTTTAGCTTCAGCCACCTTGTTAAGAGGAAATTTCTGGGCAGGTGAGGGAGAGCTACTCATGGAATGAAACTGTAAACCAGACTGGGTGTGAGGAGGGGAGGTAATAAAAGGATTACAGGGTGGAGGAGAAGAGGCTGAGGAAGAATTGGGATCTAGCTCAGCCTGGCAAGGAGCAGCCTGGGGAGGAGGGGAGAATTCAGATGGGTCTGTAGAAAAGGAAGATTAGAAAGACTCGGCGACACTTGGGGTTGGGACTGAGGGGACAGGTGGGAGAGAAAGGAGGAAGATTTGGGATGAGTTGCATTGGGCACAGAGACTAGGAAGAGACCGATGTGTTAAAGACTGCCTGGACGTCAGGCACCTCAGACCGTTTGCCTATTTTATGACAAGAATTATTTAGATCTTGCAGGATGGAAAAATTGAAAGTGCCATTTTCTGGCTTTTTGGAACTACTGTAGAGTTTGTATTGGGGCCAAGCGGCATTGCAGAAGAAAATAAGATGCTTAGATTTTAGGTAAGGTGAGAGTTGAAGAGGTTTTAAGTTCTTAAGAACACAGGCTAAGGGAGAAGAAGGAGGAATGGAGGGTGGAAAGTTGCCCATAATGAAGGAGGCAAGTTTAAAGAAAAGGGAGAGTAGAGACATGGAGGGAAGCAGTTCGGGGGTTCTTATCCTCCATAAAAGCAGGAAAGGGGTAGGATCACAGAGATATGAGGTCAGGTCATGGAAATAAGGGATCAGGGTGCAGAGATATAAGAGGTTGGGGCATGGAAATAAGGGATTGGGGCACAGAGATAAGAGGTCATGGCATGGAAATAAGGGATTGGGGGGCAGAGATATAAGAGGTTGGGGCATGGAAATAAGGGATTGCAGCACAGAGATACAAGGTTGGGGTACTTGCCCCTCCTCTAGAAAAGTGGGACTTGCCACTAAGGGTAAAGGAGAAGGGTTTGGGGGTTTCTTGCCCCCCAGAAAGGCAAAGAAGGGGTAGAGACATGGAGAGAAGGGGTTGGGGTACTTGCCCCTTCCCCAGAAAAGCAGGACTTGCTGCTAAGGGTGAAGGACCAACACAGGCATCTCTGCATGGTCTGACACCTCTGAAACCTGGGTGAATAATCAGAGAGGTGTCTCTGCAATGATTAAACACCAAGGGAAGGCTGCCTTCCCTAGTTCATGACCGGCGCCAGAGTTTTGGCTCCACGGATAAAACGTGTCTCCTTTTTCTCTACCAGAAAATGAAAGGAATAGAAATTAAGAGAAGGGAGAGATTGAAGTGTGGTGCCAAGATTGAAAGGAGAAAGAGGTTGAGGGATAGTGAGGGAGTTTGGAGAAGACAGTAAAAAGAGGCCGCTTACCAGATTTGAAATGGGTGAGATGTTTCTTGGGGTGGTGGGTCTGAGGACCTGAGGTCATAGGTAGACCTTTCTGATGGAGCAAAGAGCAGGAGGACAGGGGATTGATCTCCCAAGGGTGGTCCCCCGATCAGAATCAGGGCACCAAATTTCATGCACGTCCATGTGAAGAGACCACCAAACAGGCTTTGTGTGAGCAACATGGCTGCTTATTTCACCTGGGTGCAGGCGGGCTGAGTCCAAAAAGAAATTCAGCAAAGGGAGATAGGAAGGTGTAGGGCCATTTTATAGGATTTGGGTAGGTAAACAAAAAGGTGGGTTGTTCTCTGGTGTGCAGGAGTGGGGGTCACAAGGTGCTCAGTAGGGGAGCTTTTGAGCCAGGATGAGCCAGGAGAAGGAATTTCACAAGATAATGCCATCCATTAAGGCAAGAACAGGCCATTTTCACTTCTTTTGTGGTGGAATGTCATCAGTTAAGGCAGGAACTGGCCATCTGGATGTTTATGTGCAGGTCACAGGGGATATGATGGCTTAGCTTGGGCTCAGAGGCCTGACACGGCCATTTTATATGATTTGGGTAGGGAGTGGAAAAACTACAGTCAAAGTGCGTTGTTCTCTGGTGGGCAGGGGTGGGTGTCACAACTTGCTCAGTGGGGGAGCTTCTGAGCCAGGAGAAGGAATTTCACTAGGTAATGTCATCAGTTAAGGCAGGAACTGGCCATTTTCACTTCTTTTGTAATTCTTCACTTGCTTCAGGCCATGTGGATGTATACATGTAGGCTTGGGCTCAGAGGCCTGACAGTTAGATGACAATATGAACTGTAACAGCAAAGACAACAATCATCATAACCCAGAGCCCTCAGTGTGTATAAAATTGTTAGACTTGAGCTACCCATTTTATGTAGATGGGCATTTACTTCTAACAACAAGTATGGCAGGCTATTCAAAGTCATTCCTCTGGTAAGGGAAATAGATGCATATTCTGGTTGTCTCTTTTGGAAAGGCTTATCAGAAATCCAAAAGAATGGGACCATTTGTCTCTCATCTACCTGTAACCTGGAAGCATGTGGCAGGAGGGGCTTATTTTGAGTTGTCCTGTCTTTCTGGACAGAACCATTTTGCTTCTTACGTATATTAATTGATGTCTCTTGTCTCCCTAAAATGGATAAAACCAAGCTGTGCCCAATCACCTTGGGCACATGTCATCAGGACTTCCTGAGGTTGTCACAGGTGCACATCCTCAACCTTGGCAAAATTCTCAGGCGACTGAGAATTGCATTAGTTTGTCTGGGATGAATGCTCCCTAAGACGTGCAGTTGCTATAAATAGGTTTCCCCCTCAGAAAAAATACTTAGGGTCTAATCTCAGCCAGCAGCTGCATATAAGTATCTGATCCCTCCCACACCTCGAGCCCCTGGCACACTGCACCAGGTAGCTGTGAAACAAGTGGACTGAACCAGTTCAGGGGGTAATGACCCTGAAAAGCACATTCTTCAAGCAACACATTTAGGGTCTGACACACATCTGGACTTGGTCAAATCCAAAGGAGAACTCTAAATTATAAGGAACAAGTCCTCTGAAATAGCTAATTACTGTCCCCCATGCATCCCCTGCCACACACAAAAAGGGGTGGTATGGTAAGGGTAGGAGAACAGCTAGCAAAAGAAAAAAACTAAAAGGAAAGATTCTTAAGGGCTTTCATTTACATTACAAGGCCGCCTTTTTGCCAGGCAGACCAAACTGAAAGAGCAATGGCTATACTTCTGAAATAGCAGCATTTTATCCTAGCTGAAATAAGGTAATGAGATTTAAAAACATGTTTTAAAGGATCTCAATGGTTAGAAGTCAGTGTAATTAAAAGGCTAAGATCCATGATGTGTGTGCGTGTTTGTGCGCACGCGTGTGTGTGTATGTTTGCATGTTTGTATTTAAAAGACCTTCATGTTTTGTTTTTGTTTGTTTTTCTCGTCTAAGACCTTGTGGTTTTTTTTTTTGGGGGGGGGGTAGGGGGTGCAAAAGTTGTGGCTTTTTGAGAGGCTCTGCCCAGAGCTCAGAGATCCATTTAAAAGATAGGTCATCCTTATCTAAATAAAATTGGTTTCCTTATAAAATCATATGATGGATTTGTGTAATTTTGTTTTATTTGGTTCAAAGAAAAATAAAAGCATCTCCCTCTAGGAAAACCAGACTTTTTCTCTCTGTACCTTATGATGTAAATTTGCTATTTGATTTTCACTTGAATTGTTTCCTTTAATATCCAAATTTAAGGCTATTTAGCTGACAACCAGCTAGGGTTGTGAAACAGGTTATCAAGAATCTAAAAGTCCAAGATAGGGGGGGAAAGAGGAAGTGTCAGGCCTCTGAGCCCAAGCTAAGCCATCATATCCCCTGTGATTTGCATGTATATGCCCAGATGGCCTGAAGTAACTGAAGAATCACAAAAGAAGTGAAAATACCCTCCCCAAGCTTAACGGATGACATTCCACCACAAAAGAAGTGAACATGGCCGGTTCTTGTCTTAAGTGATGACATTACCTTATGAAAGTCATTTTCCTGGCTCATCCTGGCTCAAAAATCTCCCCCACTGAGCACCTTGCGACCCCCACTCCTGCCCCCCAGAGAACAACCCCTTTGACTGTAATTTTTCTTTACCTACCCAAATCCAATAAAACTGCCCTACCCCTATCTCCCATCGCTGACTCTCTTTTCGGACTCAGCCCACCTGCACCCAGGTGATTAAAATTTATTGCTCACACAAAGCCTGTTTGGTGGTCTCTTCACATGGACACACATGAAAGGAAGGGTGTTTATGAATGTATAAAATGTACTTCCATTGGCATGCCTAATAAGTCTATGTATTTATGGGTTGGGTACACAATGTTTCACTACTAAAAATATATAAAACAGCTGTAATTGGCTTGAAGAAATATAAAAGTGCTTAAATCAAATACTTTACCAGGAAAAAAAAGGACTAGTCAAGTTCTTTTTCAAGTTGATATAACTTAAGTAAAATATTTAATAAACAAAGCTAGCTTTAAAATAATTGGTAAAGTAATATTAGAAATGTCTTAATAATTGCCAGCATACATTTTTTTTCATTTATTAATCAAGTAATGTCAGACTTATCCCTGCCAAACAGTATAAGATGTCATATTTTGGCATAGGGACTACAGAAGTATAAACCCAGCCCAAAACAGACTGACCTTTGCTTGTGTAATTTTTAATAAGTAAGACATTCATGTTGGTGTAATGAAAATAGTTACATCTTGAGTTACTTAGTAAAATTACCATAACTTCTAATCTTTTGGCTTTAAGCAGTTTAGTCTACAGGCAGTAAGGAGGTTTGTTTTGGGAAAGCACTGTTATGGTCTCTGTTTCAAAGCTAACCTGAAAACTAATTTCCTTGCAAAGTTACTTTGGCCTTTGCCCAGGAATGAACAAGGACAGCTAGGAAGTTAAGAGCAAGATGCAGTCAGTTAGGTAAAAGCTTTCTTCACTTTCTCAGTTATAATTTTACAATAGCACTTTTGTAACTTTAAAAGTTATAAATCACAACTATTACAATTTTCATGAATAATTAATGAAAACAAAACAATCAGGTAAATGTCATAGGATAAATACTTGTAGACAAACGGGTCATAATTTAGAATATAAAGTTATATTAAATTAAATAGTAGATATTTCATAATTTAGATGTTTTCCAAAAAGTACTTATTGTAGGACAACATTCTTCCTAAGAAAAAAAAAAACTTGTGTCCTTTTCAAATAATGGTGAAAAAGTTTTGTCTAATTCAAAGCTTATTTAATGGTTATATATGAAATAAGGTGAAAGGAATCAGAAAATAAAAAGAGATATAAAGAAAGTTATAAAAATAAAGAGATTTTTTTTGTGGTAAGAAAGCTTAAAGAGAAATAATTTTTTCCTGGGACTATTATTATTATTATTGTATTTTTTCAATACTTTAAGTTCTGGGGTACATGTGCAGAACGTGCAGGTTTGTTACATAGGTATACACATCCCATGGTGGTTTGCTGCACCCATCAACCAGTCATCTATCCACATTAGGTATTTCTTCTAATGCTATCCCTCCCATAGCCCCCCACCTCCCAAGAGGCCCCAGTGTTTGATATTGCCCTCTCTGTGTCCATGTGTTCTCATGGTTCAACTCCCACTTATGAGAGAGAATATGCAGTGTTTTGTTTTCTGTTTCTGTGTTAGTTTGCTGAGAATGATGGTTTCCAGCTTCATCTATGTATCTACAAAGGACATGAACTCATCCTTTTTGGTGGCTGATTAGTTCCATGCTGTATATGTGCCACTTTTCTTTATCCAGTCTGTCATTGATGGGTATTTGTGTTGGTTCCTAGTCTTTGCTATTGTGAATAGTGCTTCAATAAATACTATGTGTGCACATGTCTTTATAGTAGAATGATTTATAATCCTTTGGATGTATAACCAGTAATAGGATTGCTGGGTCAAACAGTATTTCTGGTTCTGCCTCCCTAAGGAATCACCACGCTGTCTTCCACCATGGTTGAACGAATTTACGGTTCCACAAACAGTATAAAAGCATTCCTACTTCTTCACATGCTCTCCAGTATCTGTTGTTTCCTACCTTTTTAATGATCACCATTCTAACTGGCATGAGATGTTATCTCATTGTGATTGTGATTTGCATTTCTCTAAGGACAGTGATCATGAGCTTTTTTTCATATGTTTCTTGGCTGTATAAATGTCTTCTTTTGAGAAGTGTCTGTTCATATCCTTTCCCCACCTGTTCATGGGGTTGTTTGTTTTTTTCTTAGTATATCTGTTTAAATTCCTTGTAGATTCTGGGTATTAACCCTTTGTCAGATCAATAGATTGCAAAAATTCTTCCATTCTGTAGGTTGCTTCTTTACTCTGATGATAGTTTCTTTTTCTGTGCAGAAGCTCTTTAGTTTAATTAGATCCCATCTGTCTATTTTGGCTTTTCTTGGCATCGCTTTTTGTGTTTTAATCATGAAGTCTTTTCCCGTGCCTAAGTCATGAATGGTATTGCCTAGGTTTTCCTCAAGGGTTTTTATAGTTTTAGGTCTTATATTTAAATCTTTAATCCATCTTGAGTTAATTTTTGTGTAAGGTGTAAGAAAGGGGTTCAGTTTCAGTTTTCTGCTTATGGCTAGACTGTTTTCCCAACACCATTTATTAAATAGGGAATGCTTTCCCCCTTGCTTTTTTTTGTCAGGTTCATCAAAGATCAGATAGTTGTAGATGTGAGATGTTGTTTCTGAGGTCTGTGTTCTGTTCCATTGGTCTGTATATCTGATTTGGTACCAGAACAATGCTGTTTTGGTTACTGTAGCCTTGTAGTACAGTTTGAAATCAGGTAGCATGATGCCTCCAGCTTTGTTCTTTTTGTTTAGGAATGTCTTGGCTACACAAACTCTTTTTCGGTTCCATGTGAAATTTAGAGTAATTTTTTCTAGTTCTGTGAAGAAAGTTAACACTAGATTGATGGTGATAGCATTGAATCTATAAATTACTTTGGGCATTATGGCCATTTTCACCATATTGATTCTTCCTATCCATGAGCATGGAAGGTTTTTCCATTTGTTTGTGTCCTCTCTTATTTTCTTGAGCTATGGTTAATAGTTTTCCTTGAAGAGGTCCTTCTCCTCCCTTGTAAGATGTGTTCCTAGGTATTCTATTCTCTTTGCAGCAATTGTGAATGGGAGTTCACTTATGACTTGGCCCTCTGTTTTTCTATTATTGGTATATAGAAATGCTTGTGACTTTTGCACATTGATTTTGTATCGTGAGACTGTGCTGAAGTTGCTTATCTGCTTAAAGAGATTTTGTCCAAGATGATGGGGTTTTCTAAATATACAATCATGTCATCTGCAAAGAGAGACAAATTGACTTCCTCTCTTCTTATTTGAATACCTTTTATACCTTTCTCTTGCCTGATTGTCCTGGCCAGAACTTCCAGTACCATGTTGAATGGGAGTGTTAAGAAAGGGCATCCTTGTCTTGTGGCAGTTTTCAAAGGGAATGCTTCCCACTTTTGCCCATTTACTGTGATATTGGCTGTGGGTTTGTCATAAACAGCTCTTATTGTTTTGAGATATGTTTCATCATTACCTAGTTTATTGAGAGTTTTTGGCATAAAATGTGTTGAATTTTGTCAAAGGCCTTTTCTGCATCTATTGAGACAATCATATGGTTTTTGTCATTGATTCTGTTTACGTGATGGATTATGTTTATCGATTTGTGTATGTTGAACCAGCCTTGCATCCCAGGGATGAAGCGGACTTGATCGTGGTGGATAAGATTTTGATGTGCTTCTGGATTCAGTTTGCCCATATTTTACTAAGGATTTTTGCATCGATGTCAGGAATATCGGCCTGCAATTTTCTTTTTTGTTCTTGTGTCTCTGCCAGGCTTTGGTATTAGCATGATGCTGGCCTCATAAAATGAGTTAGGGATGAGTCTCTCTTCTTCTATTGTTTGAAACAGTTTCAGAAGGAATGGTATCTTCTCCCCTTTGTACCTCTGGCAGACTTCGGTTGTGAATCCATCTGGTCCTGGGCTTTTTTTGGTTGGTAAGGTATTAATTACTGCCTCAATTTCCTAAATTGTTATTGATCTATTCAGGGATTTGACTTCTTCCTGGTTTAGTCTTGGGGGTGTGGGTGGTATGTGTTCAGAAATTTATCCATCTCTTCTAGATTTTCTAGTGTATTTGTGTAGATGTATTTATAGTATTCTCTGAAAGTAGTTTGTATATCTTTGGGATCAGTGGTGATATCCTTTTGTCCTTTTTTATTGCGTCTATTTGATTCTTCTCTCTTTTCTTCTTTATTAGTCTGACTAGCAGTCTGTTTCATTAATCTTTTTAAAAAAACAGCTCCTGGATTAACTGATTTTTTGAAGGATTTTACATGTCTCTATCTCCTTCGGCTCTGCTCTGATCTTAGTTATTTCTTTTCTTCTGCTAACTTTTGAATTTGTTTGCTCTTCCTTCTCTAGTTCCTTAATTGCTATGTTAGGGTGTCAATTTTAGATCTTTCTCACTTTCTCTTGTGGGCAATTAGTATTGTGCTTTATCTGTGTCCCAGAGATTCTTTTACTTTGTGTCTTAGTTCTTATTGGTTTCAAAGAACTTCTTTATTTCTGTCTTATTTTTGCTATTTACTCAGTAGTCATTCAGGGGCAGGTTGTTCAGTTTCCATGTATTTGTGTGGTTTTGAGTGAGTTTCTTAATCCTGAGTTCTAATTTGATTGCTCTGTGGTCTGAGAGACTGGTAAGGATGATTTCTGTTCTTTTGCATTTGCTGAGGAGTGTTTTACTTCCATAAATTATGTGATTGATTTTAGATAAATGCAGTGTGGTGCTGAGAAGAATGTATGTTCGGTTCATTTGGGTTAGAGAGTTCTGTAGATGTCTATTAGTTCCGCTTGGTCCAGAGATGAGTTTAAGTCCTGAATATCCTTGTTAATTTTCTCTCTTGTTGATCTGTCTAATATTGGTGGGGTATTAAAGTCTCCCACTATTATTGTCTGGGGGTCTAAGTCTCTTTGCAGGTCTCTAAGAACTTGCTTTATGAATCTGGGTGTTCCTGTATTGGGTGCATGTATATTTAGGATAGTTAGATCTTCCTGTTGCATTGATCCCTTTACCATTATGCAATGTACTTCTCTGTCTCTTTTGATTTTTGCTGGTTTAACATCTGTTTTATCAGAGACCAGGAGTGCAAACCCTGACTTTTTTTTTTTTTTTTTTTTTTTTTTTTTTTTTTTGGCTTTCCATTTGTTTGGTAAATATTACTCCATCCCTTTATTTTGAGCCTATGTGTGTCTTTGTACATGAGATGAGTCTTGTCCTAAGGGGTCTTGACTCTTTATCCAAATTGCCAGTTTGCATCTTTTAATTGGGGCATTTAATTCATTTACATTTAAGGTTAATATAGTCATGTGTGAATTTGTTCTTGTCATTATTTTGCTAGCTGGTTATTTTGTCCATTTCTTGATGCAGTTTTTTCATAGCGTCGATGGTCTTTACAATTTAGTGTGTTTTTGCAGTGGCTGTTACTGGTTTTTTCTTTCCATATTTAGTGCTTCCTTCAGGAGGCAAATAATTTTATATGATGAAGAAACTTGTATGCTAAGTTCTGTCCTAAAATAAAATGACTGCTTGTGTAAGGAAAAAGAGATGGTCTGGAAAAAACAGAAAGTTTTTCCAGATGGTCTGGAAAAAACAGAAAGCATGTCATGAATGGTGGGTGTAATTCACAATAAGAGGATTTATATTTTTAAAGAAACAAAAACTTCAATATTATTATTAAGTTTTGGTTTGCTTAGGAATAAAAAACTGAGATAAAAAATTTTAAATTAACCCTCTGTGTTAAAGGCATTTCATAGACAAGGTAATTGGCCTGGGTGTCTGTCACAGGAAGACAGGAATGGGAGGCCCTAACCTGTGTACAGAGCTGCTTTCCCTGAACAAGCTATCTCATAATTGCTGTCCTTTTTTCAGGGGCCATAAATTGGAGCATACAGCTGAGAGGATCTATAAATAAAAAGATATAGAGGAACTTTGTAAAAAATTGCTTTGGTAATTAGATGACCAATAGCTTACATGTATAAGTGCAAATGTAAACTAGTACAGCCAGTATGAAAAACAGCATAGAGACTTCTCAAAAAACTAAAACTAGAACTACAATATGATCCAGCAAGCCCACTAATGAATATTTATCTAGAGCCAAAGATATCAATGTGTCAGGGGGAGCTCTGCTACATTAGTCCATTTTCTTGCTGGTATAAGAAATAACTGATACTGGGTAATTTATAAAGGAAAGAAGTTTAATTGGTTCACACTTTCACATCGCTGGGGAGGCTCAGGAAACTCACAATCATGACAGAAGGTGCCAGGGAAGGAGAAAGCTTCTTTACATGGTAACAGAAGACACTAGTGTGGAACAAAGCCAGGAGAAGCCCCTCATAATACCATCAGATCTTGTGAGAACTCACTCACTATGATGAGAACAGCATGCGGGGACCACCCGCATGATCCAATCACCTTGCATGAGGTCCCTCTCCCAACATGTGGGGATTATAATTTGGATAACAATTCAAGATGAGATTTGTGGTGGGGACACAGTGAAACCATATCACCTGCACTCCCTTGTCTACTGCATCACTATTCACAATAGCAAAGCTATGAAACCAACCTAAGTGTCCATCACCAGATGAATGGATATAGGCAATATGGTCTATCTACATAACAGAATATTATTTGGACATAAAAAAGCAAGAAATCCTGTAATTTGCAGCAGCATCGATGGGACTAGAGGTCATTATGTTAAGTGAAATAAGCCAGGCACAGAAAGCCAAATACCACATGTTCTCAGTCATATGTGGAAACTAAAAAAGTTTATCTCACAGAAGTAGAGAGTAGAATGATAGATATCAGAAGTTAGGAAGGGTGTAGGGGGTAAGGGCAATAAAGAGATGGTTAATAGGTACAAAATACATTTATAAAGAAGAAATAAATTCTAATGTTCCATAGCAGAGTAAGGTGACTATAGTTAAAAACAATATATTATATTAAAATTGCTATAAGAGAAGACTTGAAATTTTCCCAGGACATAGAAATGATAAACATTCAAGGTGAGGGATGCCCCAAATACCCTGACTTAATCATTATATATTCTATGCATGTAACAAAATTTCACATCCTCCATAAATATGTACAAACATAATGTGTCAAAAAATAATTAAAACATCATTTTCCTAGGTTCAAAGTCCAGCTTGAGGAGGATGCAATGTAAAATTTGCCCACAGTGACATAATCGTCATATCCTTGGTGAGTCTTCAGGGATCCAAGCCACGAGACCCCACAAAAATATAAGTGGACTTGACATCTACAAGCAGCCAATAGGCACTTTAAGGACAGCCCCCATGTGTTTGGGTGCCCACATCAGCTCACACCATGTTCCCTGATGGTGCCTAGCCCACATTCTCCATGCTTCTACCCAGTGGAACCACCCTTCCCAATCCCAGGGTCTCCAGATCTGGGCTGTCTGCAGCAAAAGCAGATACATTCTTCTCATGCCCCCATTCAAGGTAGGAAACTGCTTGCCTGCTATATCTACCAAATTGGTCTAAGTAAAGGTGAAAATAAATTTTGACTAAAACTTGCCAGCCTCTTCCCCATGGTTAAAAGATATCACACACAAACAAAGGCACAAGAGTACAAAAACTCAAACTGAGTAAAATGCATTTCACTCTGCCTCCTCCAAACCCATTCTCCATTTCTCAAGATGGTTAAAAAATAAAAGGGATAAAATCCTATATGTGCATTTGCTAACACTAATGCACTATATAAATGTTTCACTAACCTGAATGCAGTGTATAAATGCACCATCCCTCCCTCCTCACTCATGCACCTGCAGCTGGTGCCTAATTTGGGGGACCATTCCATTTCTCCCAGAGCTTCTGATTCATGTTGCTTCTATCCAACTTCTGATCATGGGCTCTGGGTCTTAATTTGTTACCCTAGATGTGATACTTAGGTTTTCTTAAGAATTTCCACTTACCCTCACAGTTGCTCTTTGCCATAGGATCCTAATACCCTAATAGGACAATCCAGAAAGCAAAAGCTGACAATTAGCCTCTGTCTACTCAAGATACATGTGGCCACTTGAAAATGTTTACAGAAAAAAAAAAAATAAAGTTATAGGCTGTGAAAAGAGCAGTCAGCTTTGACTGCTAATTGTCATGGGTGACTGGCGACTATCTGTGGTCCATGATGCAGGAATAAGAAGAATGTACCAAGAAAATTGTAGGTTTAAAAAAAGAAGATTCATTAGAGAGAGTAGGAAAATACATTGCAAGAATGCAATGGTTCAATGGGCAGGTCAATGAAATAGGAGCTGATTGAAAAGAGACAAAGACTTGCTGGGGATTCTATAGGATAGTGTTTGTGCTGTAGGCTGAAGAAGGCTTTGTGCAGTTCCAATAATGCCAAGGTTTCAGTGAGATAACTTGCAATTTTGTATCAGCCAAGGGTCTGGTGTAGCTGGGTGCAGCCAGATTGTGAGTTATTTGAGAAGGAGGGCTATGTGTTCCAGAGCATGAAGAAAGGGAGACTTACAGCTTACCTGCCTCCTCTTTCTACTTTCCCTCCATCCCCCTATCCTGACCTCCCTCCATAATTAGGACTTCACAATAATTAAGACGTAGAAAGCAGAAAAGACTAGTGAACACACATTGACAAGGTAATGAAGCTACTAAGCCTCAAACTCATAGTTTCTTTTTTTAATTGTGATAAAATTCACATAACATCAGCTTCACCATTTAAACCACTTTAAGTGTCCAACTCAGTGACACTCAGTACATCCACAATGTTGTACAACTCTCATGTGTATCTCATTCCAGAACATTTTCATCACCTCTAAATGGAGATTCCTTGCCTGTCAGTGGTAACTTCTCATTCCTCTCTGCCAGCTCCTGAGAACCACTAATTTGCTTTTTCTCTCTATGGATTTGCCTGTTCCGGACATTCCATATGAATGGAATCATGCACCATGTAGCCTTTTTTTCTGGCTTCTGTCACTAAGCATGATGTTTTCTAGGCTCACCCACCTGATAATATGTGCGTAAACATACTACAGTGTTACCAAAAGTACTTTGTTCCTTTTATGCCTGATATGGTTAGGCTTTGTGTCCCCACTCAAATCTCATCTTCAGTTATAATCCCCAGATGAGGGAGAGACTTGGTGGGAGGTGATTGGATCATAAGAGCAGTTTCCCCTATGCTGTTCTTGTGATAGTGAGCTCTAATAATATCTCATGGTTTTATAAGGTGCTCTTCCCCTTTCACTTGCTCTTCTCTCACCTATCACCATGTAAGATGTTCCGCTTCCCCTTCCACCGCGATTGTAACATTCCTGAGGCGTCCCCAGCCATGTGGAACTGTGAGTAAATGAAACCTTTTTCCTTTACAAATTACCCAGTCTTGGGTATTTCCTTATAGCAATGTGAGACTGGACTAAAACAATGCCCAACCAATATTGCAATATGTGGCTGCGCCATATCTTATTTATCCACTCCTCAGCTGATGCATATCTGGGTTGCTTTCACTTTAGGGATATTATGAATAATGCTGCTATGAACATTCACACCTGTTTCAGTTCTTTGTGGTACACATCTAGGAGTGGAATGACTGGGTCATATGGAAATTCTACGTTTAAATTATAAAGGAACTACCAAACTTCTCTAGCGGGGCTAAACAACTTCATACTCTGAACAGTGATTTTTGAGACCTCCAATTAAAATTATTGCCTTTTAAGATCCATAAAAAAATGCTAAGGATTGACCTGGCATGGTGGCTTATGCCTCTAATTGCAGCACTTTTGGGGACCAAAGCTGGAGGACTGCTTGAGGTTATGAGTTCAAGACCAGCCTAGGCAACATAGAAATATTCCATTTCTGCAAACAAATAAATAAACAAATTAGCCAGGCATGGTGGAACATGCCTGCAGTCCCAGCTACTTGGAAGGCCTAGGTAGGAAGATCTCTTGAGCCAGGTGTTCAAGGCTGCAGTAAGCCATGATCACTGCACTGCATCCTGGGTGTCAGAGCAAAACCCTGTCCCTCCACAGCACCCAGAAAAAGGCTGAAGATGCAGAAAAACATACATGAACTAGAATCCAGGATGTGGTGAACATTCCTACAAAGAAGAAACATTCAACTGCTTTCAGCCCTCATAGACGGAGTGGGGAGATGAGGAGTAATTCAGCTGATGTTGAAAGGCATTTTTAACAACTACATGTGGGCAGGCTTGCATGACAGATCAGCATCCTTATGAGGCCCAGCCAGAGAGCCCATCTGCAGCCAACCCTTCAAAGCACTCACACAGTCTTCATAAAGCCCCGTGGGGAATCCTACACCAGGCAGTGCAAAATAGTTCGGAGGGAAGTGGTGCAGGAAAGCTCAGATGCACCCCTCCAAGGCACTCCTAGCCTTCACCATGGGAGTCACACATTTGTCCCTGTCCCCCAGCCAGGGTGGAAATTTGGAATGACCACATCCAGCATAGGATAGAAAACAAAGAGGACTCTTCTCTTCAAAAGCCCAACAGGTGAGCAGCCAGGCTGCAAACAGCATGACTTAGAGTCTCACCAATGCTCAGATCCTAAGCTCCACTAAAGGGAAATTGTGGATCCCCTCTCAAAGCACCTGAAGCCAACAGGGTGAGCATAACCTAATTAAAAGTGAAGAAATGATACCCATACTGACATGGCAGTTTATCAAGGGGCCACACAGAAGAAGCATGTGGTGTTTTCTAGGGGAATATATGACTGACTCTGTCTCCAATATTTTTTACAATCAATGTCTATAATGCATGCATATTTATGTTTACATTTATGACATGTAAAATAGCATGAGACACACAAATGTTAGAATTCTCATGTACAGCCTTTAAGATATCCATACAAAATGCATTTAAGGATCCATAAAATAATCTAGCAGGAAAGGCAAACAGCATGTGTTAAGACATGGGGAATTTCAGGGACAAGATGAAAATACAAAAGAAGCAACAAACAGAAATGCTAGATATAGAACAAAGTAGATTTAACATCAGAAGTAAGAAATTCATGTTGTGAGCAAAGAAAAGCATCAGAGACCTTGAAGACAGGTCAAGAGAAATTACTCAAATTAAGATATAAAGAGTAAAAGGTAAAATGAAGCAACTATTTCTGTTCATCAAAAAATAATTTTAAGAATGTGAATTGGCTTCAGGCAATAGAAGTAAAAATAGACAAGTGGTATTGTATCAAACTGAAAAGCTTCTATGCAGGAAAAGAAATAATCAATGGAGTGGAAAGGCAACCTATGAAATGGGGGAAAATATTTGCAAACCATATACTGATAACTATATATCCAAAGTATATAATTAACTCCCACACTCAATAACAAACATACACAAGACCCAGTTAAAAAATGGACAAAGGACTTCAGTAGACATTTCTCTGAAGAAGACATACAAATGGCCAAGAAGCACATGAAAAGATGCCCAACATCACTAATCATCAGGGAAATGCAAATCAAAGTCACACACAATGAGATATCATCCCACACCTGTCAGAACAGCTGGTCTTAAAAAAACAAAAGACAAGTGTTAGTGAGGACGTGCAGAGAATTTCTTTGCACCCTGTTGGCAAAATGCAAAAAGTTGCTGCTGTTATGAAAAACATTATGGAAGTTCCTCAACAAATTAAAAAATGGAACTACCTTGTGATCTAGCAATCCCACCCCTGGAAATATATCTAACAGTACTAAAATTGGGATCTCAAAGCATTGAAATCTGCATTGCTCTGCTCACTGCAAGCTATTCACCATAGCCAAGATATGGAAGCAACCTAAGCACCTATCAACAGATAAATGGATTTTTTAAAAAACATGCTATATACATATGTTGGAATATTATGCAGCCTTAAAAGGAAGGAAATTCTATAATATGTAACAGCATGAAGAACCTTGAGAACCTTATGTTAAGTGAAATGAGCCAGTTACAGAAAGACAAATTCTGTATGATTCCATTTATAGGAGGTATCTAAAGTAGTTAAATTCATAAGACCAAAATGTAAAGTGTTGGTTTCCAGGGGTGGGGGGAAGGGAAAATGAGGAGTTATGAATCAGCAGGCATAAACCTTCAGGTAAGCAAGGTGGATTAGCTCCAGAGAACTGCAGTCAAACATTGTTCCAGCAGTCAATAATACTATATTGTACACTTAAAATTTTAAGAGTATAGATCTCATTTTTAGTATTCTTGTCACTATCAAATAAAATTTCTTTAAAAACATATTTCATGGAACAATGACAATGGCAAATACTAAAGTCACCATTCGTTATTTCACATTATTATGTCTATTCTAAGACTTTTGCTTGGAAAATTTGCTTAATAATGTGTGTTTTTCTTAATAACTATGTGCTTAGAAACTTTCCTTAATAACAAATATTCATAACATTTTTTATTCCAAACTCTCAAGCCAGCATATTATCTCATCAGACAGCAAAATAAAGCTTGCTTTTATTAAAAAAATAAAATAAAATAAATAAAAGATGATTTGAACAAGGCTAATAGGATAATTAGAAGACAGCAATGGCTATTGTGGTTTTATCTTTTGGAAAGCCCTTGGAGCCAGGTTTGCTAAGTGCAGAGCCAGGTTGCATTATACTGCTAAGTGGCAAGTGGTGTCAGCCTGAGAGACACTCAAGTAAGCTTTTCAGCAATCGTTGATCCTATACCCACAACATATCTCTTACTATTCCAGCCTAAGTGAGCATTTTCTTGGTGGGCTCCTTGAATATTTTCTCCCTTTGAGCTCAGCAACCATGACAAAACAGAAAAAGAGGTTGCTAAATTGAAATGCCACTGACATTGTCGCCTTTCAGCCAAACCCTTTGATCTTGCAACACAGCAAAGGTTAAGAAATCCCTTGACAAAATTCTTTGCTTGACCAAATATAACCCAGTCTCCTGAATCTTGATCTAAGATTATCTGTGCACTTCTTTGTAAAATCCAGTTTTTGCAAGAATCATCACCTTCAATATCTGATCACGCATGACATCAGGTCATCCTCTACAGGATTCCTCAACCTCCACCTGTTGGCAGGCGATGTCTATATTCCTAGCATTACATAGTTGTTAAAAGTTAAGCACATAGATTAGTGATGCATACATAGGCATCATTTTACAAGGTCAGCAATCCTGCAGGAGAAGCAAAATTGCAGTCTACATATCTATGTGACTAACAATTCAAAAAAGAAAGCCAACTTTTCAGATTTCCTTGAAAGGCATACAATGAAGAGTAGAGGAAAAAAACAAAAACAGGAAGTGTATTTGGCTTATCTCAGGAATCTGATTGCATCAAGTATAAATGTTCCTTAGAACATATTAATGTGACGTTAAAATAAAATTTTCCTTGGCAATTAAAAATGCAATGCACTAATATGTGCTTTCTAATGTGATTCAATTCAACAATGTAGGGAATGTTTACTACATTTCCAGATTGATGTCAAACAAGTGGGGAATAAAAGTTCCAGTTCTGCCAAGATTCATCAACTGCCTTCTTAGTTCAAGAGAGAGGCTGAGAAATGCAGACAGGAATAAAATATAAAATAGCCCCAACCTCCATGATCCGAGAGTGGGGAAAGGCCAGATTATTACCCATCAGTCAAATTAAAACAAAATGTTTTAATTTGTTTTATAACCAAAAGAAAAGAAAATGAACATTAGGGTTTAAGGCCATATTGGTATTTGCACCAATATAGTTGTAAAATACAAATGTTAATATGTTTTATGTTTTTATATAATATATATTTATATTAAAATATATTTAATATGTTTAGCCCTCATGGCCCATGAAAGTCTCACAGGGCCCTAGGGAAGGGACCCTAGCCTGGTGAAGCAGCAGCTTTGCTCTACAAACACCTGGTGTAGAAATTTGATTAGAAAAGTATTATTCTCTCTTCTGTCTTTCAGTGGGATTCCTTAGGAAAACCAAACCAGAGTCAAAATAAACCCTCGAAGCAGTAAGAGGTTGGATGAGATGTTCGTACTATTGGGACTAGAAGTGGCTCTCATTAGCCCGAGCAATTCTAATAAAAAGGCAAAAAGTGTCAATAGAGAGGTTGCTGGTGGGTGCATGGCCATAGGGAGCTGACCTACTCGGGAGGAAAGGTGTTGATCATGTGGAGGCCTCTAAAAGCTAAAGCCTTGTTACCTTCTCTTTAGTGCCCAGAGAATGTGGTATGTGATGCAAATGCTCAAAACCTCTTAAATCATAGCCGTCTAACTTCTGTGGATCTTCAACCTTCTCCCAGGCCCATCTGTGTGCTTGTTTGTAAAATCCAGTTTGAGCAAGAAGCCTATTAAGTCAATTTAACAAGAACAATCTACCACCCCCCTACCCTCCCATCTGTTCAACCTCAGTATCTGATCAGGCTCCTCAGCCTCCACCACCCCCAGGAGACATGTGGTCACCTGGTTGGCCTTCTGCTAGAATCTTGTTAGGTCAGTTTAGCAGGAATCCTGCTGGCCCTTGGTGTTTCCTCTTAGTAGTTTTCCATCCACTGATGGGCACCCTACTCCATGGATATGAATCCCCACTTTCCAATGCTGTATTCAGATCTGAGCCCAATCTTTCTCCCCCACTGCAAGTCCCCATTGCTGTGGTCCCTGCACCTGTCGTGATGGTCCTGAATAAAGTCTTCCTTATTGTGCTTTATCAAGTGCTACTGAATACTCCTTAACATCCTCCCACACCTTGTGTTCTGGAAAATGGCTTATTGCAAAGAACCCCCTTCCCCATATGACTGAGAAAAGACTCATGGATGTCCCTTGTCTAATAGGACAGAGACAGACCCTCTAAATCCTCATTCTTTGTCTTATAAACAGTTGCAAGTTAGCTGAGCCACTTGTTCTTCCTAGTCAAATGTTGGATCAGTTTCTCTCTTTCCCTTAGAACCCTGAACATGGGCCCATCCTCAGTCTGAGTGAGCAGGCACTTCCTCCTGGGAACCTGCCCTCAGGGCAAATATTCTCTCACCTACTATCTAATGAGGCCACACTTAATTCCACATCAGTGCCTGTGACATTTTCTAGCCTTGTTTACTACTGTCTGTAAAACAAAAACATGTGTTCCCTCTAGTCTTTAAGAGGCTTGCAGACCTTATAGTCAGAGTGTTTTCTCTCTTACATTAAGCCTTTTGAATAAAAGTTCCTCCTTACTAAGTCTGCATTTGTTTTGTTTTGTTTTGTTTTTGACACCAAGCAAAGGAGACTTTTGGACCAATGGAGTTGCAGCCCTGTTGAAGTTTTATTTTTATGTAAAATAAACTTTTCTTTCCTGGGAGATCCCCTAAATACTAAAGAATCGCAGCCGTGGGTGTAGCATCCTGCTATTGTGTATTGGAAGCCACATGTCACTTATTTACCATCATGTTGAAAAAGGGGTTAAAGGTGCATGTCTGCCCCATCTCTTAAGACATCAGTTGCATCACTGTTAGGTTGCAAGGCAGATAACGCCTCTGATGACTCTGTTACTAAGGAAAAGGTCTCTGACCAGCTTGAAGGAGCAATCCCAATATGTTTGCTATGCACATGAGCTCCTAATTAGCCTTGTGGTTCCTCTGCTGTGGACAGCATTGTGATATGTGAATAAGCTGTCATTTGCCTGGGAATGCCAAGCAGGATCTAGCATTGGTAACATGGTCCCAGCAAAAAAGAGGAAACACATACAATATAGGAGAATGAGAGGAGAATTTACTGAAAAGACAGCTAACATCAGTGTGGGCAGAAAGAGGAGGAAGGCAGTTCACCCCTGAGACTGGTACCACACCGAGGCCCAAAGGGGAAGGAGTGATCCCAGAGCTTGTGATGACCTTTGAGGAGTGCAGGATGCAATCCTGGGCAACCCTGCAGGAGGGAACAGAGGAGATGAAAACCCCAGCCTGGTTCTCCTTTCCCTTTATGTGTCGACTTTCCTTGGCCAAAAACAACCACGACAACATGACAACATAAAAGGCAAAACAGCATATGGATGCCATTCACCCTGGGCTTCTTTCAGGGTAGAGAACAGTTGGGAGTAGGTAAAGGGGCTCCAGGCATAACAAGAAAGATTCCAATCCAGGCCAGTCCCCACTGGGGCCATCATTCATCAGGAGCCCCAAATACACAACTGCATCACTCCTTTCTCACCGCACATTAAACGGTAGTGTTCTTCTTCCCACTGCACAAGAAGTGAGGCTTAGAAGGTTCCCACATTTATACAGGATTTGAAGAAATCAAATACCAGAGCAAGAGCAATAAATGGAACCCTGGTTTATCAGCCTCCAATATACCTTGTTCTCTCACTCCTGGGTATCTACCCAGAGCTAAAGAAGTCATTATACAAAAAAGATACTTGCAAATGCATGTTTACAGCAGCACAATTTGCAGTTGCAAAAATGTGGAACCAGCCCAAATGCCCATCAATCAATGAGTGGATAAAGAAATTGTCATGTATATATATGACAGAATACTACTCAGCCATAAGAAGGAATGAACTAATGGTATTTGCAGCAACCTGGATTGGATTGGAGACTATTACTCTAAGTGAAGTAACTCAGAAATGGAAAACCAAACATCGTGTATTCTCACTCATGAGTAGAAGCTACGCTATGAGGATGCAAAGGCATAAGAATGATACAATGGACTTTGGGGATTCAGGGGGGAAAGGTGGGAAGGGAGTGAGGGATAAAAGACTACAAATAGAGTTCAGTGTACACTGCTCAGGTGACAGGAGCACCAAAATCTCACTAATCACCGCTAATGAACTTACTCATGTAGCCAAACACCACCTGTTTCCCAAAAACCTATGGAAAAATATTAAATATCTTGTTCTCCTCATTATTTCCCATAGATGTATAAATTCCTTTCATTCCACAAGGGAAGACAAGACATTTACAAAAATAAAACAGGAAACTGGGCATGGTGCCTCACACCTGTATTCCCAGCACTTTGGGAGGTGGAGGCGGGTGGATCACTTTATGTAAGGGGTTTGAGACCAACCTGGACAACATTTTGAAACCTTGTCTCTACTACAAACACAAAAATTAGCCAGGTGTGGTGGTAAGCCCCTGTAATCCCAGCTGCTTGGGAGGCTGAGGCAGAATCACTTGAACCTGGAAAGCGGAGGTTGCAGTGAGCCAGGATCGCGCCATTGCACTCCAGCCTGGATGACAAGAACGAAACTCAGTCTCAAAAAAAAAAAAAAAAAAAAAAAACGGAAGAGGAGTGTACTGACTCAGATTTTTATTAAAGTATTAAGACAGCAAATCATTCTTTCTAGACAGATGTGATTAATCAGAGACAATAAGGCCACTGTGAGCATGTGCAGGCTTTAGAAGAATGGTTTTATGGAAAAGTTAAGAAAGCAAATACATAGAGAAAGCTGCCAGAGTTGCCAGTTTTGTACTGGGTGCCCCCCTGCAATCAGTCAAAAAATAATGTGAGTCAGGAGAAAAAGGGAACATGTTCAAGGGGGGGAAACATGTAAATAGTGTTTATTGTGTTCCTACCATGCACCAGGCAGGCTTTGCATTTTCTATAAATCATGATGATGACAATTCATATAATCTTTTATATTTTTATGTTTTGAGACAGGTTTTTGCTCTGTGGCCCAGGCTTGAATGTAATGGTACGATCATAACTCAATGTAGTCTCAACCTCCCAGCCTCAACCAATCCTCCCACCTTCAGCCTCCTGAGTAGATGGGACTCCACCCAGGTATCAGCATGCCTGGTTAATTTTTTAACTTTTCTTTTAGAGATAGGGTCTTGCTATGTTGTCCAGACTGGTCTCAAACTCCTGGCCTCAAGCAGTCCTCCTTCCCTGGCCTCCCAAATCACCAGGGAGTGAGCCACCACCCCAGCCTTGATTAACAGTCTTTGAAGTAGATATGCTGGGATGGGTGAGAGGAAGCAAAAAGCAAATTGGGACACCCAAAAAAGCCAGGAGCGGCCTGGGAGGGTGGTTGTAAATTGTTTGTTTCCTGAGCTCAGAGATGGATACAATTTTTACACTTGAAGGAAACAAGAATATTCTTCTTTAAAATAATGAGAATTGCTGAAAAGAAGAAGGTTAAAAGGCAGTGGACACGCTGCCCCTCCATCTGCTTTCCTCACAGCAAGACAGCAATTTACAAAGACAAGGTCTTCCTGCCCACCTGTCTGCCTTTGCCACCTTCCTGCTCTCCTGCCTGCCTTTCCCACTGAAAGACAGTACCCTTTACAACTCTCACCTATTAGCTCAGAGACAGCACCACAGCAGCTCGAGGCAGATTTTACTCCTCCTAGAAATTTAACTTCCTACATCTTTCTCCCTTTTGGTAGCCTGCATATATTCTCCTCTTTGTCTTGTCAGTACATAGGATTTATGGTTCTTTGTTAAAATCCTATTTGAGCAAGGCCTCTAAGCCACTGCCTTGAGAGAGAAGTGTTTTTGAACTGAGGCCTCTCCTGTGTGATGGGTAGAGTATATGTCAATAAACTTCTCATGGTTTTTCTCTTGTGAATCTGACTTTTGTTTTCAGGAGAGTGTCACAAATAAGAACTTATGAGAGAAAGAACAGACGTTAGACTTTCTCCCTTACACACACAAAAGAAACATTAAGGAAGTGGGATGTCCATTAGAAAGCACTTCAGATTTCCTCATTTTCAACAGGAACTGCATTTGTAGACATTTACAAAGCAAGCATCAAATTCAATTTCATTATTACAATTTAATCAAACAAATTCACTAAAGTACAGTACTTGTCAGCCAGAAAACTGTTTGTTTAGTATAATTCATCATCAATTACCTCGAAAGGAAAAAATTATGGTACATATATGTATAAATAACTACACATTCTGGTTATACCAGAGGGATTATCTGCAGGATCTGTAGATGAGCTGTCTATTTAAAATGAGTAACTCCTGGGGCAAGAAGGCACAAAGTCAAAGGTGCACACTGTATAAAATCCTCTTTATAAACAGAAGCCTTTTGGCTCCCGTAGACTCTTCAGACAGAAATATTTTTTTTCTTTTATTTTTTGAGACAGAGTCTTGCTGTTGCCCAGGCTGGACTGCAGTGGTACAACCTTGGCTCACTGCCACCTATGCCCCCCCAGGTTGAAGCGATTCTTGGACCTCAGTCTTCTCAGTAGCTGGGGATTACAGGTGCACGCCATGATGCCTGACTAATTTTTGCTTTTTTAGTAGACATGTGGTTTCACCATTTTGCCCATGGCTGGTGTTGAACTCCTAAGCTCAAGCCATCCACCCACCTCAGCCTCCCAAAGTGCTGGAATTACAGGCATCAGCCACCATGCCTGACCCAGTATTCTTTCCTAAGTAATCATTTATAACCATATCCCCTTCTCAATTCACATTGTCCAGTAGCCATATATCACTTGCTTATGCCTGGACAGCAGCCCATATTGCATTTCTTCTCTTAGGCATTGCTTAATAATTCTGGCTGGCACAAATGGACAGGCTACAAAGGGAAGGAATACATTGACACGTATCTGCTCCCCTGATCCGCAGCAGAAAGCCCCTAAAGGAAGGGGAAGAGGAAGGAAATGCAGATGTTTAGATTCGGACCCAGTTTGGCTTTTATATGTAGCTCTGATCTCTATGAAGAGATGCCCTTTTCCCCATTTTGGGCAGGGCAGGGATGACTCTAGACCTGAGATTAAAAAATAAAGAAAGATAGGCAGTGCCGGCCGGGGCACAAGAATAGGTCAGCCTTCTCCTCAAAGCCCACCTGTAGAGAGTTTGATGCCTGATGGAAATCTTAGCAAAATGATAGATGTCGCAGGAAACTGGAGCATCTCACAGATATACTCACATTGTGGAACATGAGAAAGACTGGTTGGAAAAAGAAAGAGGGTGGTTTCCCTGCAGAACAACTTTCTACAAGAGGGGAAGGCCCAGCCAACCCAGAAAAATTCAGTGGGAGTAGTAGGCAGAATTCTAAGATGGCCAGAAGTTGGAGAGAGATGCTGGACATCAACTGGTGTCCACAAAGAAGCTGATGGTGATTATGTAAACTTCCTGTGAGGTCCATAGACCTAGAAATCACTAATGGCCAAGGACTTTCAGCAGCAAGAATGTGGGAACCTCAGTCCCAGAACCACGAAGAACTGAATTCCACCAACACGCACTGAATTTGGAATAGCATCGGGAGGCTCGGGGAGAACACAAAGTAGCTGGCACCTTAATTTTATCCTGGCGATCCCCTGAGCAGGGTAAAGTCTACCCTTGCTTAAACTTCTGAACCCAGAGAGATGATACACAGGTGTTGTTGTCAGCCACTGTGTGCTATGGAGCAATAGAAAATGAATATAATGGAGTGAACATTAAGGTAAGTGTTTTTCATTGGGGAGATGTTGGTCTAAGGATAGAAAGTTTCACTTAGGAGCCAGAGTTCAAGACATCTTTCCTACAACATGGTGACTGTAGTGAATAACAACACAATGGATATTTGAAAATTACTAAACAGTAGATTAATAAGTGTTCTACCCCAAAAAAAAGTATGTCAAGTAATGCACATGTTAATTAGCTTCATTAAGCCATTCCATAATGTGCATGTGTGTGTGTATATGTGTGTGTGTATATAGATACATATACAATGCAAAATGTCATGTTGTATACCATATATGTATATACTTTATATTTCTCAATTAAAAAAATAATTTTGCTGGAAAGTAAATGCTTTTCTATGTGTAACTAGAAGATCTCATGCTGGGGATATTTGGTTTAGAAATTCATTTGCATGTCTTACCTAAAAAGTTATTATTTAAATATTAAAAAGTATTAAAAGTTTTATTATTTATATAATATATATTTTAACATATAACTCCTAGTATAAATATATATTTATGTATAGATTGTTATAACTATAAAATATATAGTATATTAAATATATAAACAATTATTCACTTATAATAAATATAAATAAATGTAAATTAGTTCAGCCATTGTGCAAGACAGTGTGGCAATTCCTCAAGGATCTAGAACCAGAAATACCATCTGACCCAGCAATCCTATTACTGGGTATATACCCACAGGATTATAAATCATGCTACTATAAAGACACGTGCACACGTTTGTTTATTGTGGCACTGTTCGCAATAGCAAAGACTTGGAACCAACTAAAATGCCCATCAGTGATGGACTGGATTAAGAAAATGTGGCACATACACACCATGGAATACTACACAGCCATAAAAAAGGATGAGTTCATGTCCTTTTCAGGGACATGGATGAAGCTGGAAACCATCATTCAGGGGGGCAAACTATCACGAGAGAAAACCAAACACCGCATGTTCTCACTTATATGTGGGAGTTGAAATTGAGAACACATGGACACAGGGAGAGAATACCACATACCAGGGCCTGTTGGGGAGTTGGGGAGAGGTGGGGGATCTTAGAGGACAGGTCAATAGGTGCGGCAAACCACCATGGCATACATATACCTATGTAACTAACCTGCACGTTCTGCACATGTATCCCATACTTTTGGAAGAAATAAAGAAGAAAAATAAAATAAAATAATATATATAATAAATAACATGAAAATAAATATTTTTTTAAAAATCTGTATTCATTTTTGTATTCTAATTCATTTTCAAATTATATTTGAATTTTTTATTTTTAATTACACATATTTTAATTAAATATAATATATTTAATAATTATTTAAAATAAAACAATAGTATCAATATATAAATATAAATATATTTATATAAACACATATATATGCATTGATATATAAAATTATATATAAAATACATAATATGAAAATAAATATTTTTTAAAATCTGTAGTATTAATCTTTATATTGCAATTCAGTTTTTAATTCCATCTACAAACATTGATCGAACTACAACTTAATCTGACCTGCTATGCAAGGCTTGGCACCACCCCTACATGTAAAAAAGGTCGAGAATCTATTGGCTGGATGGTCCAGCCTCAAAACAGAAAGAAGAAAGGGACGTGTTGTGGGCTAAGTAATGGTCAGGCCCTGAGGCACCCATAACCTAATCCCTGGCACCTCACACTTTACCTTACATGGCAAAGGGCACTTGGCAAGTGCCATGAAGGATCTTGAGATGGGAAGAACTTCCTGGATTAGCCAGGTGGGCCCACTGTCATCACAAAGGCCCCTCTAAGAAGGAGGTGGGGAGAGACTGGAAGACACTATGCTGCCAGCTTTGAAGATGGAGGAAGGGCCCAGCAGCCTGGAATGTAGAAACCCTCTAGAAGCAGGAGAAGGCAAGAAGAAGAATTCAACCCCTAAAGCCTCCAGAAAAGAAGGCAGCCCGGGCCTCACCGTGATTTTAAGGCAGTGAAACCCACTTTGTGCTTATGACTTCCAGAAGGGTAAGGTTATATTGTTTTACATTGTTTTAACCCACTCAGTTCACTATAACGTGTTATAGCAGTGTTGGGAAATTACAGAAAGAAAAGGAAAAATATAAGGAAGGAGGAAGGTAGGTAGGAAAGAAAGAAGAAAGGAAGAGAGGAAGGAAGAAGGTGGAGAAAAATTATTTGAATCTATTCAGGAATTTTTCTGCAAGTCTAGAAATACAGGAAAAAGCGTCTGCTGAAAAACAGCAGTTTTTGTTATCACTGGAAAAGACAGGGTAAAGGGTAGGAGAGACCTGTCTGTACTGTTTTTATAATTACTTGTGAGTTTATAATTATATCAACATAAAAAACTTAAAAACAAAATTATAAAACTTAATGAATAGTAACCTGACATTTCTATATATTACACATAGAAAAGTCTGGAATGATATTTATAAACTGTTTCCATAGTGAGTATAGATGGTAGCACTATCATATGCTTCTTTTCTATGCTTTTCTGATTTTTTTATTTTTTTCCCAATAAGCGTATCTTATTTTCATTGAAATAAAGCTTTGGGAGGCTGAGGCGGATGAATCACAATATCAGGAGATGGAGACCGTCCTGGCTAACACAGTGAAACCCTGTCTCTACTAAAAATACAAAAAATTAGCTGGGCGTGGTGGTGGGCGCCTGTAGTCCCAGCCACTCAGGAGGCTGAGGCAAGAGAATGGCATGAACCCGGGAGGCAGAGCTTGCAGTGAGATGAGATCACGCCACTGCACTCCAGCCCGGGCAACCGAGTGAGACTCCATCTCAAAAAAATAAATAAATAAAAATTAAAAAAATAAACAAAACCACTTGTAAAAAAAAATTAAAAAGGGTTAAAGGAACACTCATTCTCTCTTGGAGAGAAAGAGCTAATGCCCAAGTTTCATTAACTTATACTTTCACTGTATTGCAAATACTATGGAAAATGCTACTGCTTTGTATCACCATGTGTGAAGCAAATGTTGGATTTTACCATAATAGAGAAATGAGCATTTCAGGCTCTCTGTCGAAGATTCCAATAATATCCAACTGACTGCTTGTTTTATCTGTTGTCCTACAAACCAGAAGCCTGGGAAACCATTCTTTTGCCCCCTCATCTCCTAGAGCAAAGTACAACAGGGAAAATATTTACATGCATCTGTTTGGGGAGAAGTCATGATATTAAACAGATATGTATACCCTTGAGACTGCTAAAAGTAAGTGAATAGTAGCTGATTCTTTCTGTTAAGGTATAGCATAATTCTTCAGTTATTTGTTAAGTTCCTGACCAGTTTATAATTATAAATGATTTTACAGAAACACCATAAAATAGACATGCAAATTCATTTGTGCATAATGATTCTTCTCTCATTAAAGCTCAAAACTGGTTTACAACATTAAAATACTTTGAACTCTGAATTTCCCTATTACTACATTATACTATATGGTGAAAACTTACTATTGAGACTTGGTTATTTCATCACTAAAAGATCATTTTATGACATTATTTAGAAAAACATTAATATTTATAAATTCAATCAATATGAAAAACTAAACTTCATCCCTGCCTAAAAGTGCTCATAACTAAGAATTTCTTGAGTGAATTGTTAAAAGTTAACCACCATTATCCAATCCTCCAGTTCCAGGTACATTGTTAATCCCTGTAACTTGCACATATCATGGAAATGCTTGAAGACAATGTAATCAAAGTCATGTCTGCAATGCAAAAGAGATTTGAGGACAGTGTGCTAGTTGTCACTTGAATAAAAACTCAACTCAGTTCAACTGGACAATGCAGAAAAATCAATCAGCAACTCTTTAAAATGTGTTTCCTTTGCATGAGGGAAGAAAGGTAATTTTTTTTTCTTTTTTTTTTTCTTTTTGTTTTGAGACAAGGTCTCACTCTGCTGCCCAGGCTGAAGTACAGTGATGCAATGGCAGCTCACTGCACCTTCCTCTCCTCCCAGGCTCAAAGGATCCTCCCATTTCAGCCTCCTGAGGAGCTGAGACTAGAGGAGTGTGCCACTGCACCCAGCTGATTTTTTTTTTTTTTCATTTTTGTTAGAAATGGGGTTTCACCATGTTCCCTAAGCTGGTCTCCAACTGCTGAACTCAAGTAATCTACCCTCCTCGGCCTCCCAAAGTGCCGGAATTACAGGCCTGAGCCATTGCCCACTGCCCCCAGCCCAAAGTGGAATTTTTAATGAAAATTTCAAGCTATTAAAATAAAGTATAGAAAAAGAATATCAATTTTGTTTGCCAAATCTAAACTAAGCAACTGTTTTTTTTTTCTCTGATAACATTTGGTCTAGATGACATATCAAATAATAATTAAATTCACAACAAAATCTTTCAGCATAGCTTTTAGGTTCATACTTCCTTGAATTAGGATTCAAATTTTATTCATACAGATACATGCATACCTCTTATTTAAGACCCTTGGATCACACTGTTCTTTATTGGTTTGGAATGAAAAGGAAGGGTTTTCATTGTTGACAAGTGGGACAACATCTCTTTATCAAACTAATAGGATGAATCATTAGAAATAGTCATTTTTATAGATAAAATATGATTATCAGCAATATCATATGGCTGGTCATATATGGCCAGCAATCAAAGAACCAAAAAAAAAAAAAAAAAAAAGAAAGAAAAGACTAATGGATAAATAAGCAAATAAATAATAAAAGGATGGTATGAGAACAATACATTTAGAGAACAAAATAGAACTTTTGAAAACACAGAACATGATAAATGAAATAATTCAGCAGAATGCTGGAAAGATTAAGGTGAGGACATCTCAAAGAACATTAGAACAAAAAGGCAAGGTGAATGATAACAGGAGAAAAAAGACATGAAAATTAGGATATCATAACCAGGGGCCCAATCTTAGCTATTAGATATTCCAGAGGAAGAGACAGAGAGAGAAAGAGAGAGAGGGAGGGAGGGAGGGGGAGAGAGAGAGAGAAAGAGAGAGAGAGAGAGAGAGATTGCCAAAGCAATAAAGCAAGACATAGGTTTAGACTTGAAAGGCGTGAACTTCAATATTGAACAGACCTGGGGGCCAAAAACAGTGAAGAAAAATTAACCCAGAGCAAAGCTAATTTTCATGGAACCTTAGGATACAGAGCACCAAGACAAAATCCTAACTGTATAGAGAGTGCAGTGAGTGGATGGGTTACATACAATCAAGTTCCGGCTTTGGCAGTTCCCCTGAGTGGTACAAGACAATTATGCAATGACTGTGAAATCCAGAGGAAAAATGATTTCCACTGAGAATGGTGGCTCACACCTGTAATCCCAGCACATTTTGAGGCTGAGGCAGGAAGATTGCTTGAACCTGGGAGCTCTAGACCAGACTGGGCAATATAGCAAGATCTTGTCTCTACGTTTTTTTTTTTTTTTAATTAGCCAAGTATGGTGGTGGTGTGTGCCTATGATCCTGGCTACTCAGGACACTGAAGCGGGAGGACCACTTGAGCCCAGGAGGAAGAGATTGCTATGATGCCGTCCATCACTGAACTCCAATTGGGAGTGCCATACTCTTGCAACTGAGAAAGAGCCTGTCTCAAGAACAACAATAACTATATATATATATACACACACACACATATATGAGAAAATAAACCAAATAATTTCCA
This sequence comes from Homo sapiens, assembly GCF_000001405.40. Lineage (NCBI taxonomy): Eukaryota > Metazoa > Chordata > Mammalia > Primates > Hominidae > Homo > Homo sapiens. The sequence continues at coordinate 15,484,279 of NC_000024.10, read as the reverse complement.
ACGTAGAGTTTTACATCAGCCAACCCCTCCAGTCACAGTTGAATCGGTCCCTGAATAAAGTCAGTGAATGAGTGCCCACTATTTGCTCCTCAAGCTGAAGATCTCTGCTCCCAAGCAAGCTGCTGGTCAGTATGGGCAGAAAGCCTTCATGTCCAACTGATACCATTTTCTGTGGTTGCACTCTCACATGTAAGATCCCCAAAGAACCACAGCACAGAATTGTCACTTTTAGCTTGGGGGGAACAACAAAACATGATGAATAATAATTGCAATAATTACATTCCTGTTCTTTCTCTTCTTCACTAAAAAATAAGGACATTGGTGTGTAGATAGGGAAAGCCTCTTACGTAATTCAAAGTAATTAAACTAGAAAAGAGCTACTCCTGCTAAGAGCTTTCCTTTGCTAGCATGGATGATCTTGCAATTGCCCAAGAGTCTATTTTACTCAGACAGCCCCACATCTTATATTTCTTTTTCCCTTGTCCATGGAGTCTGGGTACTACACATGCCCAAGCCCACCAGTGCCTTTACAACAACAGGCAACAGAAGCCCTGCTACTGAGCAGCACCCAGCCTAGGGCCATGTGAGCCCATGAAGCAGCTCAGAAAAACTATCATGATTATCCATGATCTCACAGTGAGGAAGGACATCATAAGTAATTGATGATGGAGGGAGGGAAGGGAGGGAAGGAGGAAGGAAGGGAGGGACGGAGGGAAGGAACAAGGAGGGGAGATTTGAAATTTAGTCAATTTTCCTTGGGTATTTCGCAGATAAACAGGAAGTATCCATGTCAATAAACTTCTACTTGTTTTCTCGTTTATCTGCCTTTTGTTACAAGGGTCTGTACTATATAAGAACTCAGAAAGGGTAGAGGAAAATTACTTTTTCCTCCCCTATGCAGGAATTCAACTAAAGAAATCATGGCCAAGATGCAGCAGAGGGTATACACAGACCTTATCTAGTCTTTACATAAACAGCTTAACATCTTTCAGCTTCATTGTTGCCTGCTGTTATAAAACAGAACAGGTAGATAAAGTAGTGGTTGTAATTGTTTTTAGTCACAGGAACTTCTGTGCATAAGAATGTCTAATAGAATGAAAATCAGTGCTGTTCTTATAGAAGAGGGTGAAACTAAATCTCTGACAATTCCCCCCAGTGGCTGAAGAAGTTCCCAGGAGCAGCCTGAGGAACCTCGGGGTTCCAATAGGAGCAGTTTGCCAAGCACTGCACATTAAGTCAAACATTCTAAGTGCTTTCACTAGAATGGAGGTAAAGGTAGCAAATTAAGTGTTGACTGGAGTGTCTGTGTAAGACGTCTTCTTATAAATGCAATGTTTTATTCCTTAAGCATTTTTACACACTATAATTTAAAACATAGAACAAAGTTATTCTCAATTCTGAAGACAAGGTGTGCTTGCCAAGAAAAAGCAAGACAGGCTTTGTTGCTCTTGCTCTAATTTAAAAGTCCACAGAGCCACAGCACCTGTGATAATTCTGATTCCACAAACCATGAAGAATGGGAAGTGTGAAATCCATCACTATGTTTATAAATCCTGAGACAACTCTAGAGATTGTATTCAGCAGTGATTATGTTGTCATGTGAACTCTGTTTTGGGTAAAAGAAAGTAGAAGGTGAGAAGTTTGGAGGGTGGTACAGGTATTACCAAAGACAAGTTCTAATTGCACTTCTTGACAAAAATCTCCCATGTGCTAAATACTACATAAAGAAGCAACATGGAAAAGCAACACTGCAGCCTCCATACTTATTTTATAAATACAGTCATGTACTACGTGGTGATGTTTCTGGCAATGATGAATCATATATACAATGGTAGTCCTATAAGATTATAATTCCATATTTTTACAGTACCTCCTGTTTTTAGACACGTTTAGATACACAAATAATTATCATTGTGTTACAGCTCCTTGCAATATTCAATACAGGCACATTCTGTCCAGTTGTTTAGTGTAGGAGCAATAGGTAATGCCATACAGCCTACATATATAGTAGGTTTGTGTGAGTACACTGTATGATGTTCACACAATGACAAAAATCAACTGTTGGTACATTTCTCAGAATGCATCCCCATCATTAAGTGATCCATGACTGTATCACATAATGAAGCAATAGGAATTTGAAAAAATTCCTTTGCAAAATTACAACAGTGAGAGAAATCTAACATAACTGGTTCCATCTTGCTTCTGATGTCACAAGCTAAGTTCTCTTGCTCATTTCTGGGTAGGCCAAGCCAACTATGGGAGGATTTTAGTTTACAGTTTGACATTAAAGGAGGGATGACAACAGTCCATTCCCAAAACTACCCCTCCTTATTCGGGGAAATTAAAAAAGTTAAAAACAATACATTTAATGAAATCTCATTATTTGCAAGGTATGAATCCCTAGGCCCCTTAGTAAGGACGTTGAGCAAGAAAAAAAGGTCAGAGTTCAGCCCTCACTACCTCTTGATATAATCCTGTAAGGACACAACAACACCTGTGTAGTGTCCCTGAATCATACCTTGCCAACCACGAAATTTCATTAAACGTGTTTTTGTTGTTTTTTGTTTTGTTTTGTTTTTGTTTTTAATTAATCTGGCATAATGTGGCTTCCTTTCCCAGCTGACTCTAGTATGGCATCACATGACAGGTCGCAGGGCTCCTTATTTAAACCATTCCTTTCCACTGACTCCAAGTCTTTAGACGAAACTTAATTCTTTCAATCAATTGCCCACCAAAGAATCCCTAAACCTGCCTATAATTTGGAAGCCTCTACTTTGAGATATCCCTCGTTTTGGGGCTGAACCAATTTTACTTGCAATTCTATAATCCAACCAACTTGAGTGCACTCTCTCAAGACCTCTTGAGACTGTTTCCCTATGCCATAGTTACTCATATCAATTCAGAATAAACCACTTTAGATATTTTGGCAGAGTTTGTATTTTTTTTCATCATCATACATGATTCCAGGAACCCTATAATCAATCAACACATGGTTAAGGCTATAAGTTCCAAATTGCTCCATCTCCCCTACCCATTTACCGCTTAACTTTTTCTCCTTTATTTTTTCTGATACACAACAGGCAGTAATAATTTTTGTGGTTGGGATTAATAACTTGATACTAAAATGTGCTTCTTATCATCTACATTCGCAACCCTAACATAGCCTTATTAAGCATTACAGTGCACTTTAAAAAATTTTTCACCATCAAAGGAATAAAAAAAATATACGCACTATTCTGGTATATGCCTAAGCAAAATTAAGCCAAAAGACTTCTGATAGGCTCTTTCAAATAAAATGGCATGTCATACAAAGGAAATTCTCTTTTCTAAATTCATAATAAAATTATATTTTCCTATCAGTAAGCCTTCTTTTTTTTTGGAGGGGCACAAATCAGGAAAACTACAGACAATATAAGCGTTTTTCTGACAATCCCCAAAGTCTTCATCCATTTAGGGGAGGGAAAGAGTTTAATACTCTCTATGCAAGAACCCAGAATTCTGAATTGTGAAGCATATTAAAATACCTCCACGAAGATGGCTTTATGCTGGTAAAGATAGAGTGGACACTGTTGTTAGATATTTAGAACAAATATTTTAACGGCCACTGCAACACTCCCACTTTACCTCAGAACATTAAGAAAGGATAATGAATGCTGTATTAGTTTATCATGAATTAATCATAAACCTTTCAGCTGCATATTTTTAATTAGCTACTGTGTCTGCCAATTTTTTCAGAGCCTTTCTATCTGGGTCTAGAGAATGCCAATCTTTCCTGTAGATTACAAGGACCAAAAAAAAAAAAAAAAAAAAAAAAGGTACTTAAAGCATTTCTCTGCAAAATGTACAGTTTCCAGAGGAATAAATCATAATAAAACCCTACTTAGCTGATGCTAAAAACCTTGAAAGTGAGGTCAGAAATTCAAGCCAGCCTGTGTATTAACAATGGCTTTAGAAAATAAATTATTCTTTAAAATGCTGAAAAAGTTTGTTTCTGAATCAGAAAAAAGGAACACATAATCCTTTTAAAGAACAAATTACAGGAATGACAAGGGAAAAAGAATTTGTTAAGCTGCTCAGCGTTAGGCATGAGTAGAAGCTGAGGCTTTAAGCCTCCACGGATATTGCTTCCAGACAGAGAATCTTCTGTTATGGGGTTTAAATTTAATAGAAACAAAAATCCTAAAATGTCATTGTCCTTTTGTTCTCTTTAATTCTTATTCTGACTCATATCCCTCAAAGTAAAAGACAACTGACTATTCTAGGAAGAAACAGAAGATTAAGTTAAAGCCTCTTGTTGCAGTGAGCAGGGTTTGTCGCCATTTCGGATTTGTGAGGAACTGTGGGTGCACCGTGGGATGGTTAGCGGCACGCCTGGCCTCCACCCACTACATGCACCCCACTCCAAAGTTCTGATGACCAAAAATGTCTCCAAACTTTACCAAATTCTCTCTGAAGGGCAAAGTCTACCCTGACACATAACTACTACTATCTGTAACCCCTGAAGCTGCGTTCTGAAAATCATTAAATCACCCTGCAAGCCCGCTTTCAGCTCCAGTCTCCCTGGCTCACAGGATTATCCAGGTTTTCACCACATTTTTCCTAAAACAGAGGTCTTCTCTTACTTTTTATAAGCACTCTCTGAAACTGCCATTCATCCATTTTTTTCCATTTATTTTTATTTATTTATATTTTTTGAGACAGAGTCTTGCCCTGGTGCCCAGGCTGGAGTGCATTTGTCTGATATTGGCTCACTCCAATCTCCACCTCCCTGTTCAAGAAAGTCTCCTCCCTCAGCCTCCCCAGTAGCTGGGATTATAGGCACATGCCACCACACATGGCTAACTTTTGTACTTTCAGTAGAAACAAGGTTTCACTGTGTTAGCCAGGCTGGTCCCAAACCCCTGACTTCAGGTGATCCAGCTGCCTTGGCCTCCCAAAGTGCCGGGATTACAGGCGTGAGCCACCATGACTGGCCCCTTGAGTCACATTTTACAAAGGAAGAAACTAAGGCATACAGTGGTGAAAAAGCACCCTAGGAATATAATGCCAGCATGTGGGATGGAATCCCCAGCCTTGAGGTTTCTGACTTTGGGAGTCTTTTCATACTGATTTGAACCAACTACATCTGAAAACATCTTCCTGCCCATTACTCTAAGCCAGCTACTATGGGGGACTATAAAATGCTCTGAATGGTCAATATTGTGCCCCTTGGTGTCTTGATAGTACAGTGCCATAGGGTGCAGGTATGTCCAAGAATGGGTATGAAATAACAGGGATTCTTCCCTGCAGAGGTTTTTAAAACTATGTTTCCTTCATCCACTGCAAAGACTTTCACCATGCACACTCATCTCCCACCAATGAAAAGAGCTCTTCCTGCAAGGACGGACCATGCTCTGCTCCTCAGCCCTCACCTTCACCAGCGGGAGGAGCTCTTCCTGCTGGGAGGGACCTGGGTATGCCCTCAACCCTCACCTCCATCAGTGGAAGAAGCTCCTCCTGCAGGGAGGGACCTGGGTGTGCCCACACCTCCACCAAGGGGAGGAGCTCCTCCTGCAAGGATAAGCCTGCTTATGCCCTCAGCTTTCACCTCCGCCAGGGAGAGGAGCTCTTCTTGCAGGGACCTAGGTAGGCTCTCAGCCTTCACCTCCCCCAGGAGGAGGGGCTATTCCTGAAGGGAGAGACCTGGTTACACCCTCAGGCTTCACCTCTACAAGGGGGAAGTGCTTTTCCTGCAGGGAGAAACCTGGGTATGCAATTAGCCCTCACTCCACTAGGGTGAAGAGTTCTTCCTGTCGGGAGAGACCTGGTTATGCCCTCATCCTTCACCTCCACAAGGCAGAGGAGCTCCTCCTGCAGATAGGGGCCCCATTCTGCCCCTCCGGTATTACAGCAGCAGACCAGTTGAGAGCAAGTGTACTGTGAGCTTTCCCACTATGCCATTGTTCTGTATCTTTGCTGATTCAACTAAAGCCACCTCAAGTGTCCAAAGGATGCATTAAATCATTCATAAGACCCCACCCCTATATTCCTCTAGACTTGCCACATAACAGGCCACTTCTTTATTCTCATCAGATTATGCAGGCTGCCCCCAGTGGCCCAGCACAGTCTTTCTCTATAAAAATATATTTGCCCCACAGATGCTCCCCTTTGACCCTTTGATGGAAAGTTCTTTCTGAATGAAAGATAGTGGCAATAGCACCATGTTCATGTCATCCCTGCAATATCAGAGTGTCCTGACCACCATTATGAAGGTCACTGCATACCACTATTTGACTTAGACGACATGGTCTGAGTGAGTCAAACATGTGAGTATCAGAGTGAAGATACAAACACACACATCTCCCATACTCATGCTATGAACAGCTGAAGACGATCTTGCGCCATTGTCCTTAGGAAGATTCTTTTTTGAGATGGATTCTCACACTGTTGCCTGGGCTGGAGTGCAATGGCTTGATCACGATCTCAGCTCAATGCATCCTCCACATCCCCAGTTCGAGTGATTCTCCTGCCTTAGCCTCCTGAGTATCTGGGATTACAGGTGCCTGCCACCATGCCTGGCTATTTTTTTGTATTTTTAGTAGAGATGGGGTTTCACTATTTTGGTCAGGCTCATCTCGAACTCCTGACCTCATGATCCACCCACCCCAGCCTCCCAAAGTGCTGGGATTACAGGCATGAGCCATCGCGCCTGGCCAGGAAGATCTTAACTTATTGAGATGACCATGTGCAGGTTCAGCAACTGACGGGCTCTTAGCAGAGTCAAATCAACAGCATCAGGCTCTTCCTGTGAATTCATTCAAAAGATCAATAATCACACACCGGGTAATCATATGTTGACACACTTAATGACATGATCTTTTTTAAAAAAAAAATTTTTTTGGATGCAGGGTCTCACTCTGCTGCCCAGACAGTGGGGTGATCATGGTTCACTGCAGCCTTGAATTCCCAGGCTCAAGTAATCCTCCCCCTCAGCCTCCCAGGTAGCTGGGACTACAGCTGCAGCACCACAGCTGACTAATTTTTGTAGTATTTGTAGAGATAGGTTCCCACTATGATGTCCAGGCTGGTCTCAAACTCCTGGATTAAATGGATCCTCAGCCTGACAAAATGTTGGGATTATAGGTGTGAGCCACTGTGCCCAGCCTCATGAGCTCTTTCTTTACTAGAGCAGGGTTCTCAACCCCCAGGCCTCTTAGGAACCAGACTGTGCAGCCAGAGGTGAATGGCAGGTAAGCCAAGCTTCATCTGTATTCACAGCTGCTCCCCATCACACACATTATTGCATGAGCTCTGCCTCCTGTCAGATCAGTGGTAACATTAGATTCTAATAGAAGCACAAACCCTATTGTGAACTGCGCATGCAGGGGATCTAGGTTGCACATTCCTTATGAGAACCTACTGCCTGATGACCTGTCACTCCAATCACCTCCAGATGGGCCTGTCTAGTCGCAGGAGAACAAGCTCCGGGCTCCCACTGATTCTACATTATGGTGAGTTGTATAATTACTTCATTATATATTACAATGTAATAATAATATAAATAAAGTGCACAATACATGTGACACACTTGAATCATCCCCAAACCATCTCCACCCTTGGAAAAAATTGTCTTCCACAAAAATGTTCCCTTGTGCCAAAAAGGTTGAGGACTGCTGTTCTAGGGGATTTCTCTCCCCACTTTTCTTCTGCCCACTCTCTGCCTAACTCCTACCCATCCTCATGTCTTGGCTTACACCACTGCCGCAAGGAAGCCCTCCATCATTACCCTATATGAAGCACGCTCCCCCACTGTTGACTATCATAGCACCTCTTTTTCCCCAGATAGCAATTATTACTACTTGCATAATAGATTCATTTATTTCCTGATGTATTCATGTGACAGCTGTCCTTTCCACAGCTCTAAGGATCAAGAGGGCAGAGACCATATCTCATTTGTTGACCATAACAAACATTCAGTAGATATTTTCTGAATAGGGCTGGGTATGTACAAACAATGGCCCACAAGAAAAATCTGTCCTGACACCTGTTTTCATAGAAGGTTCACATGCTTAAATGGTTGAAAAAGGGATATTATTTTAGGATATGTGAAAAGTAGGTAAGACTCATATTTCAGTGTCTGTAATACAAAGTGTATCGGAACACAGCTGCCTCCACTCCCTTAATGCTTTTGTGCTGCAATATCAGAATTGAATAGTTGTGACAGATACTATTTGCCCCTCAAAGCTGGAAATATTTATTTACTATCTAAGCTTTTAAGAAATAGGTTTTTTTTTTGACCTCTGATACAGAGTCCTAGACATGAATAGAAAATGGTCTCAGAAGAAAACCAGGAATATAGCTTTGAACCTACTTAATAAGTCTTTTCTTTTAACTTGTTGACATTTAGACAAAACAACTATATGGTCTTGAACAATTTATTAATGTATAAATATATTGTTTATGCTTTGAAATATAAAGCATAATACCACTTGGTAAAAAATATTCAGAAGAGAACATCACATTAGAGAAAAATTACTATCCATATAGATTTCTGTAAATGTGGATTTTGCTTTATTGAAGTTAGGCTTCTAGCAACAATTTCTGAGATTCAATCAGAGTCCCAGAAAAATGTTTTTCCCCCCAGAGATGGTATTTGCAGCTGTAATCAATCTTCCAGCATTGCTTTTCATGTTAGATTCTTGTTGAAATGGAATAGTGTGCTGTCAATATTGATCCTTAACCTCCAACTGCAGGAATGACAAAACCACTGGGCAGGGTTGCCCCTTCTGTCCATTCACCATGACATCATCAGGTGAGACCAAGTTTGCATGGATGTGCGTTTGAACAATTGGATGACTCTTTTTGTGACATAAGAAAGATGTTTATTTTCCCTTTCGTTTGCCCAGTGGCATGATCTCAGCTCACTGCAACCTCTGCCTCCCAAGTTCAAGCGATTCTCCTGTCTCAGCCTCCTGAGTAGCTGGGATTACAGGCACGTACCATGACACCTGGCTAACTTTTGCACTATTAGTAGAGACAGGGTTTCATCATGTTGATCATGCTGGTCTGAAACTACTGGCCTCAAGTGATCTGTGCACTTTGACTTTCCAAAGTGCTGGGATTACAGGCATGAGCCACTGCACCCAGCCCAGAAGTTATATTTTAAGGTATCAGCATGAAAGCTCTTTGACCCATACTTGATACTCAGTGCTTACCAACCCCCCAGTGAGAAATGAAGACAAAGAACACATCTGAAGGGATTAAGTCACAATGCCTATCACAGTGGTACTGCCACTAAGAGCCTATACTTACAGAATGAAACAGCACAATGGAAAATCTAAAGGCCCATGTTCCGAGGCCATTTTGCAAATTAATATTAGATAGGTTCTCACCCAGTAGCAACTTTACCCCACTAGGAATAGCAAGTAATATGTAGAAACAGGTTTGGTTATTGCAATAGGGGGATGCTAATGGTATCCAGTAGGCAGAGGGCAGAAATTCTGGTAAATATCTTACAATGCACAGGGCAGCCCCCACCAAAAAGAATTATGTAGCCCAGTGCCCACCCTCAATCAACAAAGAATGGTCTTCTCCCAAGTGTCAATAGTGCCAAGGTTTAGGAATGTTGTGTTAGACCACTTATCAAATACTCCTTAAAGTGGTAGTGGCCACAAGCACAGGCAAATTTAGGGGTTGAGGGAAATGGTACCCAGCAGACTCAAACAATCATACCTAGTAACTATTTATGGTGGTTCTTCTGTTACTCTCACAACTTATATGCAAGTATGTCTTTTCTATAAAATATATAATGCAAACCATAGTCAAAGAAGATCGAAGAAGATCAAGAGTGTAATCCTGCTTTACTATGAGGAACCTCCATTCTGATTTGTGTGTTCAAAAATAAGTATGCATATTTATCCCCTTGAGTCTCTATAATCTTCATAACCATCATTTGCTTGGCCATTTTTTTTTATCATTTGCATGCCCCTTCCAAATGAAGTTCCAGTTGTACAAGGCTAAAAATGATTGCGATCTAAAAATGGCATTGGGGTCTGCTATCCATTGTCCATAATTCTGAGACACAAAACACCCTGAAAATCAAATGATTTTTGTAATGCCCATTTTGTTGTAGTGAGCATCAAAACCCAGACTGAACCATCTTGTTCCATTCATAACACCTAACAAAAGCCAATGGAAGAGATGTTTGCAAGCTCAGATTGACGGTCTGGTTGTGTCAATGCTCCAGGCAAACACAAAGTAAATTTGTCAATGATTGGAAAAAGCCAACATCCATGATGATGGAAATGTTAATTCAATTTATCTATTCATCACCATGCCAATAAGAATTTCCTGAGAAACATTTTTTGAGTAATCTAATAACAAGTAACCAGTAGCAGACAATCTGGGCTAACAGAAAACCATAAAACAATATAGTTTCTGGAGTGTCCTCACTCCTTGAGACTTCATTAAAAATGAAATGTTTTAGGTACTGCTCTTTTCCTCAATATGAAATGTATATAACATAACCTTATGGCCAAGGAATTTTGTATTCCATCAAGAGCAGATGTGCATGTTCTTTAACTCCATGTTTGCTGTATACTGATAAGCATAGATAAGCATAATAATAATAATAATGGAATTGTGAATGACAGTAAAAAAAAAAAACCTTGCAACAGGGGTCACATAAGTATGGTCATGGACAAACCCAGCCTACCACCTGTATTTGTAAATAAAGATTTATTGAAATACACCATGCCCATTCCTTTATACATCTAATTTTGAACTACAATTGCAGAGCTGACTGTATCCTCCACAAGGCTGAAAATATTAACTAAGTAGTCCTATATAGAAAATGTTTGCCAACCCCTCACCTAGATGATAGGGTTAGAATGTGTAATGTGTTTATTGTAGGCCTCAAGAATGAGCAGGTAAAAGAATTTTTTCATCTAGAGAGAAAATGCTCTGAGAGAAATCCAGGTTCACAGGGCATATGGCAATGGGAGAAGTCTTTTAAAGGGTCATTTTTCACATTGCCGTTTTGTCCTTAAAGAAGTGGTTCCTTTATCATACTTATTCTGTAGCCATCAATACATGGTCAACTCAGAGAGACCAATGACATCCCTGAGATGCAACCTCTTCTTAAAAAAATGAGAGACCAATCACATCCCTCATGCATCCTGTTATTAAAAAAATCCAAGAATCCAAAGGTCACAGATGTATGTTGCAATTATGTGTAAAGGTATTTAACTTATTTTGAATTGACTCTTTCTGACATTAGAAATAGGAAATGTCCAGGGTATTGATGGTCTGTCATTACACAATTTAATTTATCAGTGCATTGCAACAAAAAAGTACTTTATTATACCACTTGTGGTCTTCCTGCATCCCACTGACAGGAATATTCGTATATTTTTTCTGCAGAAATATTAATATGTTTGATTATTGAGTGTTGTCCTTCCCTGCTGAGAATGTCTTGGAAGGTAAGGTAAAGGCATATATTATCTCCCTAAAATATGCATAACTGAAGTCCAGAAAACACCTAGCTATCAGGGCTTCAGATGAGATATTTGGAATGTGTATCAATATTCAGCATGTATTACCCAACACTGTGGAAATACTATAAGTTTAATCTGGTGTCATACCTCTATACATAAAGAACCACTGGAATTATCAGACCAAATCAGTAACATTCCTGATTCACAGAAGCTCCTGTCTTGAAGAAGTAAAATTTTAACTGGCAGAGTAAAATAATTTTTTAAAAATTCCAGTCAACCCAGCACTTTGGGAGGCCGAGGCGGGCAGATCACGAGGTCAGGAGATCGAGACCATCCTGGCTAACACGGTGAAACCCCGTCTCTACTAAAAATACAAAAAATTAGCCGGGCGTGGTAGCGGGCGCCTGTAGTCCCAGCTACTCGGGAGGCTGAGGCAGGAGAATGGCGTGAACCCGGGAGGCGGAGCTTGCAGTGAGCCGAGATCGCGCCACTGCACTCCAGCCTGGGCGACAGAGCGAGACTCCGTCTCAAAAAAAAAAAAAAAAAAAAAAAAAATTCCAGTCAATAGTTTCTTCATTTTGCATGGTGAAAACTCAGTCATTTGGTAAGCAGACCAGTTTATTATGGCTTATTTCAAAACCATAATAGAAATTGCTAGAATTTTTGGTGGTTGAGCCTAACTATAAAATGTCATTGATGCCTAAAATAGAACCAGATTTGAATTTGTGATGAAGCAAATTCCCTAAATCAGCTAAACATAATAATGTTGACCTAATAAGGAAGAAGAATTTCAACTGCAGAATTTTCTTCTGCTGCGTCCTTGTGGCTTGGGGATAGTTTCAAACTGGCCAATGAATTTGATTTGTGTTTTGCACAGTTAGTTACTCAGGCCACTTTTTGGTTTGTTCAGGGTGGTAGAATTGTTAGTCTTCCATTTATGCTAAAGGTATTGCAATATTGAAAGAGTTAACTGGTAATCTGATATCTCAAAAAGAATGGAAGGCATTCGGAATCATTTGATTATTCTCATTCTTATGCTCTACAAATGGAAATGTCTTCATTTGCAAGATTACATTGGTGATATGATCAATATCCACTGTAACCAACTCTGTGTGCCTTAGGAAACAGTAAAAACCTTAGCTGTAGATCAGGCACAGTGGGACTTAAATTCCAGTTCTGTGAGTCATTACTTGCGTGATCTTGGGCAAGTAATTTTGCCCTTCTGCATCTTAGTTTGGAGGCCATTCACATCTTGTCTCCCTAAATCCACTGTGTAATTCTCCCAAGGGAAGCCACATTTTCTTTTTATTTCTGTTGTCCACAAGTTTGTGTCTAGCAGCAGACAGAGGGAGGTCTTACTAAGCATTTGCAGATTTATTGCTTAAATTGTACAATGAGTTCTGAAGCTTTCTCCTGGGGAATTATAAATAGTCTTAGGGTTTAAGATTAATACAGAACTGGAGATGATTACCTGTGCAAAAGTATATCTTATGAATATCAACCTGGATAAAAACTGCAAATGTGAAAACAATCAAGGATATATAAAGCATGTATTTGATTGCTAGCACTCCTTGGCTCATAGATCTATCACCCGAATTTTTGCCTTTGTGAAAATAGGGCATTTATGCTGTGCATCTTCACATCCTGTTTCCACAAGTGTCCTCTTTTTTGATAAAGACACTAGTCATATTGGATGGGGGCCTACCCTACTCCCGTATGACCTCATCTTAACTTTGCTAATTACATCTGCCATAACCCTATTTCCAAAAAAGGTCACATTCTGAGGTCATGGAAATCACATGATTTTGGGGGGACTATTCAGCTCATTGCAAGCAGAACTGATGGAGGAACTGATGTAAGATCCCTTCTGTAAGAACTGATGGAGGTCCCTAAATTATGCCCCCGAGAGTCTAGGGAAGTAGCGAAATGGAAGACCAAGCTGATTGGGAGCTCACTGTCTTGTCATATCTGAGAACTGTCATAAATATCCTCATTTCTATCATTTCTCAAAGCAGCATCCATAAATCAACCCCAGGGACCTTATGCAATCCATGTGCACTTACTGTTGTTCACAGTACTTTCCTATCCAATATTCTACCAATCTCTCCAATAATAGCTTGTGTTTATGAAAAGACACTACAGACACAAGGACTAGACTGGTGAAAGGTCAGTGGGAATGCTAGAATCCAAGGTTTCTGCTTGTAGTTAGGTACCCAGCCCCAAAAGCTCTCCAGGAAGCCTTGCTGCAAGTTACAACCACCCCATGATAAGGAGTATCTGCCAGCCGAGGCCAGGGGAATAGAACTCACTCAAGAGGAAGACAGCACTCTGCACATGAGGACACATTATCTGTACTGAGCCCACCCCTACAGCATGCATATATGTAATAGTTTTACCTCTCTCCTTTTCTGCTAGACCCTAACTGTTTTTGCTAACCACTGCAGGATGAATTAATAAGTGCCTGCTCTAAGATAGACAGATAAAGCCAATATCAGGGGACCCTTAGAAAATAGAATAAAGGTATGACAAAAAGAATCATCACTGGTTGTTTTGGGTTTGTTTGTCTCTGTTGACCAAGCTAGAGTACAGTGATGCAATCTCAGCTCACTGCCACCTCTCCCTACCAGGCTCAATCAATCCTTCTGCCTTAGCCTCCCAAGTAGCTGGGACTACACTTGGCTAACAGCCTCCCAAGTAGCTGCCATCACATTTGGCTAATTTATATATATATATATTTGTTTTCATCATATTGCCCAGGCTGGTCTCCAACTCCTAGGCTCAAGGGATCCACCCACCTCAGCCTCTCAAAGTGCTGGGATTATAGGCATGAGCCACCACACCCAGCTTTATCACTGTTTTTTTCTTTGTTTGCTTTTCAAAGGCATACCTACAACATCAACCCATAGAACAAATAAGCTTCATCTCAGCCTCAAACAGGAGACTCCTGAAACTGCTGCCAAGTTTTGAAGGCCAGAGCTAAGTCAGTAAACAACCTGAAACCCACTGCCTGTAGGTGATGTTGGCATGCACATGCGCTGTGACAGGCCAGTTCACTGTGAGACCTGGACGAGCAAACCCCAGGAGTCCTTTGCAGAGTCACTTCCGATGCTCTGAGGGTGTTTCTCCTGACACCTTACAGTTACCTTCATGGGAGGCTCTAAAACAGTATCTGTTATTCTTCACCCTTTATGTGTCTTGTCCTGTACTTCCTTTATTAACCCAGGTGTTCATAATGACACCTTTAACAAACAAGTTTTGATTTGATGTCTCCAGGATCTGATAGTTGGCAGACTGGTATTTGTATTTTTAACATTTTAGGCTACAAAGCAATAATTTTTTTTTCTTTTTAAATTTTAGATTAAGTGGGTACATGTGCAGGTTTTTTACAAGGGTATGTTGTGTGACACTGAGATTTGGGGTTCTAACAATTCCATTGAAAAATGATACTTTATTGAATCCATAAATGTGTGCAGAACTTTAAAAATCATAAGTGATTAAGCATTAATTTGTTACTTTACTATTGAATAGCATCCATCTTTTTTGGTGAGCAGACAAAGAGGCCCTGCCTACCAAAATAACAAGCGTTTGCTTAATGGGCATTAAACATTGCCTTCCTGCCGGCGCCGTGGCTTATACCTGTAATCCCAGCACTTTGGGAGGCCAAGGTGGGCGGATCACGAGGTCAGGGGATCAAGACCATCCTGACTAACATGGTGAAACCCCGTCTCTACTAAAAATACAAAAAAAAAAAAAGATTAGCCGGGCGAGGTGGCAGGTGCCTGTAGTCCCAGCTACTCGGGAGGCTGAGGCAGGAGAATGGCGTGAACCCAGGAGGCGGAGCTTGCAGTGAGCCCAGATCACGCCACTGTACTCCAGGCTGGGCAACAGAGCGAGACTCCGTTTCAAAAAAAAAAAAAAAATTGCCTTCCTTAAGACAGCACGATTAATTATCGCATTTAGAAGCATGCCATCAAGGAGAGGCAGCTCTGAGTTTTCCATGCTGCGACCAAGCTGATAAGTGGTGTCTGACTTATGAGGACAGTTAGTCAATTTTTGGAGTGTGGATTTTAAAAAAGTGATTTGGAGGCAAATTCATAATTACTTCCTTTCAGTATAACGTTATTAATCTTGGGTAGCTGGGAGAATTTATGGAGCTTGTCAGCTCTCTCAGGTGACGATTTTTATAAATTACCTAATGTTTGACTACCACTCCCCCGACAATGGTAGTAACATTCATTAAATTGACACCTAGTTTTACAGGCAGAAGTAACCTTGGGACAGTCAATGTCCAATTTTTGCCTGCGAGCTTTGGAGAATGCGAGAGTGAAGGCTGTATCCCCCCGAATGCTGACTCTGTGGAGCAGGGATCCCTGGCCCCAGGGCCGTGGAATGGTACTGGTCCGTGGCCTGTTAAGAACCTAGCTGCACAGCAGGAGGTGAGCAGTGGGTGAAGGAGTGAAGCATCATCTATATTTACAGCCACTACCCATCACTCTCATTATCACTTGAGCTCCACCTCCTGTCAGGTCAGTGGCAGCATGAGATTCTCACAGGAGCATGACTCGTATTATGAACTGCACATGTGAGGGATCTAGGCTGTGTGCTCTTTATGAGAAGCTAATGCCTGATGATCTATCGTGGTCTCCCATCACCCCCAGATGGCACCATCTGTGGTTGTAGGAAAAGAACCTCAGCTACATTTTGGTGAGTTGTATAACATTTTATTATGTATTGTAATATAATAATAGAAATAAAGTGCACAATAAATGTAATGCATTTAAATCATTCCAAAACCATAAACCCTCACCCCAGGTCCAGGGAGAACTTGTCTTTGACAAAACTGGTCCCAAAGACTGGGGACCACTGCTGTAGAGTATGAGGAACACTCTCTAGTAATTATAATCCCAAGACTGTGCTTTATGTGCATACAATGTAGAATGATTACATCAAATCAATTAACATATCCAGCACCTTATATACTTCTCAGTTTTTGTGATTAAGAACATTAAAGCTCTGTTCCCTTACCACATTTCAAGTATACAATGAATTACTATTAACTTCAGTCACCATGTTGTAAAATGGATCTCCTGAACGTATTTCTGCTGTCTAATTTAAACCTTGTACCCCTTAACCAACATCTCCCCATCCTTCCACCTGCACTCTCTGCCCCTGGTAACCGCCATTGTACTATTGTTTCTATGAGTTCTTAAAGTCAGTATTTTGAACCTGTTAGATGCACTCAATCATTGACAGTAGATTGATAACTAATCTCAGATGCCTAATAGTTGTCAAGAAATGACTTTTTAACAAGTGGGGACATATTTGACATTTCCTGCTGTTCCATTGCCAGTTAGTTTTGAAATCAAAGACCTGGGTCTGAATACCTGTACCATGCATGAGATCCAATGAATATGAAAGTAACCAGAGGAGAAGAAATAGAGAAAGCTAGTTACCACTTTAATGAGAAGGACTAGAGAATGACAGTTATCAATTTCATGAGAAGGACTAGAGAAAGCTAGTATCACTTTCATGAGAAGTTTGTTAGGAAAGGAAAGGGGAATGTTTCACTTGAGGTCATTTAGAATTAAAAGAATTTTGCAGGAATTCAGTTCTGGAATATGTTTTTGGAGTGGAGAGAGGAACCTATGCCAAAGGACAAAATCAAAGGCAACAGTAAGGAGAAAACCGATGAACTCAGCCAACACAGGCAATACCCCTGCTGCCCATGACGCGGCAGCAGGAGTACATGAGGCTGGAAAGAGCTGACATTCCCTTCATTGTATCTACAGCTAAACATCTTTTCCTCCAAATTAGGTTCAATGAAATATTGTCCAACAAACACCAATGGCAGCATCACTGAATAGAGAGACAGCGTATCTCAGTACCGGCAGCATCACTGAACAGAGAGATAGCATGTCTCAATACTGAAGCTCGGGTAGCAATCAGTCAATCAATCAATCAATGGAAAGGGCAAAACTATGATGAAGAACATTCTGATTTTATGTGCTTTGTGTTAACAGAATTAATTAATGTACTATACAAAAAATCTTTTGTCTCTTTCTATATCCATCAGATGTCCCTGAACCAGCTCAAGTATACCAATCAAAATAAAGTCTCTGTTGTTTCTGGGCATGGTGGTTCACATTTGTAAACTCAGCTCTTTGGGAGGCCAAGGTGGAAGGATTGCTCGAGGCCAGGGGTTTAAGACCAGCCTAGCCAACATAGCGAGAAACCATCTCTCAAAATATTTAGCTAAAAATGGTGGCACATGCCTATGGTCCCAACTACTCGGGAGGCTGAAGTGGGAAAATCACTTGAGCCCAGGAGTTTGATGCTTCAGGGAGCCATGATTGTGCCAGTGCACTCTAAACCGGGTGACACAGCAAGACCCTGACTTAAAGTGTGTGTATACACACACACACACACACACACACACATATATATGTATGTATTTACTTCCTTTCAGTATAAAGTTATTAATCTTGGGTAGCTGGGGTAATTTATGGAGCTTGTCAGCTCCCTTAGGTGACAAAATTAAATGTCGAATGCAATACTAAATCTTGGCCGTTTTAATTCCAAGGTAAGACTACTTTTCTTCCCTACCCTACCCCCAGCTAAGGCATGCTTTTTGTGGTCTTGAAATGGAGGGCACACACAGGGAAGTGACTGGCTTTCTCAACTGTCCTCCTCCCTCATTCGCCCTGCTGTGGTTACACATCTCCCCACCTGAAGAGTAGCAGGAAAGGAAGGCAAAAAGGAACAGAAAGTTCTTACGTCATTGGTACTGACATGAAAACATTTTAGGCCATCCTAAAAGGCATTTTCTTAAGTTCCTGGAAGCCAGCGAGCTGGATCGCCCCCAACTGCAACTCCTGAGAGACTGGTGGTATCTTCTGTCCCTCCAACTGATTTTCCACTGGTGCCTCTCTGATAGGGTCTCCTCCTCATCCCAGCAGATTTTGTAGGCCAATAGTCCAAATGGCAGGAAGTTTTCCTCCTGCTGGTCTCATCCAGTCATTAAAGTTATCTAGGCATGCATATTAGTTTGAAGGACTCTGGAAGTGAAAGCTAAATGAACACATCCCCCCTAGCCCATGAGCTCAGAAGTCCCTTTAGCACATCAGGCAGGGGTCAGGTGCCAGCCCCTTATGCCTCCAACAGATGCACAATTAAATAGCAACCTCTCTGAGGGGTGTCGCTGAATCCTCCATACTGGACTGAGGCCAAGAGACAGGCATGCCATGTCACTTGTGTGTATTTCATTTACGGAACAAGGAAAAAGAAAACCTAAACCCACTAGGGAAGAGGTAAGGATACAGTGCCACAGAAACCTCTTCATAAGTCCCACTTCTCTTCTTGCTTGAGGCCAGAGATCCATAGGGTTCCTGGCTATCTACATGAAAAATTCTTACAGGATGCCATTTTTGTTTGCATATCATTTGACCATGCTGTCAAATGAATATCCTGTTACCATAAATATTCCCCAGAATACTTTATCTTAATATGCGGTTCAGGGACGTTGGAGTCAGACAGACATGGCATTCTGATTCTAGCACCTACTAGCTGTGTGACCTCCAAAAAGTGCTTAATCACTTGTGACAACAGATTTCTCACCAGTAAGGCAGGCAGAAGTATAAATCCTAGGCCCCTCTAATCAATAACCCTTTACTGATTAGTATAATGTCCCAGTGCATGTTGCCTGGCAAAAAGAAATAGATGCTTCCTTTTGGCAATTTTGAGAGGGCAGAAGTGAAAAGATCTTACTTTACAGAGCTATGAAAACCATGGTACTTTAAGATCATGAAAAACACAGACTTTGGTATATGAATCTGCGTAGATAATTAATGAAATTGTTCAGGGTTGAACCTACCTGATGTTTGACATTCCTAATAACTCTGTCAACCATCAGAAGCATTGCACAGGAATCCACCAGCTAACACTGGGCATTCTTTGTGCTTAGGCCTCTACCTAGAAAGAGCTCATTAGAGAGACTGTTGGTAGAAAATCCTGTAGTCCCACTGAAGAAGGGCACATGCAATCAGAGATTAACAAGCAAAGACTCATTCTCAAAGACTGGGCATGCAGCAATTGCATGAGCAAATTCCTAGGCTTGATAATTAGGGCCCTGAATCAAGGAACAAGCATCTCAATGCACATCAGGCAAGTGGGATGAGAGCAACAAGGTGCTCACCGAAGGGTTCTCCTCTTAGCCATGCAGAAGGAACAGGCCTGGAGCCCCAGAATCCAGCTTATAGTCTCCTTATTGCATCATCCACAACTGCAAAAAATAATCTGCGGTGAGCTCTATATACATTCACAATGGGCTCAACTATTTTCTTCCAAGCCATTTGTCACTTTCATAAAGTCTAGAAACATTAAAAAACCAAATGTGCTCTCATATCTGTCATTTGGGGACCGTCCTTGTATTTTTTTTTTTTTTTTCTTGAGACAGAGTCTCACTCTCTTGCCCAGGCTGGAGTGCAATGGCACAATCTCGGCTCACTGCAACCTCCACCTCCTGGGTTCAAGCAATTCTTCTGCCTCAGTTTTCCAAGTAACTGTAACTATAAGCAAATGCCACCATGCTGGGCTATTTTTGTGTTTTTAGTAGAGACAGGGTTTCACAATGTTGCCCAGGCTGGTCTCGAACTCCAGAGCTCAGGCAATCCACCCACCTCAGCCTCCCAAAGTATTAGGATTACAGGCGTGAACCACCACACCTGGCCTATTTGTGGTTTTTAATTATCATTCCCTTCCCATTCTTCAGGAACAGGTTTAATCACAGCCTTTTCCTTGCTATATTGCATTTCCGTGTTTCAAGCTATAGCTTTATTATTAAACCAAAACCCAAGTCCTGGTAAATTACCTTTCTTTAACTGGTATCCAAGTTTACTCCAGAAGGATGGAGTCATCGAAATTGATTGCCTCTAAGATTCTCTCAGAGTGGTTTCAATGGCCCTAGGAAAATGACTTGAAATAGATGCTTTCCAAATGTTATCATTTTATGTTGATACAACAACAATCAAATAAACATATTCAATTAAAATGTGCCCACAAAAGAACAAAATTAAACAGGTAAAACAAAATACATACATATATTATATATAAAGACCTTTCATCTTAAGTTTGTTAAAACCACACATACTTCCAAAGAAGCAAGAGCCAGCTAAAAAAAAAAAAAAAAAAAAAAAAAAAAAAAAAAAAATCCACACATGCATGTATCTATATGTGTGTGTAAAAAAGTAATAAATATATTTAACTCATAAATACAATAAGTCCTCACTTAGCATCAATAGATTCTCAGAATTTTTTTCTTTTGAGATAGGGTCTCTCTATGGCTCCCAGACTGGTCATGACCAGAGCTCATTGCAGCCTTGACCTCCCAGGGTTAAGTGATCCTCACACCTCATCCTGGAAAGCAGCTGGGACTACAGGTGCATGCCATCACACCTGGCTAATTTTTGTACTTTTTGGTAGAGATGGGGTTTCATCATGTTACCTAGGCTGGTCTTGAACTCCTGAACTTAAGCAATCCACCTGCCTTGGCCTCCCAAAGTGATGGGATTACAGGTGTGAGCTTCCACACCTGGCCGATTCTTAGAAATTGCAACTTTAAGAAGACCAATATACAGCAGGTTGTTTCATTCAACAATATTTTGTTATAAAGTTGAAGAGAGAAAAATTGGTTTTGTTGTGCACAACTTTGCTTGAAGTCACAGTTTCAAAAAGCCTACCAACAATGTTAAGTGAGAACCTACTATAATCATCTTTCTTCTTAACTTTCTTAATTACATGCACTTGCATTATTTTTAATAAAATATGTAAATTTGTGAATATATACAAATTAAACATATGTAAGTTATATATAAAGGCATTTCCTCTTAAGTTTTTAAAAATCACACACAGCAATGTTATTTATATAGATTATATACTTTATTTATGTGTATACATATATACACACATCCTGTTTCAAGTTTTTAAAAATCTTAACTATTGGAAGTACCTAAGAATCTCATTCTCTGAATTTTACCTTGTAAATTTATTCTGCTTTTCAAATGTGTTTTGTGTCACAGTGACTTGGAAAAGTCCCACAGCCTTACTGAATGATTGCTTCAAGAAAGTCAGTGGGTGAGGCAGAATTTAAATCACAATGGATCCTATGCCTAACAGCCGTCTGGCATTTCTAATGTGCGTTTGAGCGAGATACTACTTTCTTTTTTAAGAGCATGTGTGATGTTCTCTGTTGAGTAAGTATGGGAATTGTGTTTAAAAAAAAATGGGAAGACCATCACTGACCACAGAAATGGGAGTTTCAAGTGAACACATGGCTTGTGGATTGAGGAAGCAAGGACCTATTCAGCACATTTTCCAGGTTAATGTGATTATGGGGAAGCTGAGGGAAGTGGCTATGCAACCAACTTTCTGTTCTCTCCAGATGTTAGCTTGCACCAGGAAGCACAGGAGTTGAATGGAAGTAAAATAAAGCTAAAAACTTTCGATTCTAGAAATGACTAGCAGGACCATGTTATCACCGACATGCTCCACTGATATCAGAATTGCAGAAAACTAATGTTTCTTGTTTATTTTTTGAAGCTTCCTTCTCCTTATTGTTTCCCCCCCTTTAATTGGACAGTCATATTTGTATTTGATTTTGATATTATCTATTCACATGTGGTATTAATTACTTACCATTTAAGAAATTTTGAAAAGGCATAGAAAACATAATAATAGATTTTGCCTTTTGGCTCTTTTTTTGAGAAAGGAAGACCAATGGAGGTTCAACTCTCCATCCTGATTGTTTTTAGTTATACGACTTGTGGCAAGGTACCTGGCTTCCCTCAAGCTCCATTTCTTTATTTCTGTAAGAAGAAGCACTCCACTGTCTACCTTGCAAAGTTGCTGAGCCAATGAAATAAGAGATCATTTATAAAGTTGTGAGTATATCCTAATTATATGACAGCTGGTGGCTATTACAATTGTTGTTATGAAACAAGCCAGTTTTTACCATGAACAGCTAATCACTGTTTCATCTCAGACTCTCAGCACATGGCCTTTATAAACACTTCTGAAAAGTGAACAGAGCAACAAGCAACTTGCACAAAATGTGACAGGACTAAGAGCCTTGCAGGTGAGCATGTGTTTTATTAAGAAGCAGTGATGATGCAAGGTGCACATTAGAGATGGCACTCAGCACTCTGCATGGTGAGCTCCAGCTGTGATTCCACTCAAGGAGAGAAGCTTCAGTGGGCAGGGCCAGTGGGCACCCCTCCTGGTGAATGTGGTGCAAGACACTGTAGAGGCCCAAGATGCTGGCATCCCCAGTTGTATCCATTATGGGCACACGGACCCCTCGCAGGTCCTGGAGGGAGGGGGCTATGCCAGAGGAAACATCAGGAGGGAAAGAAAAAAGGAAAAGAGGGAGGGAGGGCAGAAGAGGAGGAGGCAGTTTAGGAGGAGGACAGGAAGACAGGAAAAGAGAGAAGGACAGAAGGAAGTGAAGGAAGCAGAGATGGAGGGAGTCAAGGAGGAAAGGAAGGACAATAGGGAAAGAGAGAAGGAGGAAATGAAGGGAGGGAAGAAGAGAGAAAGGGAGTTGAGGAGGAGGTCAGGAAGGAAGACAGGGAAAAAGAGAAGAAGGAAAGGAAAGGAAGGAAGGAGACAGGGAGAGAGTTGAGGAGGAGGTTAGGAGGAAGATGGAAAGAGAGGAGGAGGAACAGAAGAAAGGAGAGAGGGAGAGTAAAGGAGAGCATCAAGGAAGGCAGAGAAACAGTGAAGGGGAAAGGAAAGGCAGCAAGAAGAGAAGAAGGGAGTCAAGGAGGAGGACAGGAAAGAAGGAAGAGAAAAAGGAAGACAGGGGAAAGACAAAGGAAGAGAGGGGGAAAGAAAGGGAGGGAAGGAGAAAGGGAGGGAGTCTAAGAGGACAGAAAATGAGGAAGAAAGGAGGAAAGGAAGGGAAGGAAGGAGAAAGGGAGAGAGTGGCAAGCGAGGAGGGAATTGTTTGAAGTCAGGAACCCTAAATCCTGGAACAATACGATGATAAAGGGTGGGGTGTGATGAAGCCTGAGCCCCTCTCTCAGATGGCCAGTCACGTCTAGTGAGTGAGAATCCTGGGAGGACAGAGGACATTCAAATGCATGTTAGGGTCTGACCACATGCCTCACTTCCCCACATTTCTGAAGCGCACATCCTACCTTCATATGTGCTATTTTAGAGTAGTGTATGTCTACTTAGGCATTAACATTATGGATATTATAAAACATGATTTTTAATCATTAATGAAGACTATAAAGCTGATGCTGGAATTTCTACTTTCTTTTTATTAATTGGAAGCTACATTTTGTTATTTTCATAGGTATGTATTTAATACGTCCGTCCATTTTTTGAGAGTTATTTTAAAAGTTAAATAATATAAGCTGTAAATACACTTTACCTTAATATGTACATTGCACTATGCTGAAATCAAATAAAATGGTTGACAGCAATGATGTCTTCCCTCCTCTCTGCAAGAATACCTGCAGGAAAGACCAGGACACAAGAACATTGACCAGTGTTCACACAAATATTAAATGTCAGGGCTGAGTGCGGTGGCTCGCACCTGTAATTCCAGCATTTTGGGGGCCGAGGTGGGTGGATCGCTTGAGGTTAGGAGTTCGAGACCAGCCTGGCTAACATAGCCTCTACTAACAAATATACAAAAATTAGCTGGGCATAGTGGCAGGCACCTGTGGTAGCAGCTGCTCCAGAGGTTGAGGTGGGAGGATCCCTTGAATGAAAGAGGAGGGGTTTGCAGCAAGCCAAGATCACACACCACTGCACTCCAGCCTGGATAACACAGCAAGACCCTATCTCAAAAAATAAAATAAAATAAATGTTTGTAAAGCTTAACATATTTGCTACTTCTTTATATTAAAATAGTAATCCTAAGTAGAGCTTCTCATAAGCCCCCTCCCCACAATGAAGTAGCTGGTATACCCCAGGAGGGGGTCAGTGGTCCAGAACATTGGATGCCCTTGTTGAAAGGCAGACGCTGAATCGGTTGCTCTGGGGGTAGTGGCTGGGATTCTGCATTTCTAGCCAGCTCCCAGGGGATGCTGACGCTGCCAGTTCAGATCCTATCTGTTGTCCACCATTCCGGAGAAGCAAACTGGTCCTCTTGCTCAGAGTCAGATTGCAGTCTGATGGTGAAGGCATTCAAAAATAATGACCCACCCGACAAAAGTACCAGATATATACTAGAGTACAAAGCCAGGAGTGGCGAATTCAGCCATCTATGTCAGGCTCCCTTCCAGAGCTCGCTGGGCTTGGAGGAAACCAGCAACGGGAAAAGGTGAGAAAATTTAGTGCCGCTGAAGCAAAAAACTCCTTAGGTTAGCATTGCCAAGACAACTATACAGGGGAAGATGGCAGGTAAATCTGCAATGAGGAGCTCTAATTGAGGCCTCATCAGACAGAAGTCAGAGCTTTCTGGTCTTTCAGCATCATCAAGAAAAGTGGACAGTGGACAGCCACTGAAAAAGATGGTCTCTAGTCCAACTTACCACATTTCATCTATGCTGGGGAAGATGTGTAACTCAGAAAAGTAAAGTGAAGAATGGGGAAAAAGAGGCTCACAGAAAACAGATATAGCAAAGTGGAAACCAAATACAACAGATAACAAAAGCACAGAGACACAAGAACCAGAAGCGCAAACTAAGAAATTTGAAATAAACTAAAGACTTCATACAGGATGGTATAAAAACACACACAATGAATGGCATGTGTAAGTTTGTATCTTGTGTGAAAGAAGACAATCTATTTATTTGTTCCATCAGTTGTTAATGTGCTTTTGATGCCACCATACTGTAGTTTACTGGATTATTTCTATTGTATCTTACAGTTGTCAGGAAAAGCAAATTATTGTCCCATGGGGAAAACACAATTGTACAAAAATAAACTATAATTCATGGAAGGAAATGCAGAATCCCCATCCGCATAAAAGCTGTGCATCTTTGGCTGTTGGAGAATTATGAAAAGCTAAAAACCAACTTTTTGTATGTGTACATACCACATCATTAGAACAAAATATTATTCTTTTCCAATCCAGCTTGTGACAGAGAAACATTCACATAATTTGCTTTTTTAAGCAGAGGAGTCTTCCATGTTATGCAAGGGCATGTTACTAGAAAGCATAGAATGTAAGATTTATTTAAAAATGATGTGAACCATGTTTTCACATCTGTGGAGAGCTGAAGTACATAAGGTTTCTCAATATGTCTCTTCCACAACTGCTGTGAGGCTTTGTCATTTCATCAAATGGCACTGGGGCCTTTTTCCTCTTTGAAAAATACTTTTTGAACTTAATGACTAAACAGAAATGTGACATGGTTATGATACCAAAAAATAATTGTAATTATGATATGTGTGCATCCTTTTGTTTCCAGAGAATGGAAAGAAACTGGGAGGCAGAATTCTTAAGACTCCAGGTGGGAAATACTGTCACACTTACTGTAGATACCACAGCAATGTGTGTGGAATGCATCTATTGTGGAATTGTGTTCCACAAAAAGATATGTTGGAGTCCTCTTCCCCACTACTTCAAATGTGACCTTATTTGGAAACAGGTTCTTGTCAAAGGAAATAAAATTAAAATGTAGTCATTAAGGTGGTCCTCAGTCCAGTAAGACTGGTGTTCTGTTAAAAGGAGAAAATTTGGATACAGAGATACAAACAGAGGGAAGATGAGAGGACAAGTTACAGGGAAAGGAAAGCCACGATCAAGGTGAGGAGAGAGGCCTGGAATAAGTCCTTTCCTCACAGCCCGCAAAAGGAACTAAGCCTGCTGACATCTTGATCTGGGACTTCTGGCCTCCAAATCTGTGAGACAATGTATGTCTGCTGTTTAGGTCACTTAGTTTGTGGTACATTACTATGGCAGCTATAGCAAACTAATACAGAAACCATGAATGACTGCATTTGAGTCACAAGTCCCTTCCGAATTTGCTCATAAATTGCCTTCTCTGTAATCAAGAGTCCTCAAAGGGAAATCAAGATTGCATTAAAGGGGGAAGCTCTCTTATAATATCAACTCTAAAAACACATAATTTTATTGACTATATACTATGCATTAGTACCAAGGGCTTGACCTGCCTCACCTCCTGTATCACCTCCATTTTTACCCAGGAAGAAACAGACACAGGGGCACTTTGTCTATCATAGGTGGTAAGTGTTCTTGCTGAATCCAAGCATACTCCCGTCCACCATGTAGGCACTAAACTAGAAATATACCCTAATGTCGTTATACCTGTTTTTTGTCTTTTTCCTCGCTTGTGGATAATGGGGTCTCGCTATACTGCCCAGGCATGTCTTAAACTTCTGGGCTCAAGCTACCTCCCAACCCCCACCTCCACCTCTCTAAGTACTGGGATTACAGATGTGAGCCACTGACGTTTTTGCTGTTTTTTTTTTTTTTTTTTTTTTTTTCTGAGGCGGAGTCTTGCTGTGTCGCCCAGGCTGGAGTGCAATGGCACAATCTCAGCTCACTGCAACCTCTGACTCCCAAGTTGAAGCGACTCTCCTGCCTCAGCCTCTGAGTAGCGGGGATTACAGGACCGTGCCATCATATCCGGCTAATTTTTGTATTTTTAGTCGACACGGGGTTTCACCATGTTAACCAGGCTGCTCTTGAACTCCCGACTTCAAGTGATGCGCCAGCCTCAGCTTCCCAAAATACTGAGATTACAGGCATGAGCCACCGCGCCAGGCCACGTTTCTAAAGTCTTAAAGTTCTCTTATTTCCTCTTCGCAAAAGGTCCAATCCTTGTCCTTAAATGTGAATATACCATTCACATATAAAGGAACACGAAATATAAACAGGGACAAAAAAAATATTTTTCCGACGATGGCTAACAGAGAGAAATAAAAGCTGTTAGGTTACATTTGAAAAGTTTAAAAGGAAGAAAACTCAGAGTATCCCAAAATACAAATACCTAAGAAGGGATAACCAGCCAGACATGTTGACGATTAGTATTATTTCAACATCCTCCTTGCTCAACTTGGCTTTGCCCTGCGACAGAGGTTGTGGACCCTCTCCGCACACTGCGCATGCGTGGCCGCCGTTCCGGTCGCAGTCCAGGACAACGGGGAGGCGGGCAGGCAAGGATGGCAGAAACCCACCCACGGTCCAGGGGCTGGCGTTCCAGGCTCGGGCGAACCACCCAGGGAATTCCGTGACGAATGCCATTTGTCTGCAACCTTATGGCTCGCAGTGATGCGTCCTGCGCATCTTCAACCCCCTCTCCCCAGTCGACAGCCCCTTGCATGGTCCCTCCATCCTCCTTCACACCCTTGATCCAAATTCGAGCAGTCAATCTGCCCCCAGGCGAGGGCCTCGGCTCTGCGCGGTCGCTGGCTGAGTAGCTTGGCCCGATTCCGGTGTGAATGAGAAGGAACAGCGGTAAAAGCATCGCGCCCGTTCGCACCACATCCCGGGTCTGCGGCTGCTACTGCGGCTAACGCCCAAGGTGCGCGTGCGCGTGCGCGAAGCGGCGATACGCCGCCCAGGTCGCCCAGGCTCGAAGCAGGCAGAGGGGCCGCCAGATGCTCATAAGCCGACCGGCCAGGAAGGCGCGAAGAGGCCCTGAGTGCGCGTGCGCGGGGAGGGCGAGTGCGCGCGCATTTGTTTCTCGGCCTCACCCATACCCAGAAGGCGGCAACAGGGCTGTGTCCCCGCCCTTGCCCCAGCCGCAGCCCTTCACCCACCTCATCTTTGACATGGAAGGACTTCTTCTGGATGGGTAGTCTGTGGCCACCGCCTCCGTGAGGGCGGTCCTGGGCAGGCGTGGCAACTGTCGGCGGGTGGTACGTCATGGCTGGGTTGCCGCGACTGTGCAGCGTTCCAGCAGGGACCCGCGGGCTCCAGTGCTCACGGGAGCCGGCCCCAAAGTGGAGCTGCGTCCAGCAACGCCAGCGGGCTGGGCCGATGGTGGCGAGTGGTCGCGGAGTCTGTGCGGCCCCACCACCTGATTCCGGTCGCCCTATGTGTGGGACCTGGGCACGTAGGCGCGGTGCCTTGGGACCACCGGGCCCGCGCTGGGCTTTGCGTCCTCTACACAGAGCGCGGTGGGGCCGGACCTCAGTCCTCTCTTCTCTTACCCAGGCTTGCGACCTTGAGCGGTGCCCAGCCTTGAGGTGTTGCACCTCACACTTGAGGGCATTAGCTGCGGGTATCTGGCCGGAGACCCTGACCCAAACGATGTATGAATGAAACGTACACTGACAGAAAGGTATTCTGCTTTGCCTGTCCAGCTGAGTGTCCGACCGCCTGCACACCAAGAGAGGTTTGTCACTGCGGCGGCCCTGAGCAGCTGGCACTCCAGGCATTTATTTCGTATACAATTAACAACACAAACTGAGTAAACACACTTGTGGATAATTGACATGGTTAAGAGAGTAGTTCTAGGAATGATTACAGCTCAAGCACCGAGGTCTAAGGTAAATACCATTAGGGGGCAATCTCCCTAGTCGACCTCCCCCTAAGAAGGCCATCTGGCTCAAAGGTTAATTAATGGAGGTAGGGTAAACAGACTTAACTGGGAAGCCTCTATTATCCCTAGTATTTACCTTATGACTAATGCTGTAAGATGAGAACCGGCTGCCTTCAGTCTGTTCAGTTATTACAAGCTATGGAACCTTTCCGCCTTCCAAAAAGGTTTGTGACTATTCCCTATAACTTTCCCTAATATTTCCCAGTAATATTTCTGCCACCATCCTGAGTGAATCCCCAACACCGCCTCAGTTTTGCTGTCTGCAAAATAGCCTGGTTGTTGCTGAGGGCGCATCTTGATGGTAGCATCCTACAAGGTAGTGGTTGTCCACTAGGCAGGGTTTTGCCGGCCTGAGAGCATCCTCTAATGGAGATGTCGGGAGACATTTTGGATGTCACAGCTGGCATGAAGGGATGGGGTCACTGGCATTTAGTGGGGTCCTGACCAGGAGTAGTACTAAACTTCCTGCAGTGCACAGGAATGTCCTATGCAACCAAAAGAAATTACCCGTGCTGTCAACAATGTAGAGGCACAGAAGATCTGCCAAGTGGCCTGGCTGCTAAGGGTGACCAGCACCAGAGACATCACCTGGGAGCCACTTTTGAATGTAGCAGCAGTGGTTCCACCTTCCCCCTGCCCAGTGAGAATCTGCATTTTAACACAAGTGCATGAGCGTTTGAGAACCTGCTGTATGGATCTGAGACATTAACAAACCCAGACATAGCACATGTGAACTTCACCAGCCAAGAGGAATTCGGGTAGAATTCAAAGAATAAAACCCTGTTTTTAACTCAAGACAAAACTATTCTGAGCTTTACCCAAAGCCTCAACAGAATTAACACTGTGAAACATATGTTGTAATCTCATATTCACCAGGAGGCTTCACAGATCTGTAAACCTTCCTGCATACTCTGTGTAGACTGCTGACCTGCTTGTTTATGTATATCATTCCTTCATTTCAAAACTCTGCACATTAGGAGAAAGTATTTGCATTTCACCAATTAAAAAAAAGAAAAAATCCTGCAGCTCAGAGAGGTAAAGCTACTCGCCCTAGGTCACACAGCTAGTAAGAGGCCAAGCTTAGAAATGATTCTGGATTGATCCAGTTCTAAATATAAATGATGATGAACTCATCTTAAATTGTGAATGTGACCTTGTTCCTGCTCATCATATTTCTGGGTAGCTCACTAGAATTGTTTTCTTTTAAAAAGGCACACGAAAACCAGTCTCTTCATTTTATGAGCACAGAGATATAAATTGAGGAATTCCAAAGAAAAAATACTCCCTACAGAGGTCTGTAATTGGAGCCAATGGTGTATGCGCTACTAAATTTGAAATGAGTCAATTTCATAAAGCTTCTGAGATACATAAGTATAGTTTGTAGACAAGATTTTTCCTACTCTGGTGGTCAAAAAGTTAAATTGTCAAATATATTTCTTACCCTCTAATGGAAGGTCCAGATAACCTGTTCTGCGAGTCTCATGAATTTTAAGGCCAAACAAGATGTCTCATTAAAATTAAATTTATTAAGCTTCTAAATGAGCTTGATTCCTAATTCTCATTCTGAATTTGCACATAGCCATGCCCTGAAGTGATGAATGTGACTTAAATGGCATTACAAGCGTGGACCTCACATTGTTACCCAATCCTCTGATCTAGTCCTCTGATAACCAACAATTAGTGCTATTTGGAAAAATAAGCTGTAGCTCTTTTTATTCCCCTCCCTCATTTTCTATCCATTTCCTCCTTTCCGGCCCTACCTCTTCTTTGAGTTGGTAAGGCTTTGCAAAATTACCTTGGCAATATACGTTTCCTTATCCCATTTTTTCTCACAAAATGTATGAATACAAAATACAGCATTCCAAAGTGTACCACTTTAATCTACCAGATTATGCCTGCTCTCATTCTTTAGTACCTCACTTCAGTGTATCTGTTGTCTGCATAACAATGTATCATCAATTTATAATGAGGTATTTTGCAGTAGGTCTGTTTTTTGGGAATTTTGAATGTATTTTCCTAGGAAGTTCTGTTTGTCGATGTAGCACCAATACTTGCATACTTGGGGAAGTAAAATTGAAAACAAATAGTTGCATGAAGAATTGTTGACATTACAGGAGACATTTGTTCAATCAGAGGAGAATGAGGAAGTAAATGCAAAGTTTACAGTTAATGTCGACCAGGAAGAAAACCAGGGCACCTTCCCATGCTTTTGACATGTGTGATGCTGTTAGGTCCTTTTTTTTTTTTTTTTCCCTAAAAAGAAAAAAAAAACAAAAAAACACCCGTGGGATTTGATTTCTCTTGACTAAGGAAACAGTCAGTTATGATTTAGTTAATACTAATAACTCTGGCTCTCAAATGCCATTCAGAAAAGGAGAAAAGCGGACTGAGATTAGTTATAAACTGGAACAAGATTTTGAAAGAAGAAGATGACAAGTTAATTAAACAATATCTCAGCTGCTGGACAGGAAAGATTCAGTTGGTAAATAACTGAAATTAGGAGCACAAAAGATGGTCCTAGTTTCTTTAAAAACAGAAGACAGTCATGTGTCCAGAGCAGCTTTGTCTCATAGAATAGATTTGGGCCAGATAAAATTTTCTGGGAGCAACTTTTAATAAGTAAAAAGATATAGATGACATTGATTCGGATGATGTATGTTATATAACCTAATTTGTTAAAAATGTTAATTAATACAAAGTCAATATAAGAAAATAATCGAAGTGTTTGACATTAATTTTGATACTAGGTCCTCAAAACCTGTGTGTATTTTATACATGCAATACATCTCAGTTTGAACTAGCCTCATTTCAAGCACTCTGTAGCCTCACTTGTTGCATGGCTACTGGCTTGGACAGCGTGGATCTAAGTCTTTGTGGAGCAACCCATGATGTCTGTTGATAATGGCTGTGCTGGGAGGGCCAGCCAGAGGGTGGGTGTTAAGAATATTCAGAATTAGGAATTGTGGTGTGTGTAAAACGTGGTACGTGTAAAATGTGTTTTCTTGGAGTCTAATACAATTTTATTTAAAATTCTTTTAAAAAATCAAAGGGAAATAAGCTTATTTTGAAATTCTTAAAACATCGTAAAACAATAATGTAGATTGCAAAGAGTAATAAGAACATTTGCAGTTCTTATTGACCGTAATGTACCATGTCTTTATAAATTGAGATTGCAGGATTTTAATAAGTCACTTGTAGTTTACCTTTATATAGTTGAATGAAGACATGTTCTGTGCCTTCTTGCAGAACTCCCATAGCTTCTCAGGACTCCCATAGCTCAGCATAATTCTGTCTTGAGTTAAAAACAGGGTTTTATTCTTTGAATTCTATTCCCATAGTATTAAGCTCCCATAGCTTCCACCTTACCAAATAATAGCACTTGGGACTGTAAGTGCCTGCCTCACTGTCTGGGGCCCAGGAGACTGTAAATGGTCACAGAGGTAGGGTCTCTGTGGTGATCACCAAGCCCAGTACCGATGGGATTGTGGGCTGCTTGAGACAGTTGACAGTCATGTCCACCATGTGGTCAAAATCCCACAGACTACAGTATGAGTGTTTCACACTATCATTCTTTATTAACTTCACATAGGCTGTTTCTTTAGACACTGAAACATCCATATAGCTGATGACAAAAATAGACTTACATAATATTAACACATGCCCTAGATGGATTTTCAGAAGAATTTGTGCATGCTGTCATGTGACCCCATGAAATACATCTGAGGTTTAAAATTGTAGCCCACAAGTTTTTCAGCCTCAG
This sequence comes from Homo sapiens, assembly GCF_000001405.40. Taxonomy (NCBI): domain Eukaryota; kingdom Metazoa; phylum Chordata; class Mammalia; order Primates; family Hominidae; genus Homo; species Homo sapiens. The sequence continues at coordinate 15,451,523 of NC_000024.10, read as the reverse complement.
TCTGTTCTTACTCCTTGATGTTATCAAGTCATTCGTTCCAAGTGGGGTTTCTAAGAGTTTTGGCACATTTCTGAGGAAGGTGGAGCAAAGTGAAGGATCATTCCACATGTTTCCATAGGTGGTTATTTTTTAACCCCAGAATGTGCAGAGATCCTAGTTGGAATGAGATGGTAATCACAACCTACCCTCCTTCCATCATATTTATTGGGTCTTGCTGTGAAAGTCAAAGCAACTCTGGTGGTAGGTTCACATTCTTTCTTTGCCCTGTCTCCCCTGGGGGCTGACACTGTGCCTTTGGGTTTTAACCTTGCTAGGTGAAATGTACATTCTCTTCTACATTTGCAAAGGAGATGGCTGAGGGTGGAGGCCAGTGCGAGGACTTGGGACACAGGTGAGCCTTTATCTAAGGGCCCATGATTGGCCATTCACTAGAGCATAATCAATAAATAATCTGTTGTTTCCGAAAACTCAAAAGGTTTCTGGAATATACCAAGCACAAGACACATGTGTTCCTGTTAAGGGTCCGAAGAGATTTGGAGTAAATTGTATGTTGGAGAAGCAGCATGTAATTGTAGACTTAGCTGTGTTTGATTCTGTTTTCTAGTGGACCTGAACCATGCCAACCTTAAGTTATTGTAGTAAGTGATTGGTTGTCCACTACAGCTGTTTCGGTTTCTAGAATAATCGAGAAGGGCTAAGACTTAAATTGCAAAATTCTGCAGATCATTATAGTTTTGTCCAGCTTGCCGCACAACTTAAATACAGCAGATTTCTAGGCATGCAGGTATAAAAATATCCTTTTCTTTTTTTCTAGGTCTGCCTTTCAAATAAAAATAGTATGGTTTTATTTGGAATCTTTAAATAAACTGGACACAAGCATACCTGAGAAATATCGTGGATTCAGTTCCAGACCATCACAGTAAAGCAAACATTGCAATAAAGTCAGTCACACGAATTTTTTGGTTTCATGATACACGTAAGGTTTGGTTTATACTATGCTGTACTCTATTAAGTGTACAATAGTATTATGTCCAAAAAATGTACATACTTTAAAAATGCTTATTGCTAGAACAAATGAAATGCAAGGGATCATCTCATCCTCTGTGAGTTGTAAATCTTGCTGGTGAAAGGTGCTGTCTTCACATTGACTGTTGACCAGAGTAGTGGTTGCTGAAGATTAGGGTGGCTGTGGCAATTTTAAAAAATAAAACAGCAGCGAAGTTTGCCATATCAATTGACTCTTCCTTTTACAAAAACCTTCTCTTTTGGCCAGATGTAGTGTCTCACGCCTGTAATCCCAGCACTTTGGGAGGCAGAGGCAGGTGGATCACTTGAGGCCAGGAGTTCGAGACCATTCTGACCAACATAGTGAAACCCTATCTCTACTAAAAAATACAAAAAAAAAAAAAAAAACAAAAAACAAATACATAGCCAGGCATGGTGACCTGTGCTTGTAGTCTCAGCTACTAAGGAGGCTGAGGCAGGAGAATCACTTCAATCTGGGAGGCTGAGGTTGCAGCGAGCCAAGATTGCACCACTGCACTCCAGCCTGGACCACAGAGTGAGACTCTGTTTTAAACAAACAAACAAACAAACAAACAAACAGAATTGGAATTAGTCCTCTCAAAGAAGCTGCTCTCAAAGAAGCAGCTGCTGCTGCTGCTTCTTTATCAACTAAGTTTATGTTAATATAGTGAATCTTTTGTTGTCACTTCAACAGTGTTCAAGGACATCTTCACCAAGAGTAGATTTTTATCTCCAGAAACCACTTTCTTTTCTCATCCCTAAGAAGCAATGTGTCATCAGTTCAGGTTTTATCCTGAGATTGCAGCAATTTAGTCAAATCTCCAGGTTTCACGTCTAATTCTAGTTCTCTTGCTATTTCCAACACGTCTGCAGTTACTTCCTGCACTGAAGTCTTGAATCCCTCAAAGTCATCCATGAGGATTGGAATCAACTTTTTAGAAACTCCTGTTAATGTTGATATTGTCGTCTTTTCCCATGGATCATGAAGGTTGTGAATGACATCTGGAGTGCTAAATCCTTTCCAGAATGTTTTCCATTTACTTTTCCTAGATGAATCAGGGGAATCACTATCTATGGCAGCTGTAGCCTTAAGAAACTCATATCTTAAGTAATAAGACTTGAAAGTTGAATTTACTCCTGAATCCATGGGCTGCAGAATAGACACTGTGTTAGCAGGTCTAAAAACAATATGAATCTCCTTGTACATCTCCATCAGAGCTCTTGGGTGACCAGGCACACTGTCAGAAGGCAGAAATATTTTGAAAGAAATTTGTGTTTCAGAGCAGTAATTGTTAATAGTGGGCTTAAGATATTTGGTAAACAGTACTGTAAACAGATATACTGTCATCCAAGCTTTGCTGTTGCATTCACAAAGCCCAGGGAGAGAAGATTTAGCAACATTTTTAAGGGCACTAGGATTTTCAGAATTGTAAATGAGCGTTAGCATTGACTTAAAGTCACCATCTGCATTAAGCCCTAACACAAAATTCTGCCTGTCTTTTGAAGCTTTCAAGCCAGGCATTGACTTCTCTCTAGCTCTGAAAGTCATGGGTGGCATTTTCTTCCAATAGAAGGCTGTTTTGTCTACATTGAAAATCTGTTTAGTGTAGCCACTTTCATTGGTGATCTTAGCTAGCTCTCCTGGATAACTTGCTGCGGCCTTTCCATCAGCACTTGCTGCTTCACCCTGCATTTTTATGTTATGAAGATGGCTTGTTTCCTTAAACGTCATGAACTTCTGCTAGATTCAGATTTTTCTTCTGCAGCTTTCTCACATCCCTCAGTCCTCATAGAAGTGAAGAGAGTTAGAGCCTTGCTCTAGATTAGGCTTTGGCTTAAGGGAATGTTGTGCTGGTTTGGTCTTCTACTCAGATCATTAAAACTTCCTCTATGTCAGCAAATAAGGAGGTTTCACTCTCTTTTCATTCATGTGTTCACTGGGGTAGCACATTTAATTTCCTTGAAGAACTTATCCATTGCATTCACAACTTGGCTAACTGGGTGCAAGAGGCCTAGCTTTCAGCCTATCAGCTTCTGACATGTCTTCCTCACCAAGCTTAAACTTTCTAGCTTTGATTTAAAGCACGATATGTGTAACTCTTCATTTGAACTCTTAGAGGCCTCCATAGGGTTATTAATTGGCTTGATTTCAATATACCATGATTTAGGGACTACGGAGGCCTGAGGAGAGGCAGAGATATGGGGGTCTGTTGAGCAATCTGAACACACACAACATTTATATTAAGTTGTCTGACATACATGGGCACATTTCATGGTGCTGAAAACAATGACAGCAGTAACCTCAAAGATCACTCAGCACAGATTGACATTAACAGACGTAATAATGAAACAATTTGACATATTGGAAGAATTACAAAAATATGACACAGAGACATGATGTGAGACATGGTATTAGAAAAATGGTGGTGAGCAAGGGTGGGGGGATGGCTCATGCCTGTAATCTCAGCACTTTGGGAATCTGAGGTGGGCGCATCATCTAAGGTCGGGAGTTCAAGACCAGCCTGGCTGACATGGTGAAACCCCGTCTCTACTAAATATACAAAAATTAGCCAGGTGTGATGGTGCACGTCTGTAGTCCCAGCTAATCGGGAGGCTGACACGGGGGAATCACTTCAACCTGGGAGGTGGAGTTTGCAGTGAGCCGAGATCATGCCACTGTACTCCAGCTTGGGACAGAGCGAGACTCTGTCTCATGAAAAAAAAGGAAACTGGTGCTGATAAACTTTCTTGACGCAGGGTTGCCAAAAACCTTCAATTTGTAAAAAACAATCTGTGAAGCACAATAAAATAAGATACTCTTATTTAGTCATGCGGCAGCAAAGCATCGTTGTTTGAGCCAGATTTCTGCTTTTCTCCTTGAAAACCTGTGTGTTAAAATTTCTTTGGTCCTTTACATGTTAGAATTTCTTTGGTCCTTTTTATCTTTGTGATTATTCATTCTTTACTCTGATTCTATTTCTTTTTTAAAAAAACTGCTATAATTTGTATACTATTTGCTGTCATTTTTCAGGAGTAGATGGAGACTTAAAGCATGGTAAAGGAGCAAGGTAAATTAAACCTCTTAAGAAATCTGAGAATAATTGCTGGTGATTTACACTATAAGGATTTGTTAGTGACAGAGCAGGATTTTGAACTGAAAGCACTCCTTACATAGATGCTCAGGCGACTGGTCAGATCTTCTGATGAGATGTTTAAAAAGTGATTGATGGACAGTCTAGAGGTTGAAAGCACAAAACTCTTATCCTGGAATATGTTAAACTTGAAAATAATGATCATACCATCAGCTATAAGGGAATTTCAGTGATTAATAAATGCAGCATTTAATATAGTAAGAGCTCCCTTTAATAGTGTTGAAATGCTGGTGGGGGCAGCCTTAGTTTTGTGTTGCAGATATTTGAGGTTTAAAATGGCCTTATTGGTGCTTAAAGAGCATTCTTCTGAAGACACTGTAATCCTAACACATGTTTCTGCTGTGTAAGAGCACAAAAAGGCAAACTTTGTTTTCTTTTTGGATTTTCATAGCTGGACCATCTGTGTGTTTCCTCTTTACATCCCTTTTCAGCAGTGTCTGGCAGGTTGATGACAACCTTTCCTGATCCTCCTTTATCCCCTGTCTCCCTTGTGTCCTTTGCTGTGATGCCAGCAGTGAGTAGCAGCTAAGGACCCGGGTGCAGCTGACCATGTGGTAAGGTGCCCACACATGGGAAGAGTATGGTCACCTCTTCACAACCATGCCTGACAGGCAGTTACATGGCATTGCTTATGGCACTTGACGGGGCCCTTGACTCTTCTCTCTGACTTCTGGGAGCTGGGCCGAATGATGTGCCCTTTTGTGATCAATGGTGCCCATTTATAAAACACTGCAGATGACACAGGTGGTCAAAGTTTTCTGTTTGACTCCCAATAGACTGTCCAGTATGTCTATGAAGGTGAGAGCAAATGGTCATAGTTCATACATTGAAGCTTATCTGAAGCCTTCAGACAAAAGCCAAAATAAGCACCATCCTCCTTCCCACTTGTGTGAGCTGCCATGCACATGTCCCTGAGAACTACATGGTCCCTGAGAACTGTACTCCTGTCTGCTCTTGAGCCCAGCACTGTCTATCTAGCAAAACTTTCTGCCAGGATGGAAATGTTCTATAATTGTACTGCACCTAGTGGGAGCCACAGGTGGAAACTGGGCTCCTAAAATGTGGCTCGTGCTACTTAGGACCCGAATTTCTTGTGTTATTTACTTAATTTTAAGTAGCCCCCAATGGCTAGTTGCCAAAATGTAACATAGAGACACAAAATGTAGACTGGACAGCACAACTGTAGAGGAATGCATTCACTCATCCTTAATCTATTTAGAAAATACTCTGCTGGGTGTTACAAAGCCTTCAAAATTAGTCTCTTCCTTTAAGGATCTTAGAGTCTTGCTGGAATCTGAAACATGATTGGTAAAATCTGTGAACAATTGCTGGTGATTTACACAATAAGAATGTGTTAGTGACAGAGCAGAATTTTGAACTGAAATCATGTTGTGGGTAGCATACTGTCAAGGATAGATGGGAGTCAAGAAGAGAAATAGATATTCTAGACCAGGAGAAATGGCAAAGCCATAGGCATCATTTCTAAAGCACAGAAGAGAATGATTTTTTTTAATCAAGCAAAGATTGTATTAAAAAAGAAAAAAATATGTTGCTAATGATTTCATTAAATTGTGGAGGTGAAAAGAGATTTGAAAACAATAATCCTGATACATGCATTTTTTTCCTGTGCAAGAGCACAAGAAGGAAGAGTTTGTTTTCCCCTTGGGTTTGTATAAATGGACCATCTGTGTAGCTCCTCTTCACATCTCTTTTGAGCAGTGTCTGGCAGGTAGAGATTAGAAATCTCTATCCAATGTTTCATCAGGAAATTTGAGACTAGGTCTGGGCAGCCTGTAATCTCAACACTTTGGGAGGCCAAGTTGGGTGGATCACCTGAGGCCAGGAGTTCGAGACCAGCCTGGCCAACATGGTGAAACTCTGTCTCTATTAAAAATACAAAAATTATCTGGGCGTGGTGGCGCACGCCTGTAATCCCGGCTACTTGGGCGGCTGAGGCACGAGAATCACTTGAGTCTGGGAGGCAGAGGTTTTAGTGAGCTGAGATTGTGCACCCCAGCCTGGGATACAATGCTGGAGTCTGTCTCCAAAAAAAAAAAAGAGACAGAGAGAGAGAGAGACATACTAGACTAATCTCTGTCAGGCTGAGATCAACAGAGCTCCCATTGGTAAGATCCTTTTAGCCTATTTTAAACTGAAAATCTCACCACATCCTGGTGTTTTACCCAGTGACTTTTGGAAGAGTCTAGGATGGTTATCGTGACACCATCCAAATTTCTGGATTTGTTTTTTTCCACATCATACCACCTTACTTGTTCTTCTGTCCCCTGTATTTCCTCTAATCTAGAAATTATGCATAGTGCTTTGGTTGGACACAGGTCAGCCGCCTCTGTCAAGAATAGTGCTGCACCCCTTCCTCACCTTTTTAGAGAGATGTTTCTATTAGGTCTATATAGGTTCAATACCTTCACGCTATCCTCAGCCCTGCAGAGGAGAGTTGCCCCCAGGAAAGCTGGTGAGCAGACTCCTCTCTTATGGTGGTGCATGGAACTTTTTAGTGAGAAGTACAGGGCCTGTGAGACAAGTTAAAAGTACTAGGCAAATTGCCTGTGTATGTAGATGGCCAGAACCCTAAGGCAGGAAGAGTAGGCAGCCGGGGAAAGAGATGAGCCATGCTGTGCACCCTTTGAAGAGAGGGCACTCACAGGAACCTAATAGGTTTCATGTGCATGGGTTCCACTGTTCTATGCAGTGGGATACAGCAGCCATGCAGCTCTGTTTCTCCCTGTATGAGAACACATGCCACAATCTCTTTGGTGTTTGCTCATGAGATCGAAGGACACTCACGGCTTCGGCACACGATGCCTGAGAAAGCACAGAGTTAACAAGAGCAAATGCAGTTGCCTATGCTTTGTCTGCTTTTGAAAAGTAAACTTAATGTTTCAGTCTAAGATGCATATTTGTCAATGGGGTCCTACATTCTGCACAATTTGTTAGGCTACTTCACACAAAGTGATACAGGTATACTCATGAGGGCTTAAAATAGATTAAATCATTCATTTGGAATCATCGTGCCCAATGAAAGGAACACAGGCCTTGGGGAGATGTGGCTGATTGTAGGGTCCAGGGCCAGTAAAATACTACATGAGCATGAGCACCTTCTCATGCCAGGATGCAGTGGGGGGTCCCACTGGCACAATATGAACCATTTGTAATCAAAAGAATGACCAGAAGAGAGGATAATACTCTATTTTTTTAAAAGGAGACTCTGTATTATGATTCTCAAAAGAAAAGAGAGAAAAAGCGTGGCTGGGGGTGAACTCTTTGACAGAGGAATGCCAGTTAATAAGTATGGACAGAATTAGCCAGTTCACCATTTTGGGATCCCGACTGTAAGTGGTTTCTACAAGCATTGTCAGTGGAAGCCAAAACCATAGAGTAATCATGCAGGAGATGAAGGTGCCCGCAGTGCCATGCCACAAGTCACTGACTGATAACAGAGGCAAACAGGGGCCTTCAGAGCGGGCAGCTCTGGGGGCCACAATTGACCCTGTGGCCCAACTGATGTAGCTTTGCCATCCAGAAAGCAGCATGTCATGTCATGTGTGCTTTCTGAAGTGACCTCAGAAATGGTTAACCTGAATCCATTTGGACCTCTAGGAGTTTCAAAGGGGTAGAGGAATATGGAAGGTGGCATCATGTGGAAACAGCAAGATAAATCCCGAATGTAGGATTTTCCACCAGCTACCTTGCCTGGATCCTTGAATATGTTGACTATCATGGGGAAAAAGTAGGAACTGGTTTTTCCACCTTAAAAGAGGCTAAAATTCATTGGACCTTAGATTGGGGAAAAATATCTATAAAAGAGATTTTTGTCACAATTGGACAGCTGCAATGTGTGCTGAGTGTTTAGAGGTTACAATGAAATATTGCTGATTTGCCTGGGTTTGGCAGTGGTATTAAGGCTGTGTAAGAGAGTATCATTCTTCGGAGAAACATGCAGAGAGCTAGAGGAATGAAGAGTATGGCATCTGTATAGTTTCAGGTGTGTTGCATGCAGGTATAGGGTATATAGATGTTTCCTATGCTACTATTGACTCTTCTTTATACCTGAAAAGTTAAATAGGACAGGGAAAATGAAGTCTTAAGTATGAGCCACTAAAAACAGCCCCAAAAGTAATATTAAGTAATAATCAGTTAATTCTGTTTAAGAGACAAGAATGTAAACATGCATCTTTAGAAGATTCATGTTAGAGATATAAAAGAATCAGTTCCAGAACCTTCAGCTCTCTTGAACATTATGGTGGCAATATATTTCTTGTAGAAGTGTCTTATAGCAGAAAATATTATAAATAAAGAGTACTATTTTATGGTGCTCATTTTTCAGTTCCTTGTCTTTCTGTCATAGTGCAGATTTATAGACAGATGTCTACAGGATTAGGAGACAGATGTCAAAAACATTGTCTTTTGATGTCTTAATTGGAAGCTGATATTTTGTTGGCATCGTGCCTAAAAAAGGAATAAAAGTTTCTAAAATTCTTCAAAGAGTAGCCACTGGAACCTGTGTGTTATGTCATATGCTGATGAGACATGACAGATAATGTTCCTAAGTAGCCTTATAGCTGATCCCGAGGGGCTCCTGTGACTGGGCTCTCACTGCATCTCTCAGTAGACTTCTGCCTACTGGGTCTGTGTCATCCCTTTTTACTCTAAGGCTACTAAGGTCTTAGGAAACTGGAGGTCGGAGCTTGAACTGAGTGATGCGATGAAATGACTTCCGGAAGTGCTGCCCACATCTCATGTATTTTCTCTTGGACCCAGTTGTATCCCTGCCATTAGAGCCCTGGAGGTTACCTGTTCATACACAGTGTTCTCTCCCTTATTTACATCAATTGCAGTAGCTTGGAAACCTTTTAACCTTTCCTTTTTAAAAAGAAGATGATTTGATTATTGTAGAAACTTTTAGTGCAGCAAAGTGTTACACACATTTCTGTTCTAGCCTCAACTAATCATGTATTTTATTAAATACTAAACATTTTGCTGATTTCTATATAGTACTTAAGTGCATTATTTTCTTTCTGCATCTCTTTATTTGCCTTGTTTATCTTAACATAAAGCATTTCTTTGGGTAAGTAGATACTTATATCTGCTTTTTCTTTTTGTATGACTACTATTTAGGTTGGTGCTAAATTAATGGTGGTTTTTATGATTACAATACCTGTAAGCAGACTAGCTTACTTTTTGTGATTTGCACCCCTGCGTTTAGTACTGGCATTTTGCTGACTATTCATCAGCTTTTGATGTGGTATTCTTACATGTCAAGCTTTTCAACTGAAATTGTGATCAAATTTGAGATTTAGAATTGAGTCAGGCCAACCTGGGGAGCTATTAATAGTTGGAAAAGCCCAGTGAAAATCCAGCACCTCTAACTTTTACTCCTGGGCACTTTATTACTTACAATTACTGGTAGTCTTGGTACCCTTTGTTCATACTTGTGCCAGCCCTCACAGGTACAGGTACAATTGTAGATACTAAAAGACCCACTGGCTGACATCTAGTGGTTAAATTCATCTCATCAATAATTGAGAGTCTCTACAATGATTGAGAGGCTGTACTCATCAATGATTGAGAGGCTGCATTCTGTGGACAGGACTTCTGTGAAGAAGTTAAGAAGCCTGAAGAAGTTAACATCTTTATATGATCACACTATAATATAGAGTAATAAATGCCATGTACCCGTTGCCATGCTTATTGTTTCTGCTGGCTGGGACTAGTGAGTGTCCTGATTTTAAGGATGTGTTTTGAAACTTGCTTGTCTCTCTGCCTTCATTCTCATCCAGGCTTGTTGCTAAAGTGGGCTCTGTTTGCGGAACTCACTCCCTGTTTTCCCTTCCCTCACTGTGAGCTGGATTTTTGGCCTTAACACTTACAAAAATTGTTCTGACGTAGGTAGCAGTGATGTGCATGTTAGTTGCAGAGGGTACTCTTTTCTTAAATGTCCCAGGTTCTTTGCTGCTTCCTAATCCTCCTTGGAAATCTTTCTCGGGTAATTCCTCTTCCGGCTTCCTCATCACTTTCTCTTCCTACTGGTGCCTGTGTGGCCTCTCTGTGGTTTTGTTGTGGGCACTCTCCTCTTGCGGAGACCTCTTCCGAGCTCATGGTTTCGGCACACGCCTCTGCACTGATGACCTCTTGACCTCCCTGGCTGGGTCTCATCTCTTTTTAGTTAAAATGTATGTTTCCCAGTGACCACAGGCTCTTCCTGCCTACTTGGCCCAGAGGCCACTCTGAAGCATTGTATTTTAAATGGGGCTTCTAGTTCTCTGTCAGATCTGCCCTTTTCCTGAATTCTACACCGGGCAGCTAACCCCAAAAGCCCCAAAAGAGAAGCCAGGATTTATCTTCCAATCTTCAACCCCTTGCCATCCCTACCCACACCTTCCAAAAAACCTCCTTATTTATAAACATTTCAAAGCCACTTGTGTGTCATCCCAGCTGTCATTTCCTGCTTTAGGCTCTCAGGCCTTTTTCTGATCTAACAGCAATATTTGCTGAGAACCTTTACCACGTGCAGTTCTGCTGCTTAACTGAAGGGAGATCAGTGGTGGCTGTAGGGTTTTGGTGCTCATGAGGGTGAAATTGTGCAGTTCTGGGGCCCAGGTGTACTTGGATAAAGGTAGCTTTGGTGAGAGGGTAGACTTCACCAGCATGTTTTTGGATTTTTTTCTCCTGGTGTATTTTCCTAGATTCCTTTGTCAAACAAATTTGGTAACAGACTGGCCCTTAAGTACTTTCTGAGAGAAGCATTGTTCATGTGGATCAAAACGACCTTGGATTTTGTGTGTTCTCATTGTTGCCCTTTCCTGGGTATTGCTTCTGCATTCTTAATGCAAATATGTGAGTTATTCCCAGTTGTGGCTCCATGACTTGTTCCTTTCTGGAACTGTGGTAGAAATTTTTAAGAAATTATTTTGGGCAGATAGAGAGTAAAAGTTTCCATTTCTTTTAAAACAGCTCCAAAAAATGTTTCTTGTCTATGAGGAAAGTCCAGGCCCTTAGAACCCACAGGCAACTTTTGATATGCAAATGCTGGCCATTAGAAACTGGGTCCACCCAATGCAGTGATTCCCACCATTGTCCTCTTGCCTTTGCCCCCACATATCCCCACTCCTGTAGAACATCATGCTACCCTGCATTTGCATATTAAAAGGCTAGGGTGTGAGGGCCGGTTTTTTCGAGGGCTACGTGATTGACTTGCCTGATCAAACCAATCCCCTGCACCCTTCCAAATCAAACACTACCTCCTCCAGCCTTTTTATATACCTGGCTGGTTTCCACACCACTTAGGGTCTCCTCTTTCAGCTTTGGAGCTCCCCTCTCACTGTCTCTTTACGGGGGAGCGTCTTCCTTTTGACTTCTTCCATTTTTTCTTGCCTGGTAAACTCTCAGCTTCTTTTATATTTTTTATTATTTATTTATTTATTTATTTATTATTTATTTATTTTTATTACACTTTAAGTTATAGGGTACATGTGCACAACGTGCAGGTTTGTTACATATGTATACATGTGCCATGTTGGTGTGCTGCACCCATTAACTCGTCATTCACATTAGGTATATCTCCTAATGCTATCCCTCCCCCCTACCCCACCCCACAACAGGCCCCAGTGTGTGATGTTCCCTTGCTTGTGTCCAAGTGTTCTCATTGTTCAATTCCCACCTATGAGTGAGAACATGCGGTGTTTGGTTTCCTGTCCTTGCAATAGTTTGCTGAGAATGATGGTTTTCAGCTTCATCCATGTTCCTACAAAGGACATGAACTCATCATTTTTTATGGCCACATAGTGTTCCGTGGTGTATATTCACAATAGCAAAGACTTGGAACCAACCCAAATGTCCATCAGTGATAGACTGGATTAAGAAAATGTGGCACATAAACTCTCAGCTTCTTAAAACTGCTCCACATATGTCCATGTCATTTTTTCTAATTTGACTCGAGACAAAGAACCTGGTATTCCTCCACTCATGGGAGCCTCATCAGAAGCTCTAGCCTTATCTCAGTCCTCCTCTTGTTAAATCAGTTATGCTGACCTTGCTGTGCTGACAGCAGCCTGATAAAAGCCTTTAAAGTTGCCCACCTCAAGTCATTTAGCAATACAGTTAGCAAAGCACTAGATGTAGTTAAAATAAATGGCTTAATATTCCCAGCATTTAGGTGGCTCCATTCAGATGGCTGAAGGCAGGTGGCACTTTCTGCTGTGGAGAATTTGGGGAGAGAATTTTAAGTTCAAAAAGAATTTAAGAAAAGCATAAGGTGGATCTATGAGGGCTCTGGAGGAGAGGTTGAGATGTTCAAGGTTTTCCTTCAATTCATGAACCTGACTGACTTCACAGCAAGTCCACCAACTGCCAGATACTGAGACAACTGAGTCAAATGAATACATCATCATCCCTCTTCTTCAGGGGACTGCAGGCTGGTGTCCTGTAACTTGTACAGGGGGAGCTGGACATGATCTGTTCTTCTACATTATCATCATTCATCTGCTAGAGATGACTCGATTTCCTTGGGAGCCAGGAAAAGGAAGTTGGCCAGTTGGACATGCTTCACAGCAGAGCACATGAATCCCAAATGAGCCATCAGTAGGGTTGGGGAGTCAGTGAGGTGGAGGAGGAAGGGCTAAGGGTATTTCAGGACAAAAGGACTTGGTGAGAGGTGGAGCATAGGTCGACATGCCTGCCAAGGCCAGAGGACAGCGAGCCTTGTGCCAGGCTAAGGAATTCAGATTTTATCTCGTACCCATCATAGAGCCTGGTGAGCACATGATTTCTAGAAGGGTGCTTCTGAAGATGTGGACTGTTGGGGCTTAGACACTGGAGACTGAACACTGTTGCTATTGTCTAGGTGAATGATAGAAGAACTGCATGAGTATCCTACAAACTGGGGGGCCTAAAACAACAGGAAATTACTTTATCTCAGCTCCACATGGCCTTCTCTTCTCTCCTTTTGTCTCCTCTAAATAAGGACCCCTGCCATTGGATGTTGGGCCCACCAGGATGATACAGACTGCCCATCTCCAGATCCTTCATTTAATCACATCTGCAAGGTCTTTTTTTCAAATATGGTACAATTCTCAGGCCCTGGGCATTAGGACATGGACATGTATTTTTGGGAGCCACCCTTCAACTGACTACAAGGACCTGTGGGGTTGGAATGAAAGGAAGAGAAGAGGTTGATTCAGAGGCCGTTCAGCTGACAGCTAGGCATAGAGGGATGGGAGGGAGAAGGCAGGTGAATAGCAGTGACTTGTCCAGAAGTTGAGATTAGAGGAAGCCGTGAGGCCTCAGAATAGGGATAAGTTCCATTTTAGGCATTTGAACATGTTGAGTTTCAGGAAACTGAAACACTGCACACCACTTAGGTTGACAGCATTAATGGAAACAACCATGATTTCCCATTTAAACCAAACAAAACTGTTGGTGCTGTCAACCCATCAAGAAAACTGACATAGGTGGCCATCAATGTACACTCATCTTTGAACAGTGACAGTGTAGCAGGATTGATAAGGAATCAGAGAGACCAATGGGGTTCAGGAGGTTATTTATTATTTAGGTACACTAAATAATAAATTATTTAGTTAGTTAGTTAGTTATTATTCATTTAGTTTATTATTTAGCTACACTAAAAATAATAAATTATATTAATAATAAATAATATAATAATATAATAATTAATAATAATAATAAATAATAAATTATTAGGTACACTGGCCCAGTCTGATTAACATCCAGTGATGTTAATCAATGGATGAACAAAGAGTTAAGCCTGAACAAAGAGTTAAGTTACCTTTAAGCATTTTGTGGGGCTGGGGGAGATCTGTGCAGAGGGAAGCATTACAGAAGCGAGAAACAAAGATGGTTATTCAATTAATTGAGACATGCATTACATCATTTCTTACTTTTCAAGGATAAACATGGTTTATGACTTGAGTTTATCTGTCTAGTGACCTTCCAGTTGCTCAGCTAGAGCAACAAGGTCTTCACAATGCCTGGGAAAGGGAGAGATAAGGCTCACTAGCCACAGAAAAACAGACAGTTAATTTTTAAAGGACTCCAGCTCTTTCTTTTTCTCAAGGGGAACTGAATTTTCTTACATACAAGTGAGTTTCTGCTTACACATTCTTTAATTTCTTTTAATTCCTGTTCCATTCCCCCCTTTGGTGCTTTTTATAACAAAGGTGTTAATTGAAAGCACCACTGTTTGCCACCTCTTCATGGAGCTGAGCTTCTTATTCTACAGGCAATGACTGATATTTGTTTGATGCCATCAATTGCTTGGTAGTGTGTCAGGTTACTATTGCCTCTATAGTGGACTGATTACTCCTAATAAGCAGGGGTAAAAGGCAAGGGAGGATGAGGCAGATGACAAGAATAAACAAAAACCCACCAATGAGGGTTTTGAATCCTCCCATGATTGAGAACCATCCTCCAAACAAGAAATCTGGGGACCATCCGGACCAAGTCTGAACAGGGACATGGGCCAGCTTGTGCATTCTAGCTGTGATTTTCATGACAGCTCGGCCATTATTACTGATCTCTAGGCAACAGTTGGTTAAATTAAATTTGCGACATACTCCTTCCTCTAGGGCTAAGAGTTAATAATCTAAAGCTAATCTATTTTGATGTATAGCATTTCTCATTTGTCTTGCTTGTACTGCCAACAAATTTAGTGCCCTTGATGTTTTATTGGTTATAATTTCAAGGACTGCCTGCAAACTTATGATGCAGTTCAGCATATAGATTGGGCTGCGGTAACCCCATGACCCGTCTTGCAACCAGGTAGCTGGCCCATAGTATTTAATATTTTTTTCAGGAGTCATTTATTCTCTTTCCAGTCTTCTCTATCCACATCTTTTTGATATTTGTGTCTATTTTTGTGATTATGTTTCTTCTATTATTTTTCATCATAAACTGGATACCCTAAGAGTTCCCCTTGCTTTAGAGGAATTAGAAAGAGGGATTGCTTGATTGTTTCTAACACACAGGCCCCTGTCCATTTAGCCAGCAGTTGCCAATATGCCCATGCTCCACAGACCCAAGATAGGCCAGAGGGTGCTTTCCAAGCATTTGGAGACTCTAGCTGATGCCAAGAGTGGCTTAGAGTAGAGAACCAAGAGAAAGGGTTTGGATCTGCTAAGTAGGAGTTGTTCTGGGCATTTCTTCATACAGTTTTGTTTTTAGTCTCATTATAATACTGTTGCCTTAGGCAGGTTGGTTTTTCCTACTGCCTCTGTGAAAGCCTTTCCCCAATGGGCAATATGGTATTTTCCCATTACGGAGGTTTTTAACAACCAAACACTAGCTGAGGCTGTTGGTTCTCTGGCAAGGTTAGGCGAAGTGAAGTTGTCTTGTGGCATTAATTATTTTGCCTCCTATGGCCACTGGTCCCCCATATTAGTTCGTCCACATACATAGCATGACGAAATTCTTAAGCTGTCAGTTTTGTTTTCACTTTGAGCAAATAAGTTTTTGGTTGATGGGGGAAGCTCAGGCACTGACTGATCAAACTGCTTATAGAATGACTTATCAACCTGGAATTGCAGGTTTGGATGCATTTGAGTCCTTCTAGTCTTTTTGACAATCAGTAATGGAACTCCAAGGCCTGCTGCTTGTCTATCAACTCGTAATAGTGCTGTCTGTCCTGTAGACCAAAAAGGTAGCTCTGGCTTTAAGACAGTAAAATTTAAAGGATTGCATGTCCTTGTCTTACAATTTGGTTTGGTTGACATACTACTTAGCAGAGTAGTCGTTCCTGAATATAAATGTTGGAGCTGTGTCAGCACAGAACACTGAATGTTACAGTCTGGGCATCCTATTTGTGGTTCTCAGTACAGATGTTTAGGGCTGCTTTTGCTAAGCCTCTCTTGTGTTAAACCATTGCAGACTGCTTCTGGCTTTTTATGATTATGAACATATTTGGCATGGCAGGCATCAAAGTGCAAGGAAGTAGATCTTTTATAGGATGGAGGGCCTTCTTTGTTTTGAGCTATATGCTCTCTTTCTTTTTATCTCTCTGATTTAATATGTACCCCAATCCAGAATTCACAGGGTAAGTGCTTAGGGTCATACCATGCATATAGCTGATTACTTTCTGGGTCACAGACTGAATAGGTGGTTTGGTTGTATGTGCAGGTTCCTAACTTTGTTCCTGTACGTTCATAGTAGGTATGGTACAGTACAGTTTTAACTGTGATATTCCTTACCCAGGTAGTATGTACACAGTGTGGGCATCCTTCTAGAGATTTCTCCTTTTTTAGTATAGGCAGAAATGGTAAGAACATTAGTATATGTAATAGAAATATTCTTACGCTACACATGGGCATGACAAACCTTCCTCTGGGCATAGACGTTTGCAGCATTTGCAGTAATAACAACAGAACAATCAGTATTGACAGAATTATAATTACACTTATAAATTGTATTTACATTTACTTATCCAGAGATGGTCCTTTTAGCTTCATCTGTACGTAGACTAGTTAGCTTCTGGGATGTGACTAGAGCAGAGCTTGCAGGATCCTCAAGCTTCAGCCATGCGTAGACTGACCACCCTCTGGTGTGGTTAGAGCAGGGCAGTTGTCCTTCTTACTGGTGGTTGGGTTTTGCTGTAGGACTATTGGGGTGGGGTGATCTGGGTCTTGTTGGCTAATCCACTGGTCATCATCAGGAGTCACTGCTGCCACTGGTTTCAGCCAACTATGGTGCATCCAAGGTGTGACACCTGCAACTTTAAGAGCAGTGGGAGTAGACATCACAAAATGGGCCTCTCCTATATGGGTCCTAGGGTGGTTGTGTGTCCAGAATTGGTGGGTTCTTGGTCTCACTGACTTCAAGAATGAAGCCGCGGACCCTCGTGGTGAGTGTTACAGCTCTTAAGGTGGCACATCTGGAGTTTGTCCCTTCTGATGTTCAGATGTGTTCAGAGTTTCTTCCTTCTGGTGGGTTCGTGGTCTCGCTGGCTCAGGAGTGAAGCTGCAGACCTTCGCGGTGAGTGTTACAGCTCTTAAGGTGGTGTGTCTGGAGTTGTTGAGCTAGATAGAAAGACTCTCCACATCCCCACCAGACTAAGGAGCCCAGCTGGCTTCACCAGTCCCACACCATGCTCTTGCACTCCTCAGCTCTTGGGTGGTCGATGGGACTGGGCACCGTGGAGCAGGGGGTGGCATTCATCAGGGAGGCTTGGGCTGCACAGGAATGCATGGAGGCGGGGGAAGTCTCAGGCATGGCTGGCTGCAGTCCCAAGGCCGGCCCCATGGGAAGGCAACTAAGACACAGTGAGAAATCGAGCACAGCGCCAGTGGGCTGGCACTGCTGGGGGACCCAGTACACCCTCCGCAGCCGCTGGCCCAGGTGCTAAGCCCCTCACTGCCCGGGGCCAGCAGGGCTGGCTGGCCTCTCCAAGTGTGGGGCCTGCCAAGCCCACACCCACCCAGAACTCCAGCTGGCCTGCAAGCGCCACAGGCAGCCCCAGTTCCCACTCATGCCTCTCCCTGCACACTTCCCTGCAAGCTGAGGGAGTGGGCTCCAGACTTGGCCAGCCCAGAAAGGGGCTCCCACAGTGCAGCAGCAGGCTGAAGGGCTCCTCAAGTGCCACCAAAGTGGGAGACCAGGCAGAGGAGGTGCCAAGAGCAAGCGAGGGCCCTGAGGACTGCCAGCATGCTATCACCTCTCAATCCCCCCTCTAAACAGGACACCCCAATTGCTGTTGGGAATTTGGCCGATGACCGCTCTAGCTACTTCCTGCTGGATAGGGGTGAAGAATGGGCCCTGCAGTTGTGGTGTCCTTCAGAGGGGAACTCTCCAGGCCAGGTGAAGTGCCAGTGGGTTGGTCCAGGGGTCCTCAGTAGAAGTTGTTAGTTGAAATCATTTGGGGTTCCATTTGTAAGACCATCTGTAGCTTGATGGCCTTGATTCTAGAGGAAACAAATTTGACAAGAAGGTTAAAAATACAGGGCCCAAGGGTGAGTAACAGTAAGATGGCTGCCACAGAACCTAGAAAGGGGAGAAGCCATGTTGCCCAACTCCAGAGGTTGGTATAAGAATTTGAAAGGCGTTGTCTGATTTCAGAATCCTTTTCCTGTAAATGCTGGTCAGCATCTCATACTATCCCCAACTCTTAGTGCAAAAACAACACTCTTCCCCTAAGAAGGTGCAGAGCCCTCCTTTCTCAGCAGTGAGGAGGTCTAGGCCTCAGAAATTTTGGAGAGTCACTGCTGCCAAAGAGTCTGTTTGGGATTGTAAAGTAAGAATAGATTTCGTTATTTCTTGCAAACTGTCTGAGAAATCCTTTGAGAATGTGTGGTAGTAGGATAATGAAGTTGATAGACTAGCTATTCCGGTTCTTGTAGCAGTAGCCATTCCTAACCCTGTAAGTAGGGGTATTAGTTGTATGGCTCTGCGCTGATGGACTTGAGCTTTGAGGGGTACTGATAAGGTCTGATTTCCTGGGGCAATGTTAATGTTAGGACTTAGAAAGATTAAGGTGCTGGTGCCTGTCCAGTTAGTGGGGAGGCAGATATAGGTCAACATTCCACATAAGAAGAATATGCCTTGGCTGGGTAGACAGAACTGGTTATGTATGTTAAAAAGGTATGTGAGTTTGTTGTTTTCATTTTCCCATAATCCTAGAGTACTTGCTAAGGTAACTCCAGTGAGTGGCTGGAAAGGGGTGTTGGGAGCAAACTGAGTGGCTCCCTGTGTTCTATCTTCCCACTGGAGAAAAAAAAAATTTGTATCCAATAGGAACCATTTGATAGAGTGATTGAAAGAGGGGATGAGAAGGCATTCACTAGTGGTAGGGGCACTGCCTTGGCCCCCCAAAGTGTTGGCATTACAGGTGTGAGCCATTGCGCCCAGCCTTAGACATTCTTTTCAATACTTATCCATGCATCTTTTCCATGGCCATATTTAAAGCCTGCATGTGACTTTTTAAAGTTAGTTCTCCTAGTTTACAGAGATTACCTTTAATCTGATTTATGATGGCAGGTGACTGGCTGAAAAAAATCTCATAGGACGAATACCAAGTTTGTTTGATGGGGGTGCACCTGACTTGGAGGAGGACCATGGGCAAGATCTGATCCTACTTTTGACGAGTCTTTTGACAAAATTTCTTCAGCAGCTGTTTGAGTGTCTGGTTCATGCACTCCACTTTACCTGAGCTCTGTGGCCTGTAGGCTGTATGTTTTTACCACTTTATTTTTTTTTTTAAATTTTTTATTTTTTATTTTTTATCTTTTTTTATTTTTTTTTTTAATTTTATTATTTATTTATTATTATTATACTTTAAGTTTTAGGGTACATGTGCACAATATGCCGGTTAGTTACATATGTATACATGTGCCATGCTGGTGCGCTGCACCCACTAACTCGTCATCTAGCATTAGTTATATCTCCCAATGCTATCCCTCCCCCCTCCCCCAACTCCCACAACAGTCCCCAGAGTGTGATGTTCCCCTTCCTGTGTCCATGTGTTCTCATTGTTCAATTCCCATCTATGAGTGAGAACATGCGGTGTTTGGTTTTTTGTCCTTGTGATAGTTTGCTGAGAATGATCATTTCCAATTTCATCCATGTCCCTACAAAGGACATGAACTCATCATTTTTTGTGGCTGCATAGTATTCCATGGTGTATATGTGCCACATTTTCTTAATCCAGTCCATCATTGTTGGACATTTGGGTTGGTTCCAAGTCTTTGCTATTGTGAATAATGCCGCAATAAACATATGTGTGCATGTGTCTTTATAGCAGCATGATTTATAATCCTTTGGGTATATACCCAGTAATGGAATGGCTGGGTCAAATGGTATTTCTAGTTCTAGATCCCTGAGGAATAGCCACACTGACTTCCACAATGGTTTAACTAGTTTACAGTCCCACCAACAGTGTAAAAGTGTTCCTATTTTCCACATCCTCTCCAGCACCTATCGTTTCCTGACTTTTTAATGATTGCCATTCTAACTGGTGTGAGATGGTATCTCATTGTGGTTTTGATTTGCATTTCTCTGATGGCCAGTGATGATGAACATTTTTTCATGTGTTTTTTGGCTGCATAAATGTCTTCTTTTGAGAAGTGTCTGTTCATGTCCTTTGCCCACTTTTTGATGGGGTTGTTTGTTTTTCTCTTGTAAATTTGTTTGAGTTCATTGTAGATTCTGGATACTAGCCCTTTGTCGGATGAGTAGGTTGCGAAAATTTTCTCCCATTTTGCAGGTTGCCTGTTCACTCTGATGGTAGTTTCTTTTGCTGTACAGAAGCTCTTTAGTTTAGTTAGATCCCATTTGTCAATTTTGTCTTTTGTTGCCATTGCTTTTGGTGTTTTAGACATGAAGTCCTTGCCCATGCCTATGTCCTGAATGGTAATGCCTAGGTTTTCTTCTAGGGTTTTTATGGTTTTCAGTCTAATGTTTAAATCTTTAATCCATCTTGAATTGATTTTTGTATAAGGTGTAAGGAAGGGATCCAGTTTCAGCTTTCTACATAGGGCTAGCCGGTTTTCCCAGCACCATTTATTAAAAAGGGAATCCTTTCCCCATTGCTTGTTTTTTTCAGGTTTGTCAAAAATCAGATAGTTGTAGATATACAGTGTTATTTCTGAGGGCTCTGTTCTGTTCCATTGATCTATATCTCTGTTTTGGTACCAGTAGCATGCTGTTTTGGTTACTGTAGCCTTGTAGTATAGTTTGAAGTCAGGTAGTGTGATGCCTCCAGCTTTGTTCATTGGCTTAGGATTGACTTGGTGATGTGGGCTCTTTTTTGGTTCCATATGAACTTTAAAGTAGTTTTTTCCAATTCTGTGAAGAAAGTCATTGGTAGCTTGGTGGGGATGGCATTGAATCTGTAAATTACCTTGGGCAGTATGGCCATTTTCACGATATTGATTCTTCCTACCCATGAGCATGGAATATTCTCCCATTTGTTTGTATCCTCTTTTATTTCATTGAGCAGTGGTTTGTAGTTCTCCTTGAAGAGGTCCTTCACATCCCTTGTAAGTTGGATTCCTAGGTATTTTATTCTCTTTGAAGCAATTGTGAATGGGTGTTCACTCATGATTTGGCTCTCTGTTTGTCTGTTGTTGGTGTATAAGAATGCTTGTGATTTTTGTACATTGATTTTGTATTCTGAGACTTTGCTGAAGTTGCTTATCAGCTTAAGGAGATTTTGGGCTGAGATAATGGGTTTTCTAGATATACAATCATGTCGTCTGCAAACAGGGACAATTTGACTTCCTCTTTTCCTAATTGAGTACCATTTATTTCCTTCTCCTGCCTAATTGCCCTTGCCAGAACTTCCAACACTATGTTGAATAGGAGTGGTGAGAGAGGGCATCCCTGTCTTGTGCCAGTTTTCAAAGGGAATGCTTCCAGTTTTTGCCCATTCACTATGATACTGGCTGTGGGTTTGTCATAGAGAGTTGTTATTATTTTGAGATACTTCCCATCAATACCCAATTTATGGAGAGTTTTTAGCATGAAGCATTGTTGAATTTTGTCAAAGGCCTTTTCTGCATCTGTTGAGATAATCATGTGGTTTTTGTCTTTGGTTCTGTTTATATGCTGGATTACATTCATTGATTTGCATATATTGAACCAGCCTTGCATCCCAGGGATGAAGCCCACTTGTTCATGGTGGATAAGCTTTTTAATGTTCTGCTGTATTTGGTTTGCCAGTATTTTATTGAGGATTTTTGCTTCAATGTTCATCAAGGATATTGGTCTTAAATTCTCTTTTTTGGTTGTGTCTCTGCCTGGCTTTGGTGTCAGGATGATGCTGGCCTCATAAAATGAGTTAGCGAGGATTCCCTCTTTTTCTATTGATTGGAATAGTTTCAGAAGGAATGGTACCAGTTCCTCCTTGTACCTCTGGTAGAATTTGGCTGTGAATGCATCTGGTCCTGGACTCTTTTTGGTTGGTAAGCTATTGATTATTGCCACAATTTCAGCTCATGTGATTGGTCTATTCAGAGATTCAACTTCTTCCTGGTTTAGTCTTTGGAGAGTGTATGTGTCGAGGAATTTATCCATTTCTTCTAGATTTTCTAGTTTATTTGCATAGAGGTGTTTGTAGTATTCTCTGATGGTAGTTTGTATTTCTGTGGGATCAGTGGTGATATCCCCTTTATCATTTTTTATTGTGTCTATTTGATTCTCCTCTCTTTTCTTCTTTATTAGTCTTGCTAGCAGACTATCAATTTTTTAGATCCTTTCAAAAAACCAGCTCCTGGATTCATTAATTTTTTGAAGAGTTTTTGTGTCTCTATTTCCTTCAGTTTTGCTCCGATTTTTGTTATTTCTTGCCCTCTGCTAGCTTTTGAATGTGTTTGCTCTTGCTTTTCTAGTTCGTTTAATTGAGATGTTAGGGTATCAATTTTGGATCTTTCCTGCTTTCTCTTGGGGGCATTTAGTGCTATAAATTTCCCTCTACACACTGCTTTGAATGCATCCCAGAGATTCTGGTATGTTGTGTGTCTGTTCTCGTTGGTTTCAAAGAACATCTTTATTTCTGCCTTCATTTCGTTATGTCGCCAGTAGTCATTCAGGAGCAGGTTGTTCAGTTTCCATGTATTGAGTGGTTTTGCATGAGTTTCTTAATCCTGAGTTCTAGTTTGATTGCACTGTGGTCTGAGTGATAGTTTGTTATAATTTCTGTTCTTTTACATTTGCTGAAGAGAGCTTTATTTCCAAGTATGTGTTCAATTTTGGAATAGGTGTTGTGCGGTGCAGAAAAAAAATGTATATTCTGTTGATTTGGGGTGGAGAGTTCTCTAGATGTCTATTAGGTCTGCTTGGTGCAGAGCTGAGTTCAATTCCTGGGTATCCTTGTGGACTTTCTGTCTCGTTCATCTGTCTAATGTTGACAGTGGGGTGTTAACGTCTCCCATTATTAATGTGTGTGTGTCTAAGTCTCTTTGTAGGTCACTCAGGATTTGCTTTATGAATCTGGGATCTCCTGTATTGGGTGCATATATATTTAGGATAGTTAGCTCTACTTGTTGAATTGATCCCTTTACCATTATATAATGGCCTTCTTTGTCTCTTTTGATCTTTGTTGATTTAAAGTCTGTTTTATCAGAGACTAGGATTGCAACCTCTGCCATTTTTTGTTTTCCATTTGCTTGGTAGATCTTCCTCCATCCTTTTATGTTGAGCCTATGTGTGACTTTGCACATGAGATGGATTTCCTGAATACAGCACACTGATGGGTCTTGACTCTTTATCCCATTTGCTAGTCTGTGTCTTTTAATTGGAGCATTTAGTCCATTTACATTTAAAGTTAATATTGTTATGGGTGAATTTGATCCTATCATTATGATGTTAGCTGGTTATTTTGCTCGTTAGTTGATGCAGTTTCTTCCTAGTCTCGATGGTCTTTAAATTTTGGCATGATTTTGCAGCGGCTGTACCAGTTGTTCCTTTCCATGTGTAGTGCTTCCTTCAGGAGCTCTTTTAGGGCAGGCCTGGTGGTGACAAAATCTCTCAACATTTGCTTGTCTGTAAAGTATTTTATTTCTCCTTCACTTATGAAGCTTAGTTTGGCTGGATATGAAATTCTGGGTTGAAAATTCTTTTCTTTAAGAATGTTGAATATTGGCCCCCACTCTCTTCTGGCTTGTAGACTTTCTGCCAAGATATCTGATGTTAGTCTGATGGGCTTCCCTTTTTGGGTAACCCGACCTTTCTCTCTGGCTGCCCTTAACATTTTTTCCTTCATTTCAACTTTGGTGAATCTGACAATTCCGTGTCTTGGAGTTGCTGTTCTCGAGGAGTATCTTTGTGGCATTCTCTGTATTTCCTGAATCTTAATGTTGGCCTGACTTGCTAGATTGTGGAAGTTCTGGATAATAGACTGCAGAGTGTTTTCCAACGTGGTTCCATTCTCCTCATCTCTTTCAGATACACCAATCAGACGTAGAATTAGTCTTTTCACATAGTCCCATATTTCTTGGAAGCTTTGCTCATTTCTTTTTATTCTTTTTTCTCTAAACTTCCCTTCTTGCTTCATTTCATTCATTTGATCTTCCATCACTGATACTCTTTCTTCCAGTTGATTGCATCGGCTCCTGGGGCTTCTTCATTCTTCACGTAGTTCTCGAGCCTTGGTTTTCATCTCCATCAGCTCCTTTAAGCACTTCTCTGTATTGGTTGTTCTAGTTATACATTCTTATAAATTTTTTTCAAAGTTTTCAACTTCTTTGCCTTTGGCTTGAATTTTCTCTCGTAGCTTGGAGTAATTTGATCATCTGAAGCCTTCTTCTCCCAGCTCATTAAAGTCATTCTCTGTCCAGCTTTGTTCCATTGCTGGTGAGGAACTGCATTCCTTTGGAGGAGGAGAGGAGCTCTGCTTTTTAGAGTTTCCAGTTTTTCTGTTCTGTTTTTCCCCATCTTTGTGGTTTTATCTACTTTTGGTCTTTGATGATGATGTAGAGATGGGTTTTTGGGGTGGATGTCCTTTCTGTTTGTTAGTTTTTCTTCTAACAGACAGGACCCTCAGCTGCAGATGTGTTGGAGTACCCAGCCGTGTGAGATGTCAGTCTGCCCCTGCTGGGCGTGCCTCCCAGTTAGGCTGCTCAGGGTCAGGTGTCAGGGACCCACTTGAGGAGGCAGTCTGCCCTTTCTCAGATCTCCAGCTGTGTGCTTGGAGATCCGCTGCTCTTTTCAAAGCTGTCAGACAGGGACATTTAAGTCTGCAGAGGTTACTGCTGTCTTTTTGTTTGTCTGTGCCCTGCCCCCAGAGGTGGAGCCTACAGAGGCACTCAGGCTTCCTTGAGCTGTGGTGGGCTCCACCCAGTTGGAGCTTCCTGGCTGCTTTGTTTACCTAAGCAAGCCTGGACAATGGCAGCCACCCCTCCCCTAGCCTCGCTGCCACCTTGCAGTTTGATCTCAGACTGCTGTGCTACCAATCAGCAAGACTTCGTAGGCATAGGACCCTCTGAGCCAGGTGCAGGATATAATCTCCTGGTGCACCTTTTCTTAAGCCCATCAGAAAAGGGTCATATTCCATTGGGAAGTGATCCGATTTTCCAGGTGCCATGTGTCATGCCTTTCTTTGACTAGGAAAGGGAACTCCCTCACCCCTTGCACTTCTGGAGTGTGGCAATGCCTCGCCATGCTTTGGCTCACGCAGGGTGGGCACACCACTGACCTGCACCCACTGTCTGGCACTCCCTAATGGATGAACCCGTTACCTCAGATGGAAATGCAGAAATCACCCGTCTTCTGCATGGCTCATGCTGGGAGCTGTAGACTGGAGTTCTTCCTATTCGGCCATCTTCTCCCACTTTATTTTTAATAGTTGAGTTCTGAACTATTTCAGCCACAAATGTTGGTCCATTTTCTGATCTTATAGTTAGAGGCAGTCCAAATCTGGGAATAATGTCTCTTAACAACAACTTGGTCACTTCTAGTGCCTTCACTGTCCAGGTGAGGAAAGCCTCGACTTATCCTGAAAAGGTGCAAATGAACACCAACAGGTACTGATAGCCCCCTTTCAGGGCAATTCTGTGAAATCCATCAGCAGTTTTTCACAGGGCCTGGCTTCTGTTTCCTGAACTCCTGGGGCCAAGTAGGTCCTTGTTTTGGATTATTTCAGGCACAGGATAGACGTTGTTTGCAGACAGCACGCATGATGGCAGAGAGCTGTGACACATAGAAATGTCAACCTATCAAAGTCTCTAGGATCATGCTTCTAATGTGTGTTCTTTGGTGGAACTATTTTACAAATCTGGGGCTATTGTCTCTGGGGCAGCTAGCCTCCCATCAGAGAACAGCCACCGTTCACTTTTAATATATTTCCCTGTTTCCTGACCAAACCAAAACTTTTCATCTAGAGTGTAGCTTGGGATCTCTGGGAGGGGAATCTCCAGGAGGAGAGGCATAGCTAAGTCTTTCTCTTTAGAACGTGGAGTTGTCATTGAAGCTTTCTTTGCCCTGTCTGCCTTTCTATTTTCTTTGGCCTTTAGTGTTCTTGCTTTTTGGTGCCCCTTTCAGTGCATCACTGCCACCTCTTTTGGGTCCCATACGGCATTTAAGAGCTGTAGAATTTCTTCCTTGTACTTTATTTCTTAGTTCCAGCTGTTAAAAATCTTTTATAACACTGGCTGATGCTTTTATCTCCATGTTGGAGCACCTCTGAGCTTTTTATATTGGTTGCCTTTTCTTTTACCATCATTTAGCCTTTGCAGAAGTACTTCTTGGCACTTTGTAGGTGTTGAAGCTGGACTGCATCATCTGGGTCCTAGTGGGGGTCCCCTTGTCCTCTTAAGAGACATGAGCATAACATTGGCATGGTCAGAACTGAGATGGCCTGACTTTTTGAAACTTTCACAACTTCCCGAGCTCTGATTTCTCCTTCTCAAGTGAGACTAGGAGCATGTATCTGTTTGAATTTAGCTCCTTAGGGGCAGTTAGCCTTGGTAAAGGGGGGTAGATTGGAATGTAGGGAGGAGGGGTCTCTGTTCCCTCCTATAGTTCTTGCAAAGCCGGTTTTCTCTTTCTTGAGACTTTTCTTTTGTCTCCGTAGCTTCCAGGGCAGCTGATTTTTACTTTCACTTTTGGCTCTGCGTGCTACAAGCCTCTGTGACTTTCCCTTTAACTCTGTAGTTGCCAGTGCAGCTGATTTCTCTCAACGTGAGCTGCGAGCATTCTACAATAAGCTGCTAGGCAATGCTGCATTCATTTAGCCATGAGTCTATATGAAGACTAGGTCTGAATGCCCTGGCTATCCTCCAACCCTAGTCACCACCTTAAAACACGACCAATTTCTCTGTAGTGCCTTCAGCCAGCCATCTGACATTGAAAGAAGGCTAGTCTAATTCACAGTATATCCTTAACTTTGGAACATCCAGTCTTATCCTATAATTATCTCTAAACGCTTTTTCAAAATTCTTTATCATGCACTCCAAAGGAGTTGGTTTTGACACTTGCTCTCCCATTTTCTCTCTTGCATCGCACTTTCACTGTCACTTTTACTCTCTGGTCCATCAGACCGGGTCCTATTATGGGAGTTTCAGATGCTGCTTAGCCAGGAACATGCATTCTCCTGTTAGAGCCTGCTGTGGCTGCAGATCTGGTCCTATCACCTGTATGCAATGTCCTAGGTCTGATTTTCCCACACTCACCTCAGAGCACACAGCCTGTGCTAAAGGACTTGTGCCTCCCCACATCATTGCCAATGTTGGCCTCTCCTGAGACCATCTCTTTAACATACTTTCACACACCTCCCCTGCCCCAGGACTCCTCACTGGGTGAAACAAGTCTCTTCTGTCCTGGTTGACTGCAGTTAGACTCCCACATTCACACAAATACACACACCACTCCTACCGCAGGACTCCTCATCAGACTAAATGAGCCTCTTTTGTGTCCTGGGCAGGTTCACATGCACCCACACACTCCCAGTTGGAGTAGCAAGCTACTCTTGCCACCCTGACAGCAAGCTCTGCCTTGCTGCACTTGCCACTCTATCGGCCCATTTTCTCCTTTTTTTCAGTTCCAATGAACCACTTTCATTTTGTTAGTGGGGACATGAGGTTCATCCAAGTTGGCAGGCCATTCCTGCTGTCCCCAGATGCTCTAGCTTTGATTAATTGTCAGTCCCCAACAGGTGATCAGGCTCCCCTTTGTCCCTATGGGATGGGCTTTGCTGCCTTGGGCTCTTACTCCTTACCATGGTTTATGAAGTGCTGGTATCATCCTGCAGCTCCATCCCTGGTTCCATTACACTAGTGGCCAGGGCACTGGGATCAGGGGAGAGCTGGTTTCCATCTGGGTGAAGCTCCCTCATGGCATGCCTTGGATGCTGGGTTTCCCCTGGCCCTGGGGCTCTAGTCCCACAGGCAAAGGAGACAGTAAATCTCCAATCCTGGATGAGCTCCCAGAAATGTGATGGTATTGGTAAGTAATCAGAGAGACCGATGGGGTTCAGGAGGAGGATATGTATTATTTAGTTGCACTGGCCCAGTCGGATTAACATCCAAAGGACTAAGCCCTGAACAAAGAGTTAAGTTACCTTTTAAGTATTTTGTGGGGCTGAGGGAGATCTGTACAGAGAGAAGCATATTACAGACGCAAGAAACAAATGCAGTTATTCAATTAATTGAGAGATGTATTACATGATTTCTTACTTTTCAACGAAAAACAAGTTTTGTGACTTGAGTTTATCTGTCTAGTGACCTTGCAGCTGCTCAGCTAGAGAAACAAGATATTCACCATGCTGGGAAAGTAGGAGTGATAAGGCTTACTAGCCACAGAAAAACAGGCAGTTAATTTTCAAAGGACTCTAGCTCTTTCTCTTTCTCAGGGGGGAATTGGGTTTTCTTACATATAACTGAGTTTTTGCTCACACATTCTTTAATTTCTGTTCCATTAGTACCTAGAAGTCAGTTTATTTTTTACTTTTATTATTATTTTTTGAGACAGAATCTCATTCTGTTGCACAGGCTAGAGTGCAATGGTGCAGTCTCAGCTCACTGCAACCTCTGCCTTCCAGGCTCAAGTGATTGTCCTGCCTCAGCTTCCCAAGTAGCTGGGACTACAGGTGTGCACCACCACACCTGGCTAATTTGTGTATTTTTAATAGAGATGGAGTTTTGCCATGTTGCCCAGGCTGGTCTCAAACTCCAGGGCTCAAGTGATCTACCTGCCTTGGCTTCCTAAAGTGCTGTGATTACAAGTGCAAGCCACTGTTCTTGACCCCTAGAAGCCAATTTAAACTTATTATTTCTAAGTCCCCTTCCTCAATGAGAATACATATGTACACAGAGTTGGATAGTTGGTCTAGGAAGGGTCTAGAAATGTAAATTTAACTGTATGCCTATCATGTTTTTGTTTTTTAAAAAAAAAAAACAAACAAACAAACAAAAAAAACACGTGGAGTTAGAAAGAAATTCACTGGGTAGCCTGGAAGAGAATATGCAACTCTGATACAGAGGGAGTAGCTCTGGATCCCTAGTTAGTCTTCAGTCAGCCTCCAAATCCTCCCCCAACCCTACATCAAAACCTGAATCCCCACCCCAATCCTGAGCGAAAGCCTGCCACTTCCAGCTTAATCTCTGTTGACTGTAAGGATGCAGAATTTGCAACTTTGAAGTCCTTTTATTCCACTCCCTTGTCCTTTTCTTGTCCCAGCTGGGTTACAAATGTCAAGGAGAAGTAGAGGGCCCAGTCCCACCTCCTGGGTTTGGAGTTATTTAGCCATGGGATGCACCATGATTTTCAAGTACAGTTGATTTTCCATAGAAGGAAGTAAAAAGAAAGTGCTTTGGAATACATTTTGAACTCCATTCACCATGCCGGTGATAAACATGGAAACTAACCATTTGTGTGGTGGTGCTCCGTGTCACATATTTTACACACAATCATCTTCCTTTCCCAGTCTTTTTTTTTTTTTTTTTTTTTCAGAGTTGGACGGCGCCTTGTATGCTGTGTACTGCCTGAGTATGACATGTCTGGTAATAAGAAGGGTTAAGAGGCTCCTTCCTTTGCCTTCACAGAAGTTCTGTGGCCCAGATGTGAGATCTTTAAAAGGTCAGTGTTTTTGAATAAGGAATAAAATTGTATTATAAGATAAAAGTTCATGGAATTATACAATAAAATACTAAATTAGTAAATGGCACTTCCTTAGGTCATGGTCACTGGTCACTGTTTTTGCATCCCATTCTTCTCGCCTTCAGGTAATATCCCCTCAGGTCTGAGAATGATCGCAACTCAGAGCCTGAGAAGAGCTGTGCATCACTCTCTTGGGGATGGCAGCAAAATGCTGAGCAATGTTGGGTCCTACAACGTGTCCTCCATGGATGCCAGGCTCTAGGCCTGTTCTGTTGACTGCTGGAGTCTCAACATTCAGAACACCAGCCCAACATGGCATGTGTATTGACAGAGAGACTTCGGGCAATTTTTATCTCCTTGAATGAATGTATACATGTTACGTGACAGAGCAGGGACTAGATGGAGCCAATATATTAGATCGCCTTCTTTCCACCCCTCATTTTCTACATACTGCAGCCAGGATGGGGATATAAAATGGAAAGGAAGAAGGCATATCATTTTGTATGTGCCCTGTGATCTTTAAATGTTATCAAATGTTGTTAATGAAATGCCATGATATAACTAACTATATGCTGGCACCACTTTCCTGTATACTTGCATTCTCTAATTATGTTCAAAGCAATGGTTGCCCAAAGGCTAAGGGTACGCTCTGACCTTTCTTCACCCATGAGGACTATGTTTTAACTTGTAATTTCACCTGCAGGGGCTCACAGTCCAGCGGCATTTAAGTGCAACTATACTTTACTCACAGTAACTAATAGAAAAGAGAGATTGTGGGGGTTTGGGCAGGGGATTTATAACCTCATATTTAAAAATATGAATTCCTGCTTATTTATGGGTTGAGCATTTTGGGCCCCCATTGTTTCACCAAATCTCAGGGTACCTGATTTTTATTCACAAAATCATGCATTAGTATCCACATTAGAATATAAACACAAGACCTAAGATAAATTTGTTTTGTAGTACTTTGATAGTTAGAACACATTTCCCCAGATAGAAATATTAAAACAAGAGGTTAGATACCCACTCCCATATTCACATAACCCTTACGCACCTGAGGAGCTCTCTCATTTCAGAATGTCCCTGACCATCTCTTATTTCTTATGGGAAAGTGTTTGGGTACCAGCTTGGAATCCCAGGAGTGTAATTCTCCGGGGCAGAGACTCTGCTGCTGGTGCCATTGAGTCCCTAGCCCTTTTTCATGCTCCACTTTCTGATGAGCTTACACACACAGGCATGGTGTACTGTGGCTGCTTAATATTGCTGTAGGACTTCCTGTGTCCTGAGTTCACCACTACACTTTAATTCTAAATATTTATAAGCTATTAAAGTTAGATTCAAAAACTTTTTTGTTCCCTAAGCTTTTTCTGTTTATTTCGCTGATAAATCTAGCAAATGTTGGCTGGGTGTGGTGGCTCATTCCTGTAATTGCAGCACTTTTGGAGGCTGAGGCAGATGGATCACCTGAGCCCAGGGGTTCAAGACAGCCTGGGCAACATGGTGAAATCCCATCTCAACTAAAAATACAAAAATTAGCTGCATCTGGTAGTACACATCTGTAATCCATGCTACTTGGGAGGCTGAGGCATGAGGATCACTTGAACCCAGGAGGCAGAGGTTGCAGTAACCCAAGATCATGCCACTGCACTCCAGCCTGGGTGACAGAGTGAGTCTGTCTGCAAAAACAAAAAATCTAGTAAACGTTAACAGTCACTGTTCATAAGTCATAACATTGTTTCAATCCCTTTACAAATTTATCATAAACTTCACCTTTATACTGTTTAATCACACTTATAAAACTAATATATTTTATGGCTTTGTTGAGTAGTTCAGTTGTCTGAATTAATGAATGAAACCCCTTTAAATAGTCATCATCTTAAGCACAATAAGTGAAGTTTATAAAAATGATGAACCAAAACTTCTTAATATTTCAACATCATGCTTATTGTCTTAAATTGTAAGTGTTAATAATTCAGGTATGTATTTAAATGATTATTTATAGAATTATTTTTCTCACAGGCTGAATTTAATTAAAGAGTACAAGTAATAAAATAATAAGTAACACAGAAAATGTATTCAGTGGTCTTGCCTTTCTTAAACATGTCTCTAAATGATTTGGTTGTTAGGAGACATTAAGGAAAACACTTCCCCTCCCAGGTACTTTACATTCCCATGCAGGTGATTGGATTTTTCATTTTTTTACATAAATCCAATAATCTTTGAACTTGACAAGAATCCTCCATTCTTACTAACTTCTTTCATTATACATCTCAGGTCAGGTACAGTCCCAGGTACAGCTGTTGAAAGAATATCTAATTGAATTCTGGATATCTTTCATGTAGTTTGTCCAACTGACTGACAGTGACAACTCATAAGGCCATATTACTGACATAGTTAGAACACTGAGCTAGCCTTAATTATGTATGTGCCGAGCCCCTAACTGTTCAAAGAAAAGGCGTTCTCTTACCAGCTGTCCTTCCCTGGTAATTGGACTTGTAGAATAAAAGGCAGTTGCTCTTTGAGAATGTGAATGAGCATTTCTGACTCCTCATCCTTCAGAGTCCCCACGTGTGGAAGGCTTGGTAACTTGAGCTGTGCCTGTGGTTAGCAAGCTATGCCTCCTTTTGCCAATATAACTCCCACTTTGCTACTTTGAGTACCAGAGGTACACTCTGCATAGCAGGAACCATACCCTATGCTTTTTGGCTCTTTTGAGAAACCCTAGGTAGAATTAGATAAGTAAAATCTGAGATACACAAATGAATTTATACATATGCAGATATGTATTCTTTAAAAAATGATTTTGATCCTTATTTCTTATGATTTTCTTCATCCCTTCACCATGTTAAGATACACCTTCCATTGACAAACTGCTCTTGCCTTTTATTTAAAACAAAATAAAACAAAACAAAACTGAGTAGATAAAGATGAGTAAGCCAGTGTCATAGGCTGAGTCATGTCCCCCTGAAATATATGTGGTGGAGACCTAACCCCAGGACCTCAGAATGTGATTATATTTGGAGATAGGTCTTTGAAGGGCTAAATGCAGTCCTAATCCAATGAGACTGCCATTCTTATAAGAGGCAGTTAGTACACAGACACACAACAGACAACCATGTGAGGACACAAGGGGAGGGCAGTGTCTGCCAGCAAAGGAGACAGGCCTTAGGAGAAACCAACCTTGCTGAATGACTCTGATATTAGACTTCCAGCCTCCAGAATTGCAAGAAAATCAATTTCTCTTATTTAAACCACCCAGTCTGTGGTATTTTATTATGGCAGCCCTAACAAACTCATAGTCCCAAGAATTTAAGATTTTTCATTGTGGGAAGGGATCAAGCCATCTAGATCAATGTTTTCCCAAGTTTCTGGGCAAACCTCTCCAGGAAGATGGGCAGCAAATTGCCCAGAGCTGTTCAATTAGAGGATTGCCATAGAACTTTCTCCAGTCTCAACTCACATCAACTATTTATAGCTGAATTGTCACACATAGCTCTGTAAACTCTGCCTATACCTCTCATTGACTTTAGGTTGTGAATGAAATGTTTAAAAGTTTATTTTTATGTTTTTTATATATGTTTGAAAGTCATTGTACAGAAGCCCTATTAGAGGGAAAAAATAGCCAAAATTTCTTAATGCATTGGATTTCTATTGCTTCTCTAACAAATTTCAACAAACTGAGGCCTGTTTTTACCAACCTCTTGGTAAAACCAGGTGGTAGCAGGGCTGCGTTTGTTTCTGGAGGCTCTAGTGGAGAATCTTTTCCTGCATTTTCCAGCTATTAGAGGCTACTACATTTCTTGACTCATCTTCAAAGCTAGCACTGTTTCACCGCTCTGACCATGCTCTTTTAGTGAGGCATTTGTAGCCATAATTTCCCTCCAAGCATTGCGTCTGCTGCATCCTATAAGATTTGGAACATTGTGATTTCATTTCCATTCTTCTCAAAGTATCTTGTTAAATTTCCCTCATTATTTCATTTTTGATCTATAAATTTTTAGGAGTGTATTGTTTAATTTCCACATCATTTGTGAATTTCTGAAGTTTTCTTCTGTTACGGATTTCTAATTTCATTTCATTGTTGATTGGGGAAATACCGGTATAATTTCATTTCTTTGAAAGCTTATTGAGACTTGACTTATGACCCAGCATATGGCCTGTTCTGGAGAATTTTCCACATGCACTTACAAATAATATATATTCTCTTATTATTGGGTCAATTTTCTACAGATGTCTGTCAAGTTTTACTGGTTTACGGTGTGTAAATGGATTAAATCAAGTGTTATATTTCTTTATTAATCTTCTGTCTAGTTGTTCTGTCCATTTATCAAAAAGTATAGCATTGAAGTCGCCAGCTACTGTTGTTCACTCAGCTATGTCCCCTTTCAGTTATAACAGTTTTTACTGTTTATATTTTGGGGCTCTGTGGTTACGTTCATTTATGTTTATAATTGTTGCATCTTCTTGATAGAGTGACCTTTTTATTACTGTAAAATGTTTCTATTAAAACTGTGTTGTATTTTTTTTTTTTTTAGTAAAATTGTTTGTCCTAAGTCTGCATTGTCTGATGTTACTTCTCCAGCTGTCTTTGAGCTATTGTTTGCATGGAATATCTTTTCATCATTTTACTTCCAAGCTTTTGCACCATTTGTTCTAAGTTGTATCTCTGTTGTGGATATCATATAGTTAGATCATGTCCCTTTTTTTTGGTACTTCCATTTTTCCAATCTCTACCTTTTAATTGGAGGGTTTTTTGTTTGTTTGTTTCTTTTTGTTGTTGTTTTCTTTTTTTTTTTTGAGATGGAGTCTTGCTCTGTCGCCAAGGCTAGAGTGCAGTGGTGCAAACTCTAATTGGAATTTCTAATCTATTTACATATAGTGTGATTATTGGTAAGACAGGATTTAGGTGTGGCATGCTGTTGTTTTCTGTCTTAAGTTTTCTTGTTACCTTATTTCTTCATTACTGCCTTTTTTAACTTTAGATATTTTCTAGTGTGTCATTTTAATTATTCTGTCCTTCATTTTACTCTGTTTCTTAGTGATTGCTCTGTGGATTATGATAAACTTCTTAACCACTTATTTTAAGTACCTCACAAATCTTTGCTCCTATATAGTTCCATTTCCAATTCTCTTTCTGTTGCTGTTGTCATACATATTACATGTTTATATGTTGTTTTCCCATCAACACTTATAATTTCACTTGGTTCAAAATTTGATTTACAAACAAAACATACAATTATACTGTCTTTATTTTTTCCCAAAGGACAAAACCAAAGCTGAATTGTGAGCCATTGCTTTCAAGTATAAAAAATAAATATTACAGCATCCTTGTCCTTTTTCTCTCTTTAAAGTAACTTAGCATATTTTAGAAAGATCCCCAGATATGTTTTTAAATAGGGTATTGGATAATGAGCCCCCCAAAAATCCTGGATAAAGAATGTTTCATTTTTAAGTTTTCCAATCCTGGCTTGATATTTTCCAGAACCAAAAAATAAAGTAAAACTTCATAACAATTTGTGTTGTAAATACTTCGTTAGAACTTTTTTTGTTCATTAATCTTTATTCAAATATTGAAAGTATGTTGATTGAGAATGGAAATATATACAAACTCTTAAAGTAACTCTAGTAATAATCTCAAGTGAGTTTGACCTGGGGAGAAAGTCTGCTCAGAGAAAGTTTCATGTAGTTCATTGATGAGAATCTGAATCTGAGCAGGCTATGTGTGCAAAGTCTTTATAAATCATCCCTAACTCTCAGCAATCGCCTGGGACAGCTCTTTGCCCTGGAGAAAAACTTCAACAGAGTAACTCTTGATGGGGGAATCTGGATTCAAAACAGGGGCAAGGGGTGGTTACAAAGCAAATCAATCTGTTATTTGATCACATATTTGTGCCTTCTTAAAGGAAACAGGAAAGCATTCTTTTATAAGCATCTGCATGGTCTGAGATTCTGCTTTGAAAAAAATCCATGTAGGAATAGTGAGAAGGAAAGGAGGTGCACAGGAAGGGAGAGCCAGTTCATCTCTGTGACCAGAAAAAAATAATTTAAAAGTTCTTTTTGCACATGTCACGTACTGCCAAACATATGCTTTTAAAAAAGGGAGAGAAATATGCATATACATAGCAATATTATTTAGTATCATCCTGGGTTTTCTCCTCTTTATTATGATTATCCGGTTTTTGTGCAAATGCATATATCATTATATATATATATATATATATATATATATATATATACACACACACATATATATATATACACATATATATATATACACACATATATATATATATATACACATATATATATATATATATATACATATATACACATATATATATATATATGTTTTTGGAGACAGTCTTACTCTGTTGCACAGGCTAGAGTGCAGTGCAGTGGCACAACCTAGGCTGACTGTAACCTCTGACTCATGGGCTCAAGTGATTATCTCACCTCAGCCTCCGAAATAGCTGGGACCAGAGGTGTATGCCACTACACTCAGCTAACTTTTAATTTTTTTTTGTAGAGACAGGGTATCTCTATATTGTCCAGGCTAGTCTCAAACTACTGGTCTCAAATGATCCTCCTGCCACAGTTTCCCAAGTGCCTTGGATTGTAGTCATGAGCCACAGCCCCAAGCTAAGTTATTTTTTAACAACATTACCTACAGGATTTAAGACTCACTCTGGTGGATAGCTTAACTTAAAAGATCTGGCAGCTCTTGTGAATTTATAAATTCAAATTAATAGTTATTTTTTCTCCCAAGCTAGGGATTCAACCTTCTTATGGTTGCAAGGTGCCCTGGCATACTGCATGCTAGTTAGAAAGCCCTCACACTGACCACAGGCCCCTCCCCATATGCCTATACCTGTTGGCCACCTACCTGTGGGTCTTTTCTCTCTGAGATCCTTCTTGTTCTCTGTGTTTGGGACAGGCTGTCACCCTCTGTCAACTAGGGTAACTTGCTCTTAAATTATCCCTTCAATCCTACCTCCACCATAATTAGAGTTAAAGGAGTGGGACCTGCTGTTAGCCAACAGTGACTGGGCATGGAGGGAAAGCACCCTGAAGCCCCATGGAAGGAATGGCACCATACCATGTCTACTTATATGTGCACCACAAAGGATGGCGCTGGGGACAAGAGTCCCAAAACATGGGCGTCCCCTCTTCCCTAAGAAGGCTCAGCAGAGTGTTGTTTTCTGAAGGGAGGTTGAGAAGTCCCAGGAAGACTTCCTCACATTGGATTCCAGGGGTCATTTACTAGCGTTGTGATTGCCTCTGGGTATTTTTTGTCATTCAAGGCTATTTGTATTAGTAATGTAACTGTTCATTTTTTTCCCAACCTAGTAAGGTTTTCTTTTTAAAACAACTTTATGGAGGTTTAATTGGAGTACAATAAACTGCAAGTTTGAAGTGTACCATGTGAAAAGTTTTGGCATCCAGTTTTGGCATGCAGTTACCCGTGACACAATTCACACACCCAGATGATAAATATTTCCACAACCCCCAGAAGTTTCTCATGCCCTCTACAATCCCTGCCTCTCTCTGCCCCCATGCCAAGGGAACCATTGCTCTGCTTCTGCAATTACAGATTTCCTAGAATTTTATATAGAACCATACAGTATGTCTTCTTCTTTTTTTTTAATCTGGCTTCTCTCAGCACAATTTGGGAACTCATTTATATCATTGTTTGTACCAATAGTTTTTATGTCTTTTATTCTGTTGTGTGGCTGCATCATAGGATGAACGTCCATTGACTTATTGACAGTCTTGGCTTCTTTCCAACTTTTAGCTATTACAGATAAAATTGTCATGAATATCTGGTAAGTCTTTGTGTAAACATACGCTTTTCTTTATTGGGTAAACATGCAGCACTGGACTGATTCCCTCCTGGGCATGGTATGGTAAAGTTATAGATAACTATTAAAGAAACTTCCCAAAGAGTTTTTGCTATTTTAGCTTCTTATTAGTGCTGTAACCAGTTGTCAAAAATAGTGGCTTAAAACAATACAAATCTATTGTTGTCTTACAATTCTGGCCAGAATTGTCTAAGTTGCTAAAAATCAAGGTGTTGGCAGGACTGCATTCCTTTCCAGAAGTTTTGGGGGATTGGCTGTTTCCTTACTCCCATCTCCTAAGTGGCTGCCATTCATAGGCTCTGACCACTCTTCCCACCTTCTTCTCTCTCACCCTACTGGCCGCCTCTTATAAGGACCTTGTGATTATATTGAGTCTACCTGGATAATTAATCTAGGATCACTTCCGCATCTCAAGATTCTTAATTACTTTTACAAATTTACTATTGCCAAGGAGTTTAACGTACACAGGTTCTGGGAATTAGGACTGAGACATATTTGGGAGACGATTATTCTCTCTCCTGCAGATTGTGTCATCACTGAGTTGTAAATTTCAGTTCCTTACATATTCTGCATACAAGTCCTTTTGGTGTCTGTGTGCCTGTGTGTATGTATGTATTTTAAATATTTTCCTTCAATCTGTAGTTGCCTTTTGCTTTTTTATGTGTATGTGTATGTGTCTTTTAATTTTGAAGAAAGACCCTTTTTCCACATGTTCTCACATGGCCCTCATTTTTTGTGTTCTATGAATAAAACTCCTGTTTTCTTATAGAAGTTTATGATCCCAGGGATCAAAATTTTTCCCTGATACAGACATATATCTCCATGCAGGTTGGTGTGACTAGTAAGACTTTTTGAACCAATACATTTTTGAGTGACTTTTTAATTTAAATAGGGGTTATCAGAAAAAATCCTTAGACCAATTCCCAAACCTATTAAATAGAACTGCTAATGCCTGTGAGTTATGTCACATGCTAATCAAGAGTTTTACTTTGCAGATGTTCACTCAATTAAATTATCATTACTGATCTATTTTAAGCAATCATTTTTAAATTTTTATTTTTTTCTCTTTGTGTAAAAAATGATAGCTTACAGCCACAAGAAGCAATATGTCAAATACTTAAATACTTTTTTTCTAAGCCCACTACAGCATGCTTCTCATTTGAGGTAATATTACTGAGACCCTTAATTTTATGCTTAATTATTCATTTCAGTCCTTTACATTCCTAAACACAAGAAAGCACTAGCATTTACATGCAGGCTCATTTGTAAAGGTGAACCAGTGACAGCACAGTGCTATGGAAGTTTCTATCTTGTATATATAAAGCACAAAGTATGTTTGTGGTTATAGGGAAAAGTATGGTAGTGCTCACAGTGTGTTAAAAACTTGTAACATTTGTTGCAGGGAAATGACGAGATCATTGCTCCTCTCATCATTTGATGTTGTCATCACCGTGTCTTCTCTCTCCTCATACTGCTGGAATTTGTGCTTGGCTTGTAACATAGCTTCTACCCAACTTCTGTTTTCGGGTCTGAGAGGACATTTCTTAGCTAACAGGTCATTAACATTAGTTAGCTGAAGGTGACATATGCATAGGTCTTCAGGTGAGAAAAAGATTCTGATTTACATAGTGATGTATTCTTTTTTTTTTAGGGAATTAATTATTATTTTTTATTATTATGCTCTAAGTTTTAGGGTACATGTGCACAACGTGCAGGTTAGTTACAAATATATACATGTGACATGCTGGTGCAGTGCACCCACTAACTCATCATCTAGCATTAGGAATATCTCCCAATGCTATGCCTCCCCCTTCCCCCAACCCCCACAACAGTCCCCAGAGTGTGATGTTCCCCTTCCTCTGTCCATGTGTTCTCATTGTTCAATTCCCACCTATGAGTGAGAATATGCGGTATTTGGTTTTTTTGTTCTTGAGATAGTTTACTGAGAATGATGATTTCCAATTTCATCCATGTCCCTACAAAGGACATGAACTCACCATTTTTTATGGCTGCATAGTATTCCATGGCGTATATGTGCCACATTTTCTTAATCCAGTCTATCATTGTTGGACATTTGGGTTGGTTCCAAGTCTTTGCTATTGTGAATAGTGCCACAATAAACATATGTGTGCATGTGTCTTTATAGTAGCATGATTTATAATCCTTTGGGTATATACCCAGTAATGGGATGGCTGGGTCAAATGGTATTTCTAGTTCTAGATCCCTGAGGAATAGCCACACTGACTTCCACAATGGTTGAACTAGTTTACATTCCCACCAACAGTGTAAAAGTGTTCCTATTTCTCCACATCCTCTCCAGCACCTGTTGTTTCCTGACTTTTTAATGATTGCCATTCTAAGTGGTGTGAGATGATATCTCATTGTGGTTTTGATTTGCATTTCTCTGATGGCCAGTGATGGTAAGCATTTTTTCATGTGTTTTTTGGCTCCATAAATGTCTTCTTTTGAGAAGTGTCTGTTCATGTCCTTTCCAGACTTTTTGATGGGGTTGTTTGTTTTTTTCTTGTAAATTTGTTTGAGTTAATTGTAGATTCTGGATATTAGCTCTTTGTTAGATGAGTAGGTTGCAAAAATTTTCTCCCATTTTGTGGGTTGCCTGTTCACTCTGATGTTAGTTTCTTTTGCTGTGCAGAAGCTCTTTAGTTTAATCAGATCCCATTTGTCTATTTTGGCTTTTGTTGCCATTGCTTTTGGTGTTTTAGACATGAAGTCCTTGCCCATGTCTATGTCCCGAATGGAAATGCCTAGGTTTTCTTCTAGGGTTTTTACAGTTTTAGGTCTAACATTTAAGTCTTTAATCCATCTTGAATTGATTTCTGTATAAGGTGTAAGGAAGGGATCCAGTTTCAGCTTTCTGCATATGGCCAGACAGTTTTCCCAGCACCATTTATTAAATAGGGTATCCTTTCCCCATTGCTTGTTTTTCTCAGGTTTGTCAAAGGTAAGGTAGTTTTAGATATGCGGCATTATTTCTAAGGGCTCTGTTCTGTACCGTTGATCTGTATCTCTGTTTTGTTACCAGTACCATGCTGTTTTGGTTACTGTAGCCTTGTAGTATAGTTTGAAGTCAGGTAGTGTGATGCCTCCAGCTTTGTTCTTTTGGCTTATGATTGACTTGCTGATGTGGGCTCTTTTTTGGTTCCATATGAACTTTAAAGTAGTTTTTTCCAATTCTGTGAAGAAAGTCATTGGTAGCTTGATGGGGATGGCATTGAATCTATAAATTACCTTTGGCAGTATGGCCATTTTCATGATATTGATTCTTCCTACCCATGAGCATGGAATATTCTCCCATTTGTTTGTATCCTCTTTAATTTCATTGAGCAGTGGTTTGTAGTTCTCCTTGAAGAGGTCCTTCACATCTCTTGTAAGTTGGATTCCTAGGTATTTTAATCTCTTTGAAGCAATTGTGAATGGGCGTTCACTCATGATTTGGCTCTCTGTTTGTCTGTTGTTGGTGTATAAGAATGCTTGTGATTTTTGTACATTGATTTTGTATTCTGAGACTTTGCTGAAGTTGCTTATCAGCTTAAGGAGATTTTGGGCTGAGATAATGGGTTTTCTCGATATACAATCATGTCATCTGCAAACAGGGACAATTTGACTTCCTCTTTTCCTAGTTGAATACCATTTATTTCCTTCTCCTGCCTAATTGCCCTGGCCAGAACTTCCAACACTATGTTGAATAGGAGTGGTGAGAGAGGGCATCCCTGTCTTGTGCCAGTTTTCAAAGGGAATGCTTCCAGTTTTTGCTCATTCACTATGATATTGGCTGTGGGTTTGTCAAAGATAGCTGTTATTATTTTGAGATACATCCCATCAATACCTAATTTATTGAGAGTTTTTAGCATGAAGGGTTGTTGAATTTTGTCAAAGGCCTTTTCTGCATCTATTGAGATAATCATGTGGTTTTTGTCTTTGGTTGTGTTTATATGCTGGATTACATTTATTGGTTTGCATATATTGAACCAGCCTTGCATCCCAGGGATGAAGCCCACTTGATCATGGTGGATAAGCTTTATGATGTGCTGCTGGATTCAGTTTGCCAGTAATTTATTGAGGATTTTTGCTTCAATGTTCATCAAGGATATTGGTCTAAAATTCTCTTTTTTGGTTGTGTCTCTGCCCGGTTTTGGTATCAGGATGATGCTGGCCTCACAAAATTATTTAGGGAGGATTCCCTCTTTTTCTATTGATTGGAATAGTTTCAGAAGGAATGGTACCAGTTCCTCCTTGTACCTCTGGTAGAATTCG
The DNA here is from genome assembly GCF_000001405.40 of Homo sapiens. Classification (NCBI taxonomy): domain Eukaryota; kingdom Metazoa; phylum Chordata; class Mammalia; order Primates; family Hominidae; genus Homo; species Homo sapiens. The sequence goes on along the minus strand of NC_000024.10, from coordinate 15,409,660 downwards.
GCTGTGAATCCATCTGGTCCTGGACTCTTTTTTAGTTGCTAAGCTATTGATTATTGCCACAATTTCAGTTCCTGTTATTGGTCTATTCAGAGATTCAACTTCTTCCTGGGTTAGTCTTGGGAGAGTGTAGGTGTCGAGAAATTTATCCATTTCTTCTAGATTTTCTAGTTTATTTGCATAGAGAGGTGTTTGTAATATTCTCTGACAGTAGTTTGTATTTCTGTGGGATCAGTGGTGATATACTCTTTATCATTTTTTCTTGCATCTATTTGATTCTTCTCTCTTTTTTTCTTTATTAGTCTTGCTAGCGGTCTATCAATTTTGTTGATCCTTTCAAAAAACCAGCTCCTGGATTCATTAATTTTTTGAAGGGTTTTTGTGTCTCTATTTCCTTCAGTTCTGCTCTGATTTTTGTTATTTCTTGGCTTCTGTTAGCTTTTGAATGTGTTTGCTCTTGCTTTTCTCATTCTTGTAATTGTGATGTTAGGTTGTCAATTTTGGATCTTTCCTGCTTTCTCCTGCGGGCATTTAGTGCTATAAATTTCCCTCCACACACTGCTTTGAATGTGTCCCAGAGATTCTGATATGTTGTGTCTTTGTTCTCATTGGTTTCAAAGAACATCTTTATTTCTGCCTTCATTTCGTTATGTACCCAGTAGTCACTCAGGAGCAGGTTGTTCAGTTTCCATGTAGTTTAGTGGTTTTGAGTGAGTTTCTTAATCCTGAGTTCAGTTTGATTGCACTGTGGTCTGAGAGATAGTTTGTTCTAATTTCTGTTCTTTTACATCTGCTGAGGAGAGCTTTACTTCCAACTATGTGGTCAATTTTGGAATAGGTGTGATGTGGTGCTGAAAAAAATGTTTATTCTGTTGATTTGGGGTGGAGAGTTCTCTAGATGTCTATTAGGTCTGCTTGGTGCAGAGCTTAGTTCAATTCCTGGGTATCTTTTTTGACTTTCTGTCTCATTCATCTGTCTAATGTTGACAGTGGGGTGTTAAAGTCTCCAATTATTAATGTGTGGGATTCTAAGTCTCTTTGTAGGTCACTCAGGACTTGCTTTATGAATCTGGGAGCTCCTGTATTGGGTGCATATATATTTAGGATAGTTAGCTCTTCTTGTTGAATTGATCCCTTTACCATTATGTAATGGCCTTCTTTTTCTCTTTTGATCTTTGTTAGTTTAAAGTCTGTTTTATCAGAGACTAGGATTTCAACCCCTTCCTTTTTTTTTGTTTTCCATTTTCTTTGTAGATCTTCCTCCATCCTTTTATTTTAAGCCTATGTGTGTCTCTGCATGTGAGATGGGTTTCCAGAATACAGCACACGATGAGTCTTGACTCTTTATCCAATTTGCCAGTCTGTGTCTTTTAATTGGAGCATTTAGTCCATTTACATTTAAAGTTGATATTGTTATGTGTGAATTTGATCCCGTCATTATGATGTTAGCTGGGTATTTTGCTCGTTAGTTGATGCAGTTTCTTCCTAGTCTCGATGGTCTTTAAATTTTGGCATGATTTTGCAGCGGCTGTACCAGTTGTTCCTTTCCATGTGTAGTGCTTCCTTCAGGAGCTCTTTTAGGGCAGGCCTGGTGGTGACAAAATCTCTCAGCATTTGCTTGTCTGTAAAGTATTTTATTTCTCCTTCACTTATGAAGCTTAGTTTGGCTGGATATGAAATTCTGGGTTGACAATTCTTTTCTTTAAGAATGTTGAATATTGGCCCCCACTCTCTTCTGGCCTGTAGAGTTTCTGCTGAGAAATCCACTGTTAGTCTGATGGGCTTCCCTTTTTGGGTAACCCGACCTTTCTCTCTGGCTGCTCTTAACAATTTTTCCTTCATTTCCACTTTGGTAAATCTGATAATTCCGTGTCTTGGAGTTGCTGTTCTCGAGGAGTGTCTTTGTGGCATTCTCTGTATTTCCTGAATCTGAATGCTAGCCTGCCTTGCTAGATTGGGGAAGTTCTCCTGCATAATATCCTGCAGAGTGTTTTCCAAATTTGTTCCATTCTCCCCATCACTTTCAGGTACACCAATCAGACGTAGATTTTGTCTTTTCACATAGTCCCATATTTCTTGGAGAGTTTGTTCGTTTCTTTTTATTCTTTTTTCTCTAAACTTCCCTTCTTGCTTCGTTTCTTTCATTTCATCTTCCATCACTGATACCCTTTCTTCCAGTTGAGCGCTTTGGCTCCTGAGGCTTCTGCATTCTTCAAGTAGTTCTCGAGCCTTGGCTTTCAGATGCATCAGCTCCTTTAAGCACTTCTCTGTATTGGTTATTCTAGTTACACATTCTTCTAAATTTTTTCAAAGTTTTTAACTTCTTTGCCTATGGTTTGAATTTCCTCCCATAACTCGTAGTTTGATCATCTGAAGCCTTCTTCTCTCAACTCGTCAAAGTCATTCTCCATCCAGCTGTGTTCCATTGCTGGTGAGGAATTGCGATCCTTTGGAGAAGGAGATGTGTTCTGCTTTTTAGAGTTTCCAGTTTTTCTGCTCTGATTTTTCCCCACCTTTGTGGTTTTATCTACTTTTGGTCTTTGATGATGGTGATGTACAGATGGGTTTTTTGTGTGGATGTCCTTTCTGTTTGTTAGTTTTCCTTCTAACAAACAGGACCCTCAGGTGCAGGTCTGTTGGAGTTTGGAGAGGTCCACTCCAGACCCTGTTTGCCTGGGTATCAGCAGTGGTGTCTGCAGAACAGTGGTTTTTCGTGACCATGAATGCTGCTGTCTGATCATTCCTCTGGAAGTTTTGTCTCAGAGGAGTACACGGCCGTATGAGGTGTCAGTCTGCCCCTGCGGGGGGGTGCCTCCCAGTTAGGCTGCTTGGGGGTCAGGTGTCAGGGACCCACTTGAGGAGGCCATCTGCCCGTTCTCAGATCTTCAACTGTGTGCTGGGAGAACCACTGCTCTCTTCAAAGCTGTCAGACAGGGACTTAAGTCTGCAGAAGTTACTGCTGTCCTTTTGTTGATCTGTGCCCTGCCCCCAGAGGTGGAGCCTACAGAGGCAGGCAGACCTCTTTGAGCTGTGGTGGGCTCCACCCAGTTGTAGCTTTCAGACTGCTTTCTTTACCTAAGCAAACCTGGGCAATGGCAGCCACCCCTCCCCCAGCCTAGCTGCCACATTGTGATGTATTCTTAATCAATGTTTTTGCAAGGTTTCTCTTTGTTAGTATTTGTTCCAAAATATATTAATGAACTTATCATTTCTGACTACTGATTTATTTAACCTTGTAATTACTGTTTCAGTATCTGCTGTCACATTTTTCTTGGTGTCTAACACTACGTAGGTACCAGTCAACATTTGTGTAATTAAATGGATTGTATTCTGAGTATGTGTAATTTTGGCATACCCAAGATTGATATCTGGCTTATCAAGGGTTTTCATCTGTGGTTCTAATCGGTGTTATATGTCTTGTTTACTTGTGCAACCCAGGATGTTCCCAACTTATTGAATATTTGTCTCAGAGGGGGCTCTGTGTTCAGTCATTGGAAACCTGGACTGAATTTTAATTTAAGAGGGAAAGTCAATTTTAAGTCCTTTTGGATTCTAGTTCATACCATTACAATTTTGTTCTTCAATATCCACAGCATAAATGAAATAAGACATATAGCAGCAAAGAGCAGTGAGCCAGTCAGAGGAGTGTAGTACAGCACTTATCAACCAAAACAAGCAAACCATACTGTTAAATTTTGAACCAGGTAGGTTTGGATCTTCTCCTAGTATATAGACAGGTATTTATTCATGGACAGTAAGCTGGATGGAGATTACAGAAAACCTAAAAGAGAGGAACATGTTTTTTATTTTTAGACTTTGACAACACTTTTTTTGCCTATTCCTGTGACATACTTACCTCTGATTTGTTCATACTCAGCCTCTCTGTTATGTAGTTTTGGAGTGTTTTCTAGAAATCACAGTGTCTTTCTGCTACACACTGGGATAAGAAAATATATTCATGAATTAGATCTGGTAATGGCAGGCCTTGAGAATAGAACAAAGGGTAAAACACAAATATGTCAGCATCCTGACTCACATAGGTGTGACAATTCTCCAGACTATGTTAAAATTTCCTGATTGTGTTAGGACATATTGTATTGCTATATAGAAATTCCTGAGTCTGGGTAATTTGTATGAAAATTGGTTTAAATGGTTCACAGTTATGCAGGCTGTATAGAAAGTGAAGAACCATCAGATTTGGGGGAAGCCTAGGAGCTTACAATCATGGCAGAAGGCAAAGCAGGAGCAGCCAAATCACATGGTCAAAGCAGGACCTCAATAGCAAGTTTTTCAAACTGACTTTGCTTCTGCTCAAAGGGCTGAACTTATGGCTGTGATAACACTGTTAAAATCTTTTAAACAGCCAGTAAATATTGTTTCTGATTCAATATAGTGAAAGCCATGCAAAATATTGAATGTAACTTAATTCAAAATATGATGGATGAACAATGTAATCTTTTATTTCATTATTTACAGCAAGCAGTGAAACAAGCAGGGGAAGGTGCCACACACTTTTAAATGAACAGAGCTTGTGTGAATTCAGAGAAAGAGGTAACTTACTTACCACTGTTAGGGTGATCAGACCCAACACCAGGCTGTGGGGGCGACAAAGTCTGGTGGAGTTAAAGGAACAAGAAAAGACAAGAGAGAGTGGGACCAGGGGTCCAATGTTAGTATGGAGGCTGCAAAGGCCCAGACCTCTGGGGGCCATGCTATTTATTGATGGTCAAAGAAAGAAACAGGTGGTGAGGATGTGGAGATTGAAAGGAAGCAGTGTATCAAGTGAATGAACTATAGCTGTGATGGTTTAGCATTTTCTTTGAAACATATGGCTACTTGAGATAATGGGAGAACTAGAAGGAAGGAGCCTGCAAGACTGGAAACATTACAAAGTCCACAAGGGTTTTACAACCTGGACCCTGGACATGTTCCAAGCCCAGCCTTGGCTTCTCTCCCAACATTCAGCTTTTCTCCCAAATGCCCCCCTTTTCTTTTTGGTGAAACCTCCACAGCTATCATTGCTTGTACTCAATGGAAGCTTACTCTCCAGTGGCAGCTTCTGCAACTTCAGACTAAAACGAGATAGGACAAGCACAAAATTATTAGAACAAAATCCCTAAGTGTAGATCTTCCAGTGATCTTAATCCATTTCAGAGGATTGATGATTTGAATGCCTCTTACATATTTCTCCTTTCTCTTTTACAAGAGGACCCTTAGTTCTAAGGGTGGCAGAAGGATGAATGTCCATCTTCTGTAACTTCTTCATGCTGAATTGGGGTGATGATATTCCTGCCTACCTATTAGTGCCTCTTGTATTCATGGTAGAGAGGAGTTCAGTCAGAAAGCATTGATCCATTAAGCATCTGTTGTACCTCTGAATCCCAGTAAAAGGTAAAACCCTAGTGCTCCAGCAGTTTCCCAGCTTTCTGTGTGGTTTTCTTGATCTGTCCCCATGTTATGGGGTTTGATGTCAGCATGACTGAGATTCAACTGGTTCATGGCTCATACTGGGGGAACCCAGTCCATGGTTGGGATCCGTGGGTCCCTCCAGTATCCCATTCCATGGTCATACACATCTTGAGGGCACCCACATGGTTTGTTCATCTCCTGCAAACACACAAACATACCCTAACCCCCACATTACTAAATCTACTGAAAGAGAAGAAAAGGCTTTTTTTTTTTCTTTTTTCTTTTTCTTTTTTTTTCTGTAGCCAAGAGGCATGCTATTGCTGAAGCATTTGTAACTCAGCTTCTGACTCTTTGGTTAATTATCATGGGGCAAAACTTACCATTGATAACCAGAAGCAGGTTTTTTCTGATTAACAGAAGGCATACAGAAAGCAAATCGAGGTTTATCCTTCTTGTGCAAGAGTATAGCAAAAAAGGAATCCTTAAACCTTCAGTTTGCAATGTACAGCTGGATCCACTAGATGTTATGGTTCTTTTTTTTTTTTTTTTTAGATGGAGTCTTGCTCTGTCGCCCAGGCTGGAGTGCAGTGGCACGATCTCAGCTCACTGCAACCTCCGCCTCCCGGATCACGCCATTCTCCTGCCTCAGCCTCCCAAGTAGCTGGGACTACAGGTGCCCACAACCACACCCACCTAATTTTTTGTATTTTTAGTAGAGGTGGGGTTTCACCATGTTAGCCAGGATGGTTTCAATCTCCTGACCTCATGATCTGCCCGTCTCGGCCTCCCAAAGTGCTGGGATTACAGGTGTGAGCCACCACACCCAGTGATGCTATGGTTCTTGATAGATTTTCAGATGTTTTGTGGGCACCCACACAGGCACCTGGTTGTCACCTGGAGAGACACAAGCAAATCCTCTTTCCGATATAATTATCTTCCTATCTTCCCAGCTCTTTATATGGGAATCTCTCCACCATATACCTTGTCCAGCCTTTTTATTTTCCTTTGCCCTGTCAGGTATTGTTCAGCTGCAGTCATCTGCTGATCTTTTGTAAATTAAAAAAATTGAATGTTAATAAAGTGAAATGGAATTGCATGTGTGGTGTCTTATATTCCTGGTCCCCTCCCTTTTGCTTTTGTATTTGAGTTTTTAGAGTACTATTAGCTCTTTCCACTATTGCCTGTCCTTGAGAGTTATGTGGAATACCGATAGTATGGGTAATATTCTGGTGTTGAAAAAATGTAGCCATGGCTTTACTACAGTATCTTTAGCCATTATTAGTTTTAATTTTTTCTGGGATTCCCATAACTGAAAAGCAAGATAAAAGATATATTTTAACATGAGCTGTAGCTTCCCCTGTTTAACCTGAGGCCCAGATAAAATGTGAATAGATATCTACTGACACATGAACAATGGACAATTTTCCAAAACAGGAATATGTGTTACATCCATCTGCCAGATGGAATTTGGAGATAATCCTCTAGGGTTAACTCCTGTTCCTTGATGTGGCAGATGCAGGCCTTGTCAGGCAGAACAGTGTTGCACTATTTCTTTAGCTTGTTTCCATGATAGACCATATATTTTTCTAAGGCCTACAGCATTAAGATAGATTAAAGAATGGAATGTTTGTGCGTCAAAAAAGACCACAGACACCAATGAGTCTGTCCTTTGATTAAGTTTAGTTAAAGGGCCAGGGAGGTAAGTATGCGCTCTCACATGAGTGATATAGAAAGGGGAATGACTGTTTTACTGCTTGCTGTAAAGAATGAAATTATGTTGTTCATCAGCCACATTTTGAATTAAGGCACATTGAATATTTTGTGTGGCTTGCACTACATAGGCTGAATCAGAAACAATGTTTACTGGCTGTTTAAAAGATTTTAACACTGTTGTCACAGCTGTAAGTTCAGCCCTTTGAGCGGAAGCAAAAGTGGTTTGAAAAACTTGCTGTTGAAGTCCTGCAAATGAGGCCTTTCCATTACTAAATAGCATTTCCTTTTCTACATTCCTTGTGTCCAAATTGCGCACAATTAAAGGAAGAGCCTGAGAAATGGGGCATATTCTTTCCTACTTTCAATCCAGCCATAGCCTGAACTAAAAGAGTAGCCTTATGTAAGTTACCTCCAATGCCATAGCAAGCCTTCATATATTCAGCTTAATGAGACTTCCCTCTCAGGTGTCTAATAGCAGTTTGACATTCTGTATTAGCATTATCATATACAAGAGGGTGTATTATAACATCCTGAGCTGTTTTATCAGTTATGGATTTATACACAACCTCTTGGAGCTGAGCAATAAAATCAATATATGGTTCTTTAGGTCCTTGACAAGCAGAACTGAAAGGATATTTTTCCCCTATAATATTTATCCTTTCCCATATCTGTAAGCACACAGAGTGCATGTGAACAATGGCAACATCCTCCATTACTGCTTGATTCTCTAATCAACCCCATTTTAGGCCAACTCCCATTAACCATTCAAAGGAAACAGGCTCAGGTGGCTGCGCTTGTGTTTTTTCCCTTGCCAAGTTTGACCTTCATCAGCCCACCAAGTTTTAAACTGTAAATACTGAGATGGAGTGAGAACAGGTTTTGTTAAAGTATCCCAATCATGAGGTATTAACCTATTATCAAGAGCCACATTTCTCGACAAATTTGCACGAAAGGAGAGTTCAGTCATATTAACTAATGGTTTGTTTAAATTCTTTTAATAACTTAAAAGGAAAAGCTGCTCAATTTGCTATATTCTGTCCAACTTACTGGGTTACTGGAAAATGCCATGCTTCAAGGTCTCCCTCAGCTCTAGCTTTTTGAATAGAGTTTTTATAGCACCACCAATTGCTGCAGGTGTTAATGTTGCAACTACAGGAGCAGTAAGTTTTTCAGCTAATTCATTTTCTCTCCCATTAAGGGGAGAGAGAGGAAGTGGCCATTCACTTAATTCAGCAGGTGGAGCGGATGGGCTAGTAAAACATACCTTTTTTAGTTTTCCTTTGTTTTCTTTAATCTCCTCTGATAGCTGTTCCTTATACTCAGAATCTGAGGTTAGTTTTTTTACACTTGTTTTCCTCTTCCCCATCTGAATCTGCCTCATCATCTGTTTGAAATTGCTCAAGAGCTGACTTTATTAGCGCTCATATTGGCCAAATGGCAACTGGAATTTTTGCTCCATCTTTATACGCCTTTTTAAAATATCTTCCAGTTCTCTCCTATTCATCTAACTCCACAGTCTCTTGTTCCAGAAACCATGAGCAAAACTGTTTTTCTGTACTAAAGAGCGATAAATTCTGAGTACTAAATTTCACTCCCCCTCTTCATAATAAATGCCTTAAGAAATTCAAATAAGCAGAATGTTTGCTTTCACCTTGTCACATTGTTACCCTGGTTCTTCCAAGCACCCAGCTTACATGCTGAACTTCTTTCAGTCGTCCTCAGGTGTCCTCTAATGATGTGCCCTCTGCTTTTACACACTCTAGCGTTCCTTCACCAGGGTCTTCATCACCCCAAGTTGGGTGCCAGGAATGTTCGGGAGATTGGACCCAACACCAGGCCATGGGGGCGACAAAGTCCAGTGGAGTCAAAGGAATGAGAAAAGACAAGACAGAAAGTTGGACCAGGGAGCCAAAGCTAGTATGGAGGATGCGAAGACCCTGAGCTCTGGGATTCCACACTATTTATTGGTGATCAAACAAAGAAACAGTTGGTGAGAATGTGGGAGTTGAAAGGAAGTGATGTGTCAAGTGAACGAACTACAGCTGTGACGGTTTAGCATTTTCTTTGAAACAGATGGCTTCTTGAGATAATGGGAGTGCTGGAAACAAGGATCCAGCTAGTCTGGACACATTCCAAAGGCCACTAGAGTTTTAGAACCCTGGACCCCAGACATGTTCCAAGCCCAGCCATGGCTTGTCTCCCAACACTCAGCTTTTCTCCCAACAACCACTAAGGGGATGTCCCAAACCATTCATGAGGGATTTGCCACCATGATCCATACGCCCACCACCAGGCTTCACCTCCGGCACTGAAGATTACAATTCAACATGAGGTTTGGATGGGAGCAAATGCACAAACTATATCATCCTGTCCCTGGCCCTTCCTGAATCTTCTGTCCTTCTCACTTTGCAAAATACAATCACGCCTTCCCAATAACCCCCACAAATCTTAACTCATTCCAATATTAACTCAAAAGTGCAAACTCCCATCTGAGGCAAGGCAAGTCCTTTCTACCTGTGAGCGTGCACAATCAAAAACAAGTTATTTACTTCTAGGATACAATGGAGGAATAAGCATTGGGTAAATATTCCCGTTCCATAAGGGAGAAATCAGCCAACAGATATTGGCTGCAGGCCCCACACAATCTGACACCTAACAGGACAGTCATTAAATTTGAAAGCTACAAAATAATGTCCTTTGATTCCATGTCCCATATTCAGACAACACTTGTCCAAGAAGTGGGATCCTAAGGCCTTGGGCAACTCCACCCCTTTGGCTTTGCAGCATGCAGCCCTCAAGGCTGCTGGTCACTGGCTGGAGTTGAGTGTCTACAGCTTTTACAGGGAGCAAGATATTGATGGATCTACCATTCTTGGGTCTGGAGGATCGTGGCCGTCTTCCTACAGCTCCACTAGGCAGTGCCGCAGTGAGGACATTATGAGGCCTCCAATCCCACATTTCCCCTCCATATTGCTGTAGTATAGGTTCTCAGTGAGAGCTCTGCCCCTACAGGAGGCTTCTGCCTTGACATTCAGATTTTTCTATACAACCTTTGAAATCTAGGCAGAGAGGACCAAGCCTTATTCACTCTTGCAGTTTGTGTGCCTGCAGACTTAGCATCCTGTGGAAGCCAACGAGCCATGTGGTTTTTGCTGTTCAGAGCACCAGGGTGAGCTCCCTTTGAGCCCTGGCTGAAGCTGGAACAGCTGGGATGTGGGTAGCAGTGTCCTGAGGCAGCTGGGCCCTGGGCCTGTCTCAGGAAACCACTCTTCCTTTCTAGGACCCTAGGCCTGTGATGGGAGATGCTGCCTTGGAGACTTCTGAAATACCATTGAGGCCTTTTCCCCCACCGTCTTTGTATCAGCATTTGCCTCTTTTTTAGGTATGCAAATGTCTCTGGCAAGTGGTTGTTTCACAGCCTGCTTGAGTTCCTTTCCTGAAAAAGCTTTTTGTTTGCCACATGGACAAGCACATATTTCCCAAACTTTTATGCTGTCTCCCCTTTAAATATAACTTCCAATTTTGTCATTTATTTGTTTCCACATCTGAGTAGAGGCTATTAGAAGCAGCCAGGTTACATCAGGCATGCTTTGCTGCTTAGAAATTTCCTCTGCTAGACAGCCTAAATGATTACCCTGAAGTTCAAACTTCCACAGAACCGTAGGACATGAAGAGAATGCAGCCAATTTCTTTGCTAAGAAATAACATGTGTGACCTTTCCTCCAGTTTGCAGTTTCTCATTTCCATCTGAGACCTTGTTAGCCTGGACTTCACCAACCATATCACTATCAGCATTTTGATCACAACCATTCCCTAAGACACTGCAAATTTTCATCCTTCTCTGTTCTGACATCCTTGTAGGAACACACCACTTCTGCTACAAATTTCCTATATTAGGCTGTGCTTGCATTTATTTAAAGAAAAGTCTGAGTCTAGATAATTTATAAAAGCAGCAGTTTAATAGGCTCACATTTCTGCAGGTTTTACAGGAAGCATAGAAGCAGCTGCTTTGGGGGAGTGCTCAGGAGGCTTACAATCATGGTGGAAAACTAAGTGGGAGCAGGCTTGTAACATGGTGAAAGCATGAGCAAGAGATAATTGTGAGGGAGGTGCCACACACTAAAACCACCAGATCTTGTGTGAACTCAGAGCGAGAGCTCACTCATCACCAAGGTGGGACTGGCCCAAGCCATTCATGGAGGATATGCCCCCATGATCAAGATAGCACCCACCAAGTCTTGACTCCAACACTGGGGGCTAAAATTCAGCATGAGATTTAGGAGGCAGTAAGTATACAAACTCTATTACTGCCCATTGCAGTTTCTCCTCATAAACATTGACCTGATGCAGGGTCTTTTTGATGTAGATGTGGCATGGAGATTAGTTCATTCTGATTGGTTATTACCAAAGGCTAGGCAAGGGCATGTGTTAAGGGATGCAGGAATGCTTGTGGAATGTGGAATTGTGAATGTGGCTGAGCATGGCAGGGGGCCCAGGGCCCAGGACCTAGAGACAAGAGCCTGGCTCAGTGTTCAACTGGGAACATGCTATGGGTTTGCTTTTGGATGGCCAAGGTGGCTGCGAGGAAGCCAGGAGGTAGGCCAGAGTAGGAAGGGCTGCTATACTCATCCCATGTGTCTAGCTGGAAGCCACAGGGTCCTTGGTCAGCTCAATGACTATCTCTCTTTTAAGGGACTTGATTGTCTCAGGCATGCCTGAAGACTTTCCACCACCAGCCAGAGAACAAAAATGTTTCCCCAGCCAATCCCATGGGATGACTCACTTCTAGTTAGTCACCCCCAGTCCCCACAACAACAGCCTCCAGTCAGGGCCCACCTTAGGCCTGTCTTTTCCCATTGTAAAGCTTTCCTGCTCCCCCATCTGCATTTGAACTTCAGCCAGAGGCATGTGCCAATGTCCAACTCTCTTGCTGTGCAAGCTCTAAATGAACAGCTTCTGCTCATTCTTATTTGAAGTCATTCTCATTTACCTTCACACATGTACAGGATCTTTATAACTTAACCCAGTGCCTCCTCATTAACCAAAATCTGTTGTTTTTCATGGGCTTCTCCTGTCTTCCCGCAAATCTAATAATGCCTTCTTGTGACACTAGGAAGCTTTGAGCAGGTAAGACTCTTCCAGTCCATGGTGGTGTGGTTTGGCCTCACTCCTCACTGCAGGCTCAGGCCAGCCCCTCTTTGCAGGCATGTGCATGGAAGCAACTCTGGTAGTTAAGTGAAATAGCGCTGCCGACAGGATCTGGGCTCTGTGCTGTGTGCCAGGAGCATAGAGAGCAATGTTAAACAGCTGTTGCCCACAGCAGACCTTCCAGAACAGTTTTTGCATTAGGGTTCTAGGAATTATTAAGTAAGTTTGGATGTGTACAAAGGTCAAAAAAAGCCCAAGGCAACCCCAGATATCCGAACTAGCCATTTCAGAGGGCTGAAACCCTTCTGCTGTGAAGGGCTGTGTTTCCAAGCTTATGTAGTTCAAAGCTCAATTTTTAGGATTGCTGTGCTACTGATTGAAAGTTGGGTTTTGGAAATTGACCCTTATTTTCCAATAATACCTTTCATAAACCTGGAAATTCTTTCACTAGAAGAAAAGGAGGATCTTATGTTAGAACATACACATATAACAAAGATGTAAAAGCTTCAGTAGTTACTCTCAAAAGAAGGTCACCAAGGACAACTGTGGTTACATGTGTAATGATTCTAGCCTAGAAAATGGTTCTTACTTGATTTTCATTTAAGAGAGATGAGCCAATTAATCTTTGAATATAGTATGTGCCATTAAATTGTCAATGTTTTTATTCCAAGATTCATGTTTATTTAAAAGAACTATTGTATTAAGATGTCTCTTCATAAGCGCTTTATGCTGGCCATGTCCGTGAGAATGCTGTGCATTACTTTCATTGAATTGTACGTCTGATTTCATCCAGACCTAATTAACTATGATTAACTGAGAACTCCAGTTTATTGGAATTATTTACTGCAATTAACTTGAGAAAGAATGGGGTATATTTAAGGGTACTTACTTTTAAATCTTGTTTTCATTACAAACACATTAAGATAAGTCTGATTTAGCAGGTAACAGAAGGAAATAGGAAAAGAAATGTAGCAGAGTCATAATGGAATACAATATAAAGGCAAGTAAGTACTGGGATGAATGTCATCATAGACAGTTTATTCTTTAATTTGTACTAACTTCTACATTTGTATATGTATAATTAAACACTTCTTAGTTAAGATTAATACATTTTTAAAATCACAACTTTATAGAACATAAGTCTTCCATGAAAACATAATGCCAGGTCAGTGGCCCTCCACTTGAGCACACATTCAAATCACTGAGAGGGCTCTGTAAAACACGCATTGCTGGGCCCCACCCCAGTTTCTGATTCTGTAGACCTGGTGTGGGGCCTGCTGTGTGGTTTGAATGTTTATTCTCTCTGAAACTCATGTTGAAACTTAATCTCTACTGTGGCAGTATTGAGAGGTGTGGGACCTTTAAGAGGTGTTGGGTCATGAAGGCTCTGACCTCATAAATGGACCCTTTCATTCATGGATTAATAGATTAATGAGTTATTGGATGAATGGGTTATCATCAAAGGAGTGGGACTGTGGCTTTATAAGAAGAGGAAGAGAGACCTGAGCTTGTGCCCTCAGACCCCTTGAGATGTGATGCCATGTGACATCTTGGGGCTGTATGGAGTCCCCATGAGGAAGAAGACCACCCCCAAAAGCAGTCTCTTGACATTGGTCTTCTCAGCCCCCATAACTGTAAGAATAAATATCTTAATCAATTATCACGTTTTAGGTAGGCTGTTAATAAGCAACGGAAAATAGACTAAGACAGAGCCCAAGAATATGTAGTTGGACAGCGTCTCACATAATACTGATGCTGCTGGTCCTGCAACCTCACTTTGAGAATCAGGGTGTTAAGGAAACAAGCAGTAGAATATCTTCAATGAACAAAGCTAGTGGGTGTACATTTTAAATAAATTCAACAATTACTGATTATCTACAGTGTACCGTCAGAATGGTTTAGAAAAATGACACCACTTCTATCAAAACGTACTGGATGCTGGGTTTTCTAATTAAAGAAACATCACTTTAAAATACATTACTTTCCACACATTCAAAGACACTGCTGACCCTTTTTCCTCAGCTGCCATTAAGGTTCTCAGCCCTTCCAAAGAAGATAAAGCCTTAGCTTATCTTAAGCTTAGCTTAATATTGTGGTGAAACGTCACTTATTGGGTGAGTAGCACCCTGTCCCGTGGTGGCAGCCGCACACCATGGCCTCTGTCTTTGTTGGAACTCACTTGCATCTACTTGGCCCTAATTCTGCACTGCAATGAGGTGGCCATCACATAAGATCATTGCCCTACTTAAAGCAGCTAGTGTAAATGGTGAACCATTTTCACCTTTCCTGTTTTCAAGGGCCTGGCCAGTGTCAACATCAGGAGCCATTTTGATAGCGTGGACAGGCTGATAGACCTGCATCCACATGCAGTTCTGCCCCTATACACCTGCCTCAGCTAGAGTCAACGTTGAGAGCCTCCAGGAGTAGTATAAGGGCTGCTGGACCCGTACCTGTAGGCAGTCCTCCCGCCTCACTGCTTTCCCAGCTGAACAGAAGGAAGTACAAGCAAGGAAAGAAGTATCAGAGGAGTCTACCCAGGAGATGGGCCTTGATCTTGTTGACCAAATCTCTTTGGTAACATGATCAGTAAGAGGTTAAACTCCTGGCTGGGCACCTTGGCTCATGTCTGTAATCCGAGCACTTTGGGAAGCCAAGGTGGAAAGATCACTTCAGGCCAGGAGTTCAAGACTAGGCTGGGCAATATAAGGAGACCCTGTCTCTACAAAAAATTTAAAAATTAGCCTGGTGTGGTGGTGCACATCTTTAGCCCCAGGTACTTGGGAGGGTGAGGCAGGAGGATCACTTGTCTCCAAGAGGTCAGTGCTGCAGTGGGATGTGATCACCCCACTACACTGGGATGAGACCTTGTCTCATAATGAAAACAAACCGAACTTTTAAAACACACACAGAGTCAGTGAATATCGTTATAACTGTCAGATTGTGACAATTTGATTCTAACTCAAGATCAGCCCTTTTTATAGTTTATTTTGTGTCTTTAAGGAACCAGCCTAACTAGCACAAAACACTGGCTTTGGGATTTTTGTCCTTTTTGTAATTAGGAATAATAAAAATTAGGTTCAAGATATATCAAGTAAATTTAAGGGAGAAATGCATTAAGTTGATTCATTTGTGTAAGATGTTTAAAGTGTAACTTCATAAGTAAGCAGTCATAAACTTGGGTTCATAATTCCTTATCCAAGACCTATGGAGGCAGATTTAAAAATTTAAAAATTTAGATTTTTTAATTATTATTTTTAAAAGGTATTATAATTCATATGTTCCATGACATGTAACATTCTCAGGGGTTCTCAGGCAGTAACCATAGTCAAATCCTTTAGCATTTGTATAGGGAAATGCTTGAAGAGTTGTACTAATGAGAGTTGAAGCCAGTTGGGCTTCTGGGTTGAGTGGGGACTTGGAGAACTTTTCTGTCTAGCTAAAGGATTATAAATGCAACAATCAGCACTCTGTGTCTAGCTCAAGTTTTGTAAACGCACCAATCAGTTCTCTATGTCTAGGTAGTTTGGTGGGGCCTGGAGAACTTTTTTGTCTAGCTAAAGTATTGTAAATGCACCAATCAGCACTCTGTGTCTAGCTAAAGTTTTGTAAATGCACCAGTAAGCACTCTGTCAAAATGGTCCAATCAGCTCTTTATAGAACGGACCAATCAGCTCTCTGTAAAATGGAGCAATCAGTTCTCTGTAAAATGGACAAATCAGCAGGATGTGGGTGGGGCCAGATAAGGGAATAAAAGCAGGCCACCCCAGCCAGCAGCAACAACCTGCTTGCGTCCCCTTTCATGCTGTGGAAGCTTTGTTATTTTGCTCTTCACAATAAATCTTGCGCCTGCTCACTCTTTGTGTCCATGTGCCACCTTTAAGAGCTGTTTTAAGAGCAGTAACACTCACTTTGAAGGCCTGCAGCTTCACTCTTGAAGTCAGTGAGACCATGAACCCACTAGAAGGAAGAAACTCTGGACATGTCCAAACATCAGAAGGAAAAAACTCCAGACACACCATCTTTAAGAACTGTTACACTTACCACAAGATTCCGCGGCTTCATTCTTGAAATCAGCAAGACCAAGAACCCACCAATTTCAGACACATTTTGGCAACCATGAAGGGAAATCGACTATTGCTGAGCAGTAAGCACCATCAGAACCCTTTTGCTTGCTATTCTGTCCTATTTTTCCTTAGAATTTGGGGGCTAAATACCGGGCATCTGTCTGTCAGTTAAATGTGACTAGTGTGGTCACCGGACTAAAGATATGGGTGTCAGGCTTTCTGGGAAAGGGCTCTCTAACAACTCCTCACTCTTCAGGGTTGGGAGGGTTGGTTTGCCTGGAACCAGCTTCTGCTTTTCCTGTACTTCTGGGCTGAGCTGAGGGTTGACAAAGAGGAAAACCATTCAGCTCTGGGGTCCTGACAACAAGTTGGTTGACCCTGTGGCCATGAGCGGAACTCTCAAAGTCATGTTGCCCAAGTGAGACTCACCCATATATCCTATCTATCCTGACCCTTGCTGCCTGGATCCTAATGCCTTTCAGACAAACTTCCTCTCACCTCTCTTCTCCAAGGCTAGCCCTGCTTGTAAAAACCACTCCCTCTCTCTGGTGCATTTCTAGTTTCTCCTGTAAGAATGATTTCCAGTATAATCTTCAGGAGTCTGTTACCTTCTTTAGGCACTTGGGCTCACCAATCAGAAAATCATAATTTTTGCCCAGAGCCCCATTGTAGGGGGGACTATCTGGAATTTTAGGGTCCCTCCTCAGACAAGCAGGCCTAACAAGAGCCATTCCTGAAGCTAGGCTATTGGGAGCTTCAGAAATGATATCCTTCCTATACAAATGAGGACAAAAGATTTTACTCTTTGAACCTTGGAGATCCCTTCCCTCCCTCAGGGTATGGCCCTCCACTTCATTTTTGGAGAATAGCATCTTTATAGGACACAGGGAAGGTCCCAATACTAACAAGGGAATGCTTAGGACTCTAACAGGTTTTGGAGAATGCATCAGTAAAGGCCAATAAATACAATTTTTTTCTAGGTCCTCTTTGTGGTCTAGGAGGACAGGCAAGGGTGCAGCTTTTCAAGAATGTGTCAGTAAGGGCCACTCAATCCGACCTTCCTTGGCCCTCTTTGTGGTCTAAGAGGAAAATTAATGTTTCTTCTTCTGTGTTGGTGAGTGCAACTCTCCGATCAGCAGGGTCCAGGGACCATTGCAGATTCTTGGTCAGGGGAGAAATAAAACAAATCAACACTGTAGATAGTTTTTTCTTTCAGATGGGAAACACTCAGAAATCAACAGGCTCACTTTTGATATGCCTTCTAAGCCATTGGGACCAATTGACCCAGAAACCCTGAAAAAGAGGTGGCTCATTTTTTTCTGCACTATGGCCTGGCCCCAATATTCTCTCTCTGATGGGGAAAAATGGCCACCTGAGGGAAGTATAAATTACAATACTATCCTGCAGCTTGACATTTTCTGTAAGAGGGAAGGCAATTGGAGTGAAATACTTTATGTCCAAGCTCTTTTCACTGAAGGAGAATCTACAACTATGCTAAGCTTGCAATTTACATCCCACAGGAGGACCTCTCGGCTTACCCCTATATCCTAGCCTCCCTATAGCACCCCTTCCTATTAATGATAATTCTCCTCTAATCTCCCCTTCCCAGAAGGAAATAAGCAAAGAAATATCCAAAGGACCACAAAACTCCCTGGGCTATCTGTTCTGTCCCCTTTAAGTTACAGGGGGATGAGAATTTGGCCCAACCTGGGTACATGTGCCTTTCTCTCTCTCTGATTTAAAGCAGATAAGGGCAGACCTGGGGAAGTTTGCAGATGATCCTGATAGGTACATAGATGTCCTACAGGGTCCAGGGCAAGCCTTCAATCTCACTTGGAGAGATGTCATGTTATTGTTAGATCAAACCCTGGCCTTTAATGAAAAGAATGCAGCTTTAGCTGCAGCCTGAGAGTTTGGGGATACATGGTATCATAGTCAAGTGAATGATAGAATGACAGCTGAAGAAAGGGACAAATTCCCTACCAGTCAGCAAGCCATCTCCAGTATAGATCCCCACTGTGAACTTGCCTCAGATCATGGGGCCTGGAGTTGTAAACATCTGTTGACCTGTGTTCTAGAAGGACTAAGGAGAATTAGAAAAAAGCCCATGAATTATTCAATGATGTCCACCATAACTCAGAGAAAGGAAGAAAATCCTTCTCCCTTCCTCAAGTGGCTACAGGATGCCTTAAGAAAATATACTCCCCTGTCACCTGAATCACTTGAGTGTCAATTGATTCTAAAAGATAAGTTTATTACCCAGTGAGCCACAGATATCAGGAGAAAGCTTGAAAAGCAAGCCCTGAGCCCTGAACAAAATCTGGAGGCATTATTAAACTTGGCAACCTTGGTGTTTTATAATAGGGACCAAGAGAAACAGGCCCAAATGGAAAAGCAAGATCAGAGAAAGACCACAGCCTTAGTCATGGCCCTCAGACAACCAAACTTGGTGGTTCAGAGAGGACAGAAAATGGAGTAGGCCAATCACCTGATAGGGCTTGTTATCAGTGTGGTTTACAAGTACACTTTAAAAGATTGTCCAGTGAGAAATAAGCTGCCCCCTCATCCATGTCTGTTATGCCAAGGCAATCACTGGAAGGTGCACTGCCCCAGAAGACAAAGGTTCTCTGGGTCAGAAGCTCCCAACCAGATGATCCAACAACAGGACTGAGGGTGTCCAGGGCAAGCAACAGCTCATGTCATGACCCTCACTGAGCCCCAGGTACACTGAACCACTGAGGACCAGGAAATTTACTTCCTCCTTGACACTGGCACAGCCTTCTCAGTGCTAATCTCCTGTCAAGATCCGTTACAATCTGAGGAATCCTGAGACAGCCTGTAACCAGGTATTTCTCTCACCTCCTCAGTTTTAATTGGGAGACTTTACTCTCTTCACATGCCTTTCTTGTTATGCCTGAAAGTCCCACACCCTTATTAGGGAGAGACATATTAGTCAAACATGGAGCTATTATTTACATGAATATGGGGAGCAATTTACCCATTTGTTGTCCCCTACTTGAGGAGGGAATCAACCCTGAATTCTGGGTATTGGAAGGACAATTTGGAAGGGCAAAAAATGCCTACACAGTCAAATCAGGCTAAAATATCCCATCAGTTTTCCTTATCAAAGGCAGTATCCCTTAAGGCCTGAAGTTCATAAAGGATTCCAGGATATTGTTAAACATTTAAAAGCTCAAGTCTTAGTAAGGAAATGCAGCAGTCCTGGTGACACCCCAATTCTTGGAGTACAAGGACCGAATGGTCAATGGAGACTAGTGCAACATCTTAGACTCATCAATGAGGTACTAATTCCTCCATATCCAGGTGTATCGAACCCCTATATCCTGCTCTCTCAAATACCTGAGGAAGCATAATGGTTCACTGTTCTGGAGCTCAAGGATGCCTTCTTCTGTATTCCCCCACACTCCGACTCCCAGTTTCTCTTTGCCTTTGAGGATCTCACATACCACACATCCCAAATTACGTGGACAGTCTTGCCCCAAGGGTTTAGGGACAGGTCTCACCTGTTTGGTCAGACACTGGCCCAAGATCTATGCCACTTCTCAAGTCTAGGAACTCTGGTACATCAATATGTGGATGATTTACTTTTGGCTGCCATTTCAGAAGCTCCATGCCAGCAGGCTACTCTAGAGCTCTTGGACTTTTTAGCTAATCAAGGGTACAAGACATCTAGGTTGAAGGCCCAGCTTTGCTTGTGACAGGCAAAATATCTAGGCCTAATCTTAGCCAGAGGAACCAAGGCTCTCAGCAAGGAGTGAATACAGTCTATACTGGCTTATCCTTGCCCAGAGATATTAAACAGCTGTGGGGATTCTTTGGAATCACTGGGTTTTGCCAACTATGGATCCCTGGATACAGCGAGATAAGCAGACCCCTCTATACTCTAATCAAGGAGACCCAATGGGCAAATACTCAACTAGTAGAATGGGAACCAGGGGCAGAAACAGCCTTCAAAACCTTAAAGCAGGCCCTAGTACCTGCTCCAACTTTAAGCCTTCCCATAAGACAAAGCTTCTCTCTATATGTCAGAGAGGGAGCAGGGATAGCTCTTGGAGTCCTTACTCAGACTCCTGGGACAACCCCACAACCAGTGGCATACTTGAGTAAGGAAATTGATTTAGTAGCAAAAGGCTGGCCTCACTGTTTAAGGATAGTTGTGTTGGTGGTTGTCTTAGTGTCAGAGGCTATCAAAATAACACAAGGAAAGGATCTCACTGTCTGAACTACTCATGATGAAAATGGTTTACTAGGTGCCAAAGGAAGTTTATGGCTATCAGACAACTGCCTGCTTAGATAACAGGTGCTACTCCTTGAGGGACTGGTGCTTCAAATATGTATATGTGTGGCCCTCAACCCTGCCACTTTTCTCCCAGAGGCTGGCGAACCAATCGAGCATGACTGCCAACAAAATATAGTCCAGATTTATGCCGCTCAAAATAGTCTCTTAGAAGTCCCCTTAGCTAATCCTGACCTTAACCTATATATCAATGGAAGTTCATTTGTGGAGAATGGGACATGAAAGACAGGTTATGCCATAGTTAGTGATGTAACTGTACTTGAAAGTAAGCCTCTTCCCCCAAGGACCAGCATGCAGTTAACAGAACTAATGGTACTTATCCGAGCCTTAGAACTGGGAAATGGAAGAAGAATAAATGTGTATACAGATAGCAAGTATGCTTATCTAATCCTATGTGCCCATGCTGCAATATGGAAAGAAAGAAAGTCCCTAACCTCTGGGGGAACCGCTACTAAATACCACAAGAAAATCATAGAGTTATTGCACATAGTGCAAAAACCCAAGGAGGTGGCAGTCTTACACTGCTGAAGCTATCAAAAAGGGGAAGGAGAAGGGAGAACAGCAGTGTAAATGGCTGGCAGTGACAGGGAAAGAACAACAGAGAGAAAGAGAGAGACAAAGTCAAAGGCAGAAGGAAACAGAGAAAGAGAAAGAAAGAGAGAGAGAGAGGCAGAAACAAAGACACAGAGAGAGAGGAAGAGACAGAGAAAAAGGAGTCAGAGAGAGACAGAAAGTCAAAGAGAAAGAAAGAGAAATGGAAATAGTAAAGAAAATAATAGTGCACCCTATTACTTTAAAAGCCAAGCTGAATTTAAAACCTATAATTGATAATCGAAGGTCTTCTCTGTAACTCTGTAACACTCCAAAACTACTTTGTTGTCAGTGTAAACAAGGGCATAGCCTGAAAGCACTAAGGCCACTGACAACCTGTACCCTTCCTATAAAAAATCCGTAACCCAGCAGATTTCCTAATAGGGGATCTAAATCTGGAGGTCCGGCCAGACATAGGAGGAACTCCCTTCAGGACTGGATGATAGATGGTTCCTCCTAGGTGATCAAGGAAAAAGTCACAATGGGTATTGAGTAAATGATAAGGAAACTCTTATAGAAGCAGAGTTAGGAAAATTGCCTAATAATTGGTCTGCTCAAATGCGCTAGCTGTTTGCACTCAGCCAAACCTTAAAGTACTTACAGAATCAGGACGGAGCCATCTATACCAATTCTTAGTTAATATGGACTGAATGAGGTTTTTTTAATAGCAAAGAAAAATTAAAATCCCAAACTTACAAAGTTTTCTACTAAAGTAAAATTTGCTAAAAATGAATAATGTAACATGCATTATCTTACTACCACATTCTCAAAGGATTTCTCAGTCTGCAAGAAATAACAAAATCTATCCAGTAAGGATAGTAACTACAATCCCAAATAGAGTCTTCTGCATCAGTGCCTCTCCAAAAGCACCAAGGCCTAGACCTCCTCACTGCTGAGAAAGGAGTACTCTGCACCTTCTTAGGGGAAGAGAGTTGTTTTTACACTAACCAGTCAGGGATAGTATGAGATGCCACCTGGCATTTACAGGAAATGTCTTCTGAAATTAGACAATGCCTTTCAAACTCTTATACCAACCTCTGGAGTTGGGCAACATGGCTTCTCCCCTTTCTATGTCCTGTGGCAGCCATCTTGTTGTTACTAGCCTTTGGGCCCTGTATTTTTAACCCTCTTGTCAAATTTGTTTCCTCTAGAATTGAGGCCATCAAGCTTCAGATGGCCTTACAAATGAAACCCCAAATGAGTTTAACTAACAACTTCTACCAACCCACTGGACCCCTTCTTCACCCCCATCCAGCCGGAAGTAGCTAGAGTGGTCGTTGGCCAAATTCCCAACAGCAGTCGTGGTGTCCTGTTTAGAGGGGTGATTGAGAGGTGAAGCTGGCTGTGCTTCTGGGTCAAGTGGAGACTTGGAGAAATTGTCTGTCTAGCTAATGGATTATAAATGCACCAATCAGCACTCTGTGTCTAGCTAAAGGTTTGTAAATACACCAATAAGCACTCTGTCAAAATGGACCAATCAGTTCTCTGTAAAATGGACCAGTCAGCTCTCTGTAAAATGGACCAATCAGGAGGAGGTGGTGGTGGCCAGATAAGGGAATAAAAGCAGGCCAACTGAGCCAGCAGCAGCAACCCACTGGGGTCCACTTCCATGCTGTGGAAGCTTTTTTCTTTCACTCTTCACAATAAATCTCACTGCTGCTGACTCTTTTGGTCCATGTGCTGCCTTTAAGAGCTGTTTTAGGAGCCGTAACACTCACTGTGAAGGTCTGCAGCTTCACTCCTGAAGTCAGTGAGACCATGAAACACCAGAAGGAAGAAACTCTGGACAGGTCCAAATATCAGAAGCAAACAACTCCGGACACATCATCTTTAAGAACTGTAACACTCACCGGAAGTGTCCGTGGCTTCATTCTTGAAGTCAGTGAGACCAAGAACCCACCAATTCCAGACACAATAAGACATGCAGTATGACTAGGATCCTCATTTTATAGTTGCTTTACCCAGGGCTGCTAGCTTACAAAGTTTCTGGCTAGAAAGCTGCAGAGCTGGGATTTCCTGTAAGGCCACTGGGCTTTAGAGGGCCTGGCTTCATTCCTTGGGCTGCCTGCCACCTCCCACACCTAGAGCATCTCACCCCCCGCCCCCACCAGGTTTAAGGCTACCCCCCTCTCCAGACCAGCAGCTATTTATTAAATACATTTCTCCAACAGACACTGTAGGTCAGACAGGCTAACAAACTTGTCCCAGGGTGTGCAGCTGAGCTGAGAGTTTTCTGCTGGTCTCCTGGGTTACCAAAGACCTAAGTCTTGTATGAACATAGGGGTAGGAGGAAAATCAGGCCTTCCCATATGTATTAATGTTAGTTCATTCTCACACTGCTATAAACAACTTCCCTGAGACTGGGTACTCTATAGGGGAAGGAGGTTTAATAGAGTCACAGTTCCACATGGCTGGGGAGGCCTCAGGAAACTTACAATCATGGCAGAATGGGAAGCAGCCACTTTTTTTGCAAGGCAGCAGGAGAAAGAGGGGGAAGGGGGAACTTGCAAACACTTATAAAACCATAAGTTATTGTGAGAACTCACTATCATGAGAACAGCATGGCGGAAACCACCCCAATGATCCAATCACCTCCCTCCCTCCACACATGGGGATTACAATTTGAGATGAGATTTATGTGGGGACACAGCCAAACTGTATCACCAGATATATGCTTTAATGACAGTTGGCTTAAAGTGTTTTCCCCTTAAATAACTCAACTCAGAGTTACAAAATTGAAGATAGGTACCCATTTGCATGGTAAGCAGATACAGCTTCCTGAGAGCAGGATCTTATATCTTTATTGGGTAAAACATTGACCACTGTGCCTCAGGGTAGACTTAGCAAGCATTTAAAGTACATTTCCAATTATAAGAGATGTTAGTTGTTTTGTTGCAATTACCCAACCTTCGCCTTAGAAACTTGTAGGCCATTGGCCTAGGCTTCCTCCAGGCCCAGCCTTTCCATAACAATTGAATTAATTTAACCCACAATGCCTCCCATGAACCCCCTGGGAACTCTGACTGCCTCTAAGGCTGAAAACATCCACCAGCCTGGGGCAGCCTGCAGCTTCTTCAGAGCTTCCCTCTCCTCCCCATGTTGCCCTTGCAGCTGCTGCAGAAGCTGCTCTCAACATGCCACACAGATTGCAGCTGGGAGGAGGGGAGTGGTCACAGTCACAAGGGATATTTTCTAACTCACCTAAGGAGGGTAGTAGTGTATGTGGCCCTAGCATGTTAAAAACAATATGACCTTTCCTGACAAAAAGGACACTGAAGCAATGTTAAAGCTGCAAGCTTGTTAATAAGCAGGGAAGAATATACATCTGATGGCTGGTGCAATTGTTTTATCCTCCTTTATTTTATTTCAGCATTTTTCCTTTCACAACGCTGTCCCTTTAAGTGTGCCATCATCAATGGCTGTAGTCATCATTTGATCTGAGGAGTTTAATTACTTGTTTAGATCCTTGATTATTCCATGAATTTAGGATGATTTTATCTAAATTGTGAGGAAAAGTTCAGGGAGCAGGCCTTCTCAATCTCCAATATCCAGAATGGTGGAGATTCTGAGGTTTGGTGTGTTTTACAGTAATCTTAATAAAATACAGCTCAAGGCCAGCCATGGTGGCTCATGCCCTCATCCCAACACTGGGAGACCTATTTTGGAGGATCAATTGAGCCCACGAGTTTGAGACCAGCCTAAGCCAAAGGTCATGGCTCCTATATCTACAAACAATAAAATACAGTTGTGGTAGAAAAGCAAGGAGAAAAATATTACAGGCTGACAATGAAGTGGCACCTGGCATGCAGCTATGGGTGAATTTGCCAAGAAAAGCAGAGAAAGAATGGAGGAGGGCTCTTCTTGTTGCTGGTAGCAGTCAAAGCCAGGGTATCCATAAAGAGGCAAAGAGCCCAGGAAAGAGGGCCACAGAAGGGGTCAGTGCTCAGGAGGAGGAAGGAGGATGGGGAGTGCAGGGCAGTGGACACCAAAAAGCCCAAGGAAGAGACCTGTCCACAACAACCAGCCTCTCACTGTCCACAGGGCAGACTGGGCTCAGCCTCAGCCCCATCCCAAGGAGGAAGAGCTGGTTCACTAGGCAAGTGCGGTGAGCCCTGGGACAAGGAGAGAAGCACACACAGAGGCAAAGTCCACACCGTGACAGTCAGAGCAATCAACAAGCCCAGACCTCTGAGTACAAGGTGGCAAGAGCCCTAGAAAAATACTACAGGAGCTGCCAAGAGATACAGTTTGGATGCTGTTGAAGTGACAGGGTACAGGGCCACATGAGAAATGTCTTTCTTGAGACAGCAGCACTCTGCTCTTGGTACATTCAGGAATTTTGTAAATAGGTGGTGGATATCGTTGCCTGCCCAGGCCATGTGTCTACACAGATGACCATCACTTCCTGTGAGAAAGATGCAGGAGACAAAGCACAGGTAGCCCTACCATTGTGGGAGGGCTGACAAGAGACCTTCCCGGCCTCCTCCATGCCTGACACAGTGAATCCCACACTGCCCGGCAGGCAGCCCTCTGCATGCTTTTCTGAGAGTAGCAGATATTTTGGAATTAAAACCTGCCATAACTTTTTTTTTTCTTCTAAAAGAATCTCACTCTGTCACCTAGGCTGAAGTGCAATGGCATGATCTCAGCTCACTGCAACCTCCTAGGTTCAAGTGATTCTCCTGCCTCAGCCTCCTGAGTAGCTGGGATTACCAACATGTGCCAGCAGTCCAGCTAGTTTTTTTATATTTTTAACACAGACAGGGTTTTGCTATGTTGCCCAGGCTGGTCTTATGCTACTGAGCTCAGTCAATCCATCTGCCTCAGCCTATGAAAGTACTGTGATTATAGACATGAGCCACCCCACCTAGCCCATAACTCTTTTAATAGCTATTCATACCCTGCCAACTTTCAAAATGTGTTGAAGCAATTAGAGACAAGCATGCATGCCTATGTGCATGTAAGCATGTGAACATACACAGGAGTAGGAAGACTTATATGCCTCTTGGATACACACAGCCTTCTCTGTGCATACACATTACTTCCCTCAGTGTGTCCTATGTCTCCCAGATACTATCTTATGGGGAAAAAAAAGTAGTATTTAGGGATGATTATTATATTTGTTTCTGTCATTGTGGGACAGTTAAAGGCCATTGAGATCACCTGCTCTTTTCAGGTCTTGTTGGGTACAGCTGTACAGATTCAGGGTAGACTACATCCTGCTAATGCTGCTCCACACCCCATGGGAAGGTTTCCGTGCTAAATCTAGGACAGGTGGCCAGTCTTCTAACTGAATTTGAATTCAGATTTTTGTCAGATGCATCTGTGTGTCTTCTTTTTAAATCAGGTGTAAACAGGACTATTCCCAGCCTCTCAGGTTCAGGGACTGCCTCTGTGCCACCACAGACTAGAAGACAAGGGCTCTGCCCAAGCCTCAGGACAGCCTTCTGCCTTCACTGGGGTCTTGGGGGGATTGTCACCAGGCAACACTCAGCTCCATGGAGCTTACCTGGTTTTGAAATTCCACTTGGTAGACATTCCTCTGTGTTAAAGTATTTCTTTTTCTTTTTATTTTATTTTTTTGGCATAATGCCTCCTAGCAGGTCAGTTAGTTGGTTCTTCAGTAAAGTAATCTTTCTAGGCCCACACTGGAGACAGTAAGAGTGGGGAAGACAGCTAGTGTGTAACAAGTATGCCCTAGCAGGCTGGCACTAGAATGTTACTTATGTGCCCTGAAGTATTAATTCTGTAAAGTAGGATTATTTCACTGTAGTAGCATCCTCAGTAGTATTCTTATTGGTAATATGAGTGCAATTGATACTATGTATATATTAAATATACATACAGAAAAAACACATGAATAGAAATGGGTGTGAGCTAGTACTAGTTATTATATTGTATGTAGTGTAATGTAGCCTATATTAGTGGTACTGGTGTTATTATTAGCAGTATTCCTGTCCACCTTGTGTAAACATGAGGGAAGGAGTCACCTGCAGTTCTACTGTGTTTCTGAGGCTGTGCTTCAAGTAAGTGCCGAGCCGGGAGTTAATTCTCAGGTCAGCTTTCACCATCCTAAATATTCTGCTCTCACCTGGGAGCTTCACAGCAGCATCCTGGCCAGACATGGTGGGGACTCATTCCACTGGGCAGTGGAAATGTCCTTAATACTACTGGGCCATACAGTGGACTTTGTCAGTTGATGGTGGTTTCCATGTTGTTGGGAACACCAAGTAATGATGCCTTGTGCTATCAGATGGAATTGACCATTCCAAGGACATATTTAGATTAAATATGTACATTTGAACAGAAAACACAATAATACAGATTTCATTTCTCTCCTGAGTTCCACATTTGCAGATCACAACTCCAGACATAATTCCAGCAGCCTTGAGAGGAGGATGCCCACAGTATAATTTAGTGAGAATGACCTGCAAACCTTTCTCCTGTTCACTTAGGTCACCATGAAAACCTCTGTTCATAGGATGCTACCTACACAGTGTGTTTTTGCTGACTTGATACAAACTTACTCTTATATGCACTCTAAAAATCTCTGTCTTTGTGTCTTTATTTTTCTGCAGATACTGAATGGCTGTACTCAGTGGTGTTTGAAGAAATATGTGATCACTATGATGAGAAATACAGCTGGGATATAAAGTCCCTGGTTATGGGTAAGATTGCATTAGAGGCAGCACAGATACCCATCTTGCAGCTCCCGATGTCCAAAGAGGAGCTGATGGAAGAAAACCAAAGGAAGTTAAGGGGAAGTGTTCCCCACAGCTGTGCTCACACCAGGTGCGATTGCCTTGCTGTTTGCAGGATGGTTTGGGAATATTAGCAATCAGATTTGTAACTCAACTTTAAAGAGTAGTGCAGGGCATACATAGTTTGTCCTCTTTTCCTCAGTCTCAAAACTAAGCCTCTTCTTGGTGCTCCTGAAAGAGTTTGGCTGATGCTGTGATTCAATTTTCTCTTTAAAGTCTTATTAAAATAATATGCATTAGTTTCAGTTATTTCTGAGTTCCAAAAACATTTGAGCATTGTTTATATTGGTATCTATAAAGTTATGTTAATGACAGAATGGCTTCAAAGTTTAACTTAATAGATGGTTTAGCATTTTTCTTTTCAAAATCTGATATAGGATTAATATTTCAGCAACTATTCAAACTTAGCAAATTGATAAGCAGCTAAATCTCCCTAAAGAAACTTAATTTAAAAAAAGTAAAAAGCCCAATTCATTTTTACCCTGTGTGTTTGTGTCCCCTTCAGCCATTGCTTTATTTGTATCCTGTTTTATTCTGAAAGGAAAGACAATATTGTTCACTTCAGGCTTGTTAACTGACATCAATCAGAATGGGCTTTCCAATTGCCTCTTATTCAAGAATGGTCTAGATTACAGATAGAAAATAGACTATTTGAAGATTCTTCTGTGATAACAGGATGAATACTCTGTCTTAAGAATTCCTGTTGCCAGGGGAGAAAAAAAATTGCAGTTATGTGAGTAATCTTTGATTTAAAATTGTATTAATATAAAGCATATATACCTTTGAAATTTATGTTATTTATATTTATACATACATCCGAACGTGGATTGACTATTCTTGGGAAGCGTGCACACACATGCAAACACACACCCTTTATAATCACTCTGTCTGCATCTGCTACAAATGGTAGTGTCTGTGAATCTCAGGCATGGGTATGAGAACCATGATACTCAATTCTCTGCCTCTAGTGTCTTTCTGCACCATTTGCACATGAAGTTACTCTATCAAGTCTTGATGAAACACAAACCATATAGTTACTATGTAAAAATTTAATTGTGGTAGGAAACACACACACAGACACATGCTAAAATTTAAAATTTAAAACTAAAAACTAAAATTTACCATCTTACCTATTTTTAAGTGTACAGTTCAGTAGTGTTAGGTCTGCTCACATTGCTATACAATGGACTTCCAGAACTTTTTCATCTTGCAAATCTGAAATTCTGTGCTCATTGAACAACTCCCCATTTCCCCCTACCCTCAGCTCCTGACAACCATCATTCTACTTTGTATTTCTAAGTTTTTTACTACTCTAAGTACCTCAAATAAGAATTATATAGTATTTTTCTTTTGGCTGGGGGTGGTCGCTCATGCCTGTAATCCCACACTTTGGGAAGCTGAGGCAGGTGGCTGACCTGAGGTCAGGAGTTCCAGACCAGCCTGGCCAACATGGTGAAACCTCATCTCTACTAAAAATGCAAAAATTAGCCGGGCATGGTGATGGGCACCTGTAATCCCAGCTACACTGGAGGCTGAGGCAGGAGAATCCCTTAAACCTGGGAGATGGAGGTTGTAGTGAGCCCAGCTGGTGCCATTGCACCAGAGCAAGGCTTCATCTCAAAAATATTTGATTGGCTCATTTCACTTAGCATAATGCCTTCAAGTTTCATCCATGTTAGAGCACGCAATAAGAATTTCTTTCTTTTTAAGGCTGAACAATATTTCATGCTATGTTAGACCACATTTTGTTTATTTGTTCATCTGTTGAGGGACATTTGGTTTGCTTCCACTCCTTAGCTGTTCTTGTGAATAATGCTAATGTAAATATGAGTGCACAAATATCTCTTTGAGTTCCTGCTTTCTGTTCTGTTGGGATATACCCAGAAGTGGAATTGCTGGATGAGGTGGCAATTTTATTTTTAATTTTTTGAATGATTACCATATTGTTTTCCATAGTTGTTAAACCATTGCATATTCCCACCAACAATCTATAAGGGTTCAAATTTTTACACATTCTCATCAAAACTTGTCATTTTCTAGATTTTTTTGACAGTACTCATCCTAATGGGTGTGAGTTAATCTCTTATTATGATTTTGATTTGCATATCTGATGGTTGGGGATGGTGAGAATCTTCATTTTCTTTTTGGCCATTTCTGCATTATCTTTGGAGAAATGTCTGTGCCCATCCTTTGCCTATTTTTAATTTTTTTTTGTTCTTATGTTGTAGGAGTTCCTACGTATTCTGGATATTAAGCACTTTTCAGACATATGACTTATGATCATTTTCTCCCTTCCTGGTTGACTTTTTGCTTAGTTGTCATCTTTGGTGTGCATAAGTTTTTGATTAGATGAATATGACACGTCATCTTATTTGTGTAATTTTGCCTTTGTTACCTGTGCTTTTGGTGTCACAGCCAAGAAGCGATTGCCAAATCCAATTTCATGAAGCTTTAACCTATATTTTCTTCTAGCCATTTTAGTTTTAGGTCTTACATTCAATACTTTAATCCACCTTGAGTTATTTTTTGAATATGGTGTTAATTAGAGTGCAGTTTCATTCTTTTGCATGTAGATATCCAGTTTTCCCAAGCACTGTTTGTTGAAGAGACTTATCTTTTCTCCATTGAATAGTCTTGACTGCTTGTTGACAAATGTGTGACAATTTATTTCTGAGCTGTCTCTTCTATTCTATTAGTATTTAGGACAGTACTGAACTGTTTTGATGAATGCTGCTTTGTAATATATTTGGAAATCCTGACATGTGAGACCCACAATTTTGTCCTTTTTCAAGATTGTTCTGGCTATTTGGGATCCCTTGAAATTTCATATGTATTTTAGGATGTTTTTCCTATTTTTGCTCAAAATGCCATTGGGATTTTGATAGTGATGGCATTGAATCTGTAGGATTGCTTTGGATGCTATGAATATCTTAACAATATTAAGCCTTCCCACCCATGAGCATAATCTTTCAATTCATTTGTCTTTCTTTCAGTAGTGTTTTGTAGTTTCAGTAAGCAGGTCTTTCACCTCTCTTATTTCTAGGTATTTTGTTCTTTGTATACTATTATAAATGGGATTGTTTTTAATTTTCTCTTCAAGTTATTCATTGCTAGTAGATTAAAATGCAACTGATTTTTGTTTGATTTGTATTCTACAACTTTGCTGAATTGGTTTATTGGTTCTAACACCTTTCTTTTTTTAATGTGCTGAATTTTAGTGTTTTCTATATATAAGATCATGTAATCTGTGAGCAAGTATGCAAATATAATTTTGTTTCTTCCTTTCCAGTTTGGATGCCTTTTATTGTGTTATCTTGCCTAATTGCCTGGTTCAGATGGGTGTCCTTGTCTTATTCCTGAACTTAGAAAGAAAGCGTCAGTGTTTGCTGAGAATTATATTAGCTGTGAACTTCTCATATAAGGCCTTCAATATGTTGAGGTAACTTTTTTTTTTTTTTGAGATGGAGTCTTGCTCTGTCACCCAGTCTGGAGTGCAGTGGCGCAATCTTGGCTCACGACAAGCTGCACTTCCTGGGTTTAAGTGATTTTCCTGCCTCATCAATTTGAGTGTTTTCATCATGAAAGAGTGCTGGAGTTTTTCAAATGCTTTTTCTTTCTCATCAATTAAGGGTTTTTTTTTCTTTATGTTTTGGTTTCTTATTCTGTAAATGTGGTTTCATATGTTTAACGTATTTGCATTCCAGGAATAAACTTCACTTGTTCATGTATATGATCCTTTTAATTTGTTGTGGAATGTTAGCTAATATTTTATTTAGATTTTTAAATCTGTGTTCATCAGGGATATTGATCTGTATTTTGTTTTTCATACAGTATTTTACATGTTTGGTAGACTTCTCCAGTGATGCCAGTTGGTCCTGGGCTTTTCTTTCTGGGGATATTTTCTTTTATTATTGATTCAGTCTCCTTACTACTTATAGGTCTGTTCAGATTTTCTGTGTCTTCATTTTTCCCCTCTTTTCAAAATCCTCAGTGATTCTCTGTCTTTATGATTCAGTTTTGATAAGTTGTTTGTTTGTAGGAATTCTTTTATTTCTTTTAGGTTATCCTATTTGTTGTCAAAGGATATGCCAACAAATGGTATACTCCATTTATTTTTGTGGCATTGGTTATAACGTGGGCCCTAGCATTTCTGATTTTAGTCATATGAGTGTTTTTTTTTCTTTGTTACTGTAGCTAAGGTTTGTCCATAAAGTTATTCTGTGACCCAGCATTTCTTCTGACTTAACATACAAAGCACTCATGATGTATGAGGTGTGCATATGTCTTATTTCTTGCTCATCTACCCAAGCCTTTCATATGGTTTGTCTTCTATATTTTTTGTTCTACATGCGAAGATATACTTGAAATATATTATACTGCAATTCTTAAAAAAATGATGTTTTATCTAGCTAGCCTGGTAGTTTGGGTGGAGTGGTAGTGAATTTGTTTTATGGAATCTACTTGATGATCTCATCAACATAGTGTCTTCATTTGGCTTTCTAAGTGAGCAGGTATCAGATTAAGTGAGGTGCCAATCATAGAAACTCATCAAAGATGAACAACTAGCCAGGAGCTACTTTTTTAAAATTAGTTCAGTCCTACAGAACTTGTCTAGATGGCTCTCTTATTTTTTTAACTACTTTTTGACCTATTTCAGGTGACAGGGTTAAAGAAACTATTTAATTCTTTTTGACTTGACAAATTGTTTGGTTTTTTTTTTTGGCATACAATTTGTATGTGTGCATGTGTGTGTGTGTGTGCATGCAGGTATACTTATTTTAATTTCTCCTAGCTGCATGGTTGTGAGTAGGGACTTATCAACGATATTGAAAGTCTGTCTTTGAAAATGATCATATCTGAGTGCCATGTACACAATTAGCTGTGCTTTGACAGAGCAGAACATGCAGAAGAATTGAAGAGTATAAAGAAATGCACAAGGTAATACTGGAAAGAAATTTAAAATCATGCTGGGATGCTAGCTCACATGATGTGCCAGCAACAGCGGTCAGATGATGTGCCGCTTTGATATTCTGAAATGAATTAGGCAGGATAAGACAAAATGATTAGAAATAATACTTAACCTGAAGGGAAAGCAAACTAGAGGAGGGCAATGTTGGATGTGATGTGTACAGCAGAAAGATAGGCTGTGCCTAATTTTGATCCAGAAATGTGTTCTTCCTTAGGGTTTCTGCTCAATATTACACCAGTCACAAAAATAAAAATAAAATAGAACTTCCATCCTAAAAGAACATTCTGGGAGGCCTAGTTTCCATTCATTTTCCACTCCTCCCACCTCGTTTTTTATCTGCACCAAGCCTGAATTCCCCTGGGAAGGTGACATTGTAGTGTCATTGCTCTGGTGACTACATTCAGCAAAATTTGCTGCTATCATCTTCCTTCTTCTAGGTGTTCATTTTGCTTAAGTACTACTTTGTTCCTGTTCTTAAGCTGTAGATCATAATATAACCTTTAATTTCATTTCTTTTCCTTCTGAAAGAATTTTGTGGTAGGATATGTTGGTTTGTGGAAGTCATCTTGACCTCATTAGAAAAGAAAGCTGCCTGTAGGGAGGGCTTAATTCAACATCATTATTTTTCATCTGCTTTCAAAGTGACAGCTGAGGCCAAGCAGGTATTTAGCAAGTTAAATGGCAAGAGTGAATGGTACATTACCAGGAGAAACAGCGCCTGATCATGCTTCAAGGACTGATTGCTGTGATTAGGCTCTGGGGGGTGTCTTCCTGGGCCAGTCACCAGGGAATCAGACTAATCCTGCTGTGGGGGTGTCTGCCTTGGCCATCACCAGAAAATCAGCCTGATTATGCTGTCAGGGTGTGTCTCCCTTGGTCAAACACAAGGGAATCAGCCTTATTATTCTGTGGGGTATGTCTTTCTTGGCCAATCACCAGGGCATCAGCAAGATTATGCTGCAGGGACATGTTTGCCTGGGCCAGTGACTAGGGAATCAACACCCTGATTATGGTGCAGAGGTATGTCCTTGCCTTGATCATGGTATAGAAGTATGTCTTTGCTCTGATTATGAAGCAGTGGCAAGTCTGCCTGATCAAGGTACAGTAGGGCTTTTTGCCTTGGTCAGTCTAGCTGCTAAGAAGACAAGGTGGACCTAATGGACTTGAAAGACGAGGCAGAACAGCCCTGAAGCACTCGCATATCAGCTGCCTATTTGCTGCCTAATCAGGTTTCTGGAAGCCCCTCTCTATAAAAAGGTGGGCAGGCCTATGATGTCCTTAGTGGGAAATCATTTTGAGCAGTTTATTCTGTAGGCATTTCCTACATGGCTTCATGGGTCATTGTAAACTGTCAGTCAGCCAAGACTGAAATTATTTTAAGAAAATAAAGTCTTTTAAATTGTGCAAACCTTAGAGTAAAAAATGCATGTGGTGCATTTCTTGTGAGTTCTAGGTATTTTAAAACAGAACAATATTACAACTGGAAATGTAAGTCGCATTACTTAAAAAAAACTCTTCTCTTGGGATAACAGAAAATCTTATTCAAAATATAGCCTGTGATGATTTCCTCCATTGTATCTTGAACAAATCCTTTCAGTAATGAATTTCTTGGGATAGATGAATTCCTTGCAGCTGCAAGGTACCATCTTGAAACAGGGAGCAGCCCTCTGCAGAGACAGACCTACAGTTGCCTTGATATTGGACTTCCCAGCCTCCAGAGGTGTGAGAAATACATTTCGATTCTTTACAAATTTTCCAGTCCCAGATATTCTGTTACAGTTGCACAAGCATACTATGACCTGAGGCTTTGCTGTAAGACAAACTTGGATTGTGTGTGGTCACACCTGGTCCAGTGAGTGGCTCCTAGAAGGCACTTGTGTCATTTCTGAACCCAGGAGGATCCAGTCCTCACTCTGAATCCCACCTTGAGGAGTCAGTAAGGTCATTCTCCATCCCTGCTCAGCTTTGTTGAAAAGCACACACCAGTCATGACATGGACATGATGCACATGACATGGGCTCTGGTCCTTTTTCTATCAAAACCGTGTCTTCCTCTTGTAAGTAAGCCTTCCTCCTCTAGCTTACTTAGATAATTATGGTTTCCATCATTCTACTTTTTCTCTTTTTCTTTTTATTTTTTATTATAAATTAAGTTCTAGGGTAGATGGGAGGAATGTGCAGGTTTGTTACATAGGTATACATGTACCATTTTGGTTTGCTGCACCCATCAACTTGTCATTTACACTAGATATTTATCCTAATGCTATCTCTCCCCCATCCTCCCATCCTCCAACAGGCCCCAGTCTGTGATATTCCCCACCCTGTGTCTATGTTTTCTCCTTGTTCAACTCCCACTTATGAGTGAGAACATGGGGTGTTTGGTTTTCTGTTCCTGTGTTAGTGTGCTGAGAATGATGGTTTCCAGCTTCATCCATGACCCTGCAAAGGATATGAATGTATGTGCCACATTTTCTTAATTGGGTATGTCATTGATGGACATTTGGGTTGATTCCAAGTCTTTGCTGTCATGAATAGTGCCACAATAAACATACGTGTGCATATGTCTTTATAGTAGAAAGATTCATAATCCTTTGGGTACATACCCAGTAATGGGATAACTGGGTTAAATGGTATTTCTAGTTCTAGATCCCTGAGGAATTGCCACACTGTCTTCCACAATAGTTGAACTAATTTACACTCCCACCATCAAGGTAAAAGTGTTCTTATTTCTCCACATCCTCTCCAGCATTTGTTGTTTCCTGACTTTTTAATGATGACCATTCTAACTGGTGTGAGATGGTATCTCATTGTGGTTTTGATTTGCATTTCAGTGATGACCAGTGATGATGAACATTTTTTCATATGTCTGTTGGCTCCGTAAATATCTTTCAGAAATGTCTGTTCATATCCTTTGCCCATTTTTTGAGGGGGTTGTTTGTTTTTTTCTCGTATATTTGTTTAAGCTCCTTGTAGATTTTAGATATTAACCCTTTGTCAGATGGGTAGATTGAAAAAATTTTCTCGCATTCTGTACATTGCCTGTTCACTCTGATGATAGTTTATTTTGCTGTTCAGAAGCTCTTTAGTTTAATTAGATCTCTTTTGTCTATTTTGGTTTTGTTGCCATTGCTTTTGGCATTTTAGTCATGAAGTCTTTGCCCATGCTTATGTCCTGAATGGTATTGCCTAGATCTTCTGGGTTTTTATGGTTTTAAGTCTTTAATCCATCTCGAGTTAATTTTTGTATATGGTGTAAGGAAGGGATCCAGTTTCAGCTTTCTACATATGGCTAGACAGTATTCCAAGCACTATTTATTAAATAGGGAATCCTTTCCCCATTTCTTGTTTTTGTCAGTTTCTCAAAGATCAGATGGTTGTAGATGTGTGGTGTTATTTCTGAGGCCTCTGTTCTGTTCCGTTGGTCTCTATATCTGTTTTGGCACCAACCATTCTGTTTTGGTTACTGGATCCTCCTAGCATAGTTTGAAGTCAGGTAGCGTGATGCCTCCAGCTTCCTTCTTTTTACTTAGATTAGTCTTGGCTATCTGGGCTCTTTTATGGTTTCATATGAACTTTAAGTAGTTTTTTCCAATTCTGTGAAGAAAATCAGTGGTAGCTTGATGGGGATAGTATTGAATCTGTAAATTATCTTAGGCAGTTTGGCCATTTTCATGATATTGATTCTCCCTATCCATGAGCATGGAACGTTCTTCTATTTGTTTTTGTCATCTTTTATTTCATTGAGCAGTGGCTTGTAGTTCTCCTTGAAGATGTCCTTCACATCCCTTGTAAGTTGGATTCCTAGGTATTTTATTCTTTTTGTCGTAATTGTGAAAGGGAGTTCACCCATGATTTGTATCCTGAGATTTTGCTGAAGTTACTTGTCAGCTTAAGGAGATTTTGGGCTGAGACAATGGGGTTTTCCAAATATACAATCATGTCATCCGCAAACAGACACAATTTGACTTCTTCTTTTCCTAATTGAATACCCTTTATTTTCTTTCTGTTGCCTGATTACTCTGGCCAGAACTTCCAGCACTCTGTTGAATAGGAGTGGTGAGAGAGGACATCCTTGTCTTGTGCCAGTTTTCAAAGGGAATGCTTTGAGTTTTTGCCCATTTAGTATGATATTGGCAGTGAGTTTGTCATAATAGCTATTATTTTGAAATACATTCCATCACTACCTAGTTTATTGATGTTTAGCTTGAAGTGCTCTTTAGCTTGACGTGCTTGAAGTGCTTGAAGTCCTCTTTAGCTTGAAGTGCTGTTGAATTTTGTCAAAGGCTTTTTCTGCATCTATTGAGATAATCATGGGATTTTTCTTGTTGGTTCTGTTTACATGATGGATTACATTTATTTTATTTTTGTATGTTGAACCAGCCTTGCATCCCAGGGATGAAGCCAAATTGATTGTGGTAGATAAGCTTTTTGAGGTGCTGCTGGATTTGGTTTGCCAGTGTTTTATTGAGGATTTGTGCATCAGTGTTCATCAGTGTTATTAGTCTAAAATTCACTTTTTTTGTTGTGTCTCTGCCAGGCTTTGGTTGGAATAGTTTCAGAAGGACGGGTACCAGTTCCTCTTTGTACCTCTGGTAGAATTCAGCTGTGAATCTGTTCTGGTCCTGGTCTTTTCTTGGTTGGTTGGCCATTAATTGTTGCCTCAATTTCAGAATGTGTTATTGGTCTTGTCAGAGATTCAGCTTCTCCCTGGTTTAGTCTTGGGAGGGTGTATGTATCCAGGAATTTATCCATTTCTTCTAGATTTTCTAGTTGATTTGCATAGATGAGTTTACAGCATTCTCTGATGGTAGTTTGTATTTCTGTGTGATGGGTGGTGATATCCCCTTTATCATTTTTTTATTGCCTCTATTTGATTCTTCTCTCTTTTCTTCTTTATTAGTTTTGCTAGTGGTCTATCAATTTTGTTGATCTTTCCAAAAAACTGGCTCCTGGATTCATTAATTGTTTAAAGAGTTTTTTTCTGCTTGACAAATTTTTCTCTACACACTGGTTTAAATGTGTGCCAGAGATACTGGTATTTTGTGTCTTTTTTCTCATTGGTTTCAAAGAACATCTTTATTTCTGCCTTCATTTTGTTATTAACCAGTAGTCATTCAGGAGCAGGTTGTTCAGTTTCCCTGCAGTTGTGCAATTTTCAGTGAGTTTTTAAATCCTCAGTTCTAATTTGATTGTACTGTGGCCTGAGAGACGGTTTCTTGCCATTTCTGTTCTTTTACATTTGCTGAGGAGTGTTTTACTTCCAATTATGTGCTTAATTTTAGAATAAATGTGATGTGGTGCTGACAAGAATGTACATTGTTTTGATTTGGGGTGGAGAGTTCTGTAGATGTCTATTAGGTCTGCTTCATGCAAAGCTGAGTTCAAGTTCTGGTAATCCTTGTTAATCTTCTGTCTTGTTGATCTGTCTAATATTGACAGTGGGGTGTTAAAGTCTCCCACCATCATTGTATGGGACTCTTTGTAGGTCTCTAAGGACTTGCTTTATGAATCTCTGTGCTCCTGTATTGGGTGCATATATATTTAGGATAGTTAGCTCTTTATGTTGAATTGATCCCTTTACCATTATTTAATGCCCTTCTTTGTCTCTACTGATCTTTGTTGGTTTAAAGTCTGTTTTATCAGAGATGAAGACTGCAACCCCTGCTTTTTTTTTTTCTTTCCATTTGCTTGGTAGATCTCCCTCCATTCCTTTATTTGAATCCTATGTGTTTCTCTGCATGTGACTTGAGTCTCCTAAATACAGTACAGTGATGGGTCTTGACTCTATCCTATTTGCCAGTCTGTGCCTTTTAATTGGGATATTTAGCCTGTTTAATTTAAGGTTAATATTGTTATGTGTGAATTTGATCCTGTCATTATGATGTTAGCTGGTTATTTTGCCGTTAATTGATGAAGTTTCTTCATAGCATTGATGGTCTTTACACTTTGGCATGTTTTTGCAGTGCCTGGTACCAGTGCTCCTTTCTATGTTTAGGGCTTTCTTCAGCAGCTCTTGTGAAGGAGGCCTGATGGTGAGAAAATCTCTCAGCATTTGCTTGTCTGTAAAGGATTTTATTTCTCCATCACTAATGAAGCTTAGTTTGGCTGGCTATGGAATCCTGGGTTGAAAATTCTTTTCTTTAAAATGTTGAATATTGGCCCCCACTGTCTTCTGGCTTGTAGGGTTTCTGCTGTTAGATCCACTGTAGTCTCATGGGCTTCCCTTTGTGTGTAACCTGACCTTTCTCTCTGGCTGCTCTTAACATATTTTTTCTTCATTTCAACCTTGGTGAATCCGACAATTATATGTCTTGGGTTTGCTCTTCTCTAGAAGAATCTTTGTGGTGTTCTATGCATTTCCTGAATTTAATGTTGGCCTGCCTTGCTAGGATGGGGAAGTTTTCCTGGATAATATCCTGATGAGTGCTGTCAAAACTGGTTCCACTCTCCCCGTTACTTTCAGGTACACCAATCAAAAATGTAAATTTGGTCTTTTCACATTGTCCCATATTTCTTGGAGGCTTTGTTCATTGTTTTTCACTCTTTTTTCTCTAATCTTGTCTTCTCACTTTATTTCATTAATTTGCTTCACCCACTGCTATCCTTTCTTCTACTGGATTGCATTGGCTATTGAAGCTAGTTTATGTGTCACAAAGTTCTTGTGCCTTGGTTTTCAGCTCCATCAGGTCATTTCTAGTCTTCTCTACATGTTTATTCCAGTTAGCCATTTGTCTAACCTTTTTTCAAGGTGTTTAGCTTCCTTGCAATGGGTTAGAACATGCTCCTTTAGCTCGGAGAAATTTGTTATTACCAACCTTCTGAAGCCTACTTCTGTTAACTTGTCAAACTAATTCTCCATCCAGTTTTGTTTCCTTATAGGTGAGGAGCTGAGATCCTTTGGAGAAGAGGTGCTCTGGTTTTTGGAATTTTCTGCTTTTCTACTCTGGTTTCTCCAATGTTTGTCATTGTATCTACCTTTGGTCTTTGATTTTGGTGACCTAGAGATGCAGTTTTAGTGTTGATGTCCTTTTTGTTGTTGTTGATGCTATTCCTTTCTGTTTGTTAGTTTTCCTTCTAACAGTCAGGCCCCTCAGCTACAGTTCTGTTGGAGTTTGCTGGAGGTCAACTCCGACGCTGTTTGCCTGGATATCACCAGCAGAGGCTG
Source organism: Homo sapiens (assembly GCF_000001405.40). NCBI lineage: Eukaryota > Metazoa > Chordata > Mammalia > Primates > Hominidae > Homo > Homo sapiens. The sequence continues at coordinate 15,369,526 of NC_000024.10, read as the reverse complement.
CAGAACAGCAAATATTGCTGCCTGATCCTTCCTCTGGAAGCTTCATCCCAGAGGGGCACCCACCTATATGAGGTGTCTGTTGGCCCCAAGTGGGAGGTGTCTTCCAGTCAGGCTACACTCGGGTCAGGGACCCATTTGAGGAGGCAGTCTGTTCATTCTCAGAGCTTGAATGCCATGCTAGGACAACCACTGCTCTCTTGAGAGCTGTCAGACAGGGTCGTTTAAGTCTGCAGAGGCTGTCTGCCTTTTGTTCAGCTATACCCTGCCCACAGAGTTGGAACCTAGAGAGGCAGTAAGCCTTGTGCAGCTGTGGCGGGCTCCCCTCAGTTCAAGCTTCCTGGCTGCTTTTTTGCCTTTTTTCTTTTTAATTTTGTTCTTGGTTTATTTTCTTACATCATTGTCTTCCTGACTGTTTACAGATACACCCCCACCCTTTCCATTAGGAACATCTGGCAGGAAGGCACTCATCCTCTGGAAGTCGGCTAAGAACTTGCCTCTCTTTCCTCTGAATTCTTGTGCATGTATTGCTGAGTAAGTGCTTGGGGGCACACAGGAGAAAGATCTCTTTCCTAATGGAGTGTGTCATCCATTTGGGGAGAGAGGTTAGGCGTATCTACCGTGTCCAAGTGAAAACCCATGGGAGGATATTGTTACAAACAAAATGAGAAATTCAGGAAAGAGTTGCCAAAGGGATATAGAATTAAGTAAAGCAAGATATTCTTGGAGTAGTGGCTGCTCCTGGGGTAGGGGGTGACCTTCTGGGAGTCCACAACAAAAGAGATACAGATTGGAGAAGCCATTTCAAAAGGAAAACAGCACATGTGGGGGATTCCAGTCTGCCAGTGAGTTTGCTTCTATACAGCATGAAGCCAAGCTTCTCATGGCTCACAAGCTTCAGAGAGGAATTATGGCTTTATGAGTTAACCTTCTTATTCCCCAGCTCATATGTTTGCTTTCTGGATAGGGACAACTATTGGGATTTTTAAAAGGAGGCATGTCAGAATGCAACCTGCACTTGGGGAGAATCCTCTGGGTTTGTGGCACACAATGCCTGCAGCCTAGAAGAGATGGGCCAGAGGAAGGCCAGGGTGATGGTAAAAGACATGCACCCCCCTTGACTGGGCCATGAGGTGTCCAGATGGTATATTCTTTGGAGTGTGTGTGTGAGGGTTTTTCTGGAGGAGATTAGCATTTGAATTGGTGGATTCAGTAAAGGAGATTTTCCTTTCCAATGTGTCTCATGAAACACATAATTTTTCATTTCTTGAAATTTGTCACTAGAGGAATGAAAGGATGATCTTAAGTAGGGAGAATATCCCTTCAGGATAAAAAAAAGAAAAAAACACAATCATGATATGCTTTTTTTTTTTTCCCCACTGGAGATAGAGTCTCATTCTGTTTCCCAGACTGCAGTACAGTGGTGCTATCATAGTTCACTGCAGCCTCTAACTGCTGGGCTGAAGCAATCTTTTCACCTCAGCCTCTGGCATGGCTAGAACTGCAAGTATATGCCACCACACCCAGCTAAGATTTTTTTCTTTTTTTCTCTTTTGTAGAGACAGAGTCTTGATATATTGCCAGTCTGGTCTCAAAACTCCTACCTCAAGCAATCCTCCTTCCTCAGCCTCCCAAAGTGCTGGGATTACAGACATGAGCCACCACACTGGGCTTTTTTTTTTTTTAATTACACAAATTACACTTGCTTCACACAATACAAAAATGCATAGCATTAAAATTGGAAGCCTTCTAACTCCCACTCCCTGGAGGTAACCATTACTCAGTGTTTAACTATTTAGGGTACATCGTTTTAGCCCTTTTCTTATGATGCCACTGTATTTGTGTGTAGACCCACATGTACACAGAGATATGCTAAACTACACTCACCTACATGCACCTTTATGGAATGAGGCCGCTGACTAATTCACCAACATCCAAAGCAAGTACCTATAGATTAATGGGACAGAAATCCCAAATGCTTTAATTAAATTTTTAGTCAATTTTTTTTTTTTTGGAAGTAGGTCTAACAAAAGTGATGACATCTTTTTCCTAGGCTCTTAAGTGAATTGTCACTGTGGATCCCTGAAATGCTGGACATCCCTTGGGATGGGAAGGCACTCAGAGCACTTCCTGCCTGGTAGCACTTACAAGTTGCATTAGTCTGTGCAGTGCTAACATGATTCTTGTGTCAAGGATAGCTTCCAGAGGACCTCAGCAAGCAAGCTGTTCTGCTTTGGTTTGTCCTCCTTAGTGATGGAGGTATTGTGCTGTCCACACATTTACAGTCCTGTAGATTTTCATATGTCCACACTGACACAGTCACATCTCTTGTTCCGTCTCCTGTGCCAGTGGCTTCAGGGCCAGCTGTTACCTTTAGGAACCAGAAAGCACCAACGTCAGCTACCAGGCCAGGAAGGAAGCCAGCAGAAGAATTATAGCCCTTGGTTTATAGGCTGCTTTGATAATCCATTACTTTCTAAGTCTGGTCAGCGGGCCTCAGTGTTGAGGGGCAGTATAACACCTAGGTGGCAGGAGCCTCACAGGAGAGGGACCCATTTGTGTACATGTCACAAACTATGTCTCCACCTGCCTGTCATTCCTGGCCTCCCCTCATCCAGATTTATCACCTGGTGCTGGGGCTATGCCAGTTAGATCTACCCAGGGTGTTGGGGCTTCGAGTCTCATTAGATGGACAGTGCCTAGGAACCCCAGAACACATTCTCTGTGCCATGTTCAGGAAACATACACCCAAAGAGTATTCATGCCCCTTGTCCTTGTTGGTGTCCACTATGGTCGTGTTGGTTCACAAGCATTGAGGACTCGCTGCATGTCATGTTTTCAGTGCTTTCACTCATGGGGGTATGTGTCAGCCTCCTGCCACCTCTAAGAAGCAGCCAGTCTTAGCACAGAGAATGGCAGAGAGGGCTGCAGGGGTCAAGTTTCTTGCCCAAAAGCTTGCAGCCTCTGATTATGGAGGCTGGCCTCAAACCCAGTTGGGGAATGAAGAGTCCATAGCTCTTAGCTACGGTGCTCTATTGCCCCAGATGATGTGGCGGTGACCTTCTGTTGAGGTAGACAACATCAGAGTACAAAGGGGAGAAGATGTGTTCTGACACAGGCCACAAGGCTGAGCCCTTTAAGGCCTGTATAAGTCATGTGGATAAGTCCCCAGTTCTTGGGGAGTCTGCCTTGCCCCTCTCCGTTTCTGGTAGTGGTTTCAATTTGGGAGACTCAGCTGATTCTCAGGCACTGGAGGGGCCCTGCTGGCAAAGCTGGACCTCAGGGATTTTTACTTAGGCAGATTGTACTTCTTGGATAATAGCATAATTAACGGACACATACAACAAGTGAAAAGGGAAATTGTATGCAGACAGTTATGGTAACACATTCAACTTATGCTGTACTCCTGTTGCTTTTAACAAATCTAATTAGCCCCATGTTCAGGAAAATTTGTGATTGTAGGGAGGAAGAAGCCCATTTGCCAGTCAAATGTAAATGACGAGTCTTTAAAATTCTTACTCCCTTTTTCCTTTAAAATATCACATTATTCGATGATGTATATGGACATTATTCCTCTTTTCTGACTATGGTGGCTTTCATAGGCAGCTAATTGCCTTGTTATTTAGCAAATTGTAATGAAAACATCCTAGACTAAGGAAAATAAGATACAGATCTTTGCTTCTGATCATCCTAGATATTACCTCACTGCGCAGGTGGAGATGTTTCTCAAATAATTACAATTTCTGTTTTTTGCTTTGTTTGTTTGACATAGGATCTTACCCTCTTGCCAAGGCTGGAGTGTAGTGGTCAGTCATGGCTTACTGCAGCCTTGACCTCCCGGGCTCAAGTTATTCCCCCACCTCACCCTGCTGAGTAGCTGACACTACAAGTGTATGCCCACCATGCCCAGCTTTTTTTTTTTTTTCTTTTCTGTAGAGACATGGCCCTAGGCTGATTTCAAACTCCTGGGTTCAAGTGATCCTCCTGCTGCAGCCTCCCAAAGTGCTATGGTTACAGAAATGAGCCACAACACCTGGCCCAGTTTCTATTTTTTAAATGTGTGGTGGTTCTGCTGCTGATTTCTAAGTCTTTAGGAGTATAGGATAATGAATAAGAGAAATCCTTACCTCAAGGACCTCTCAACTCAAAGGAGAGGAAATGAGTAGATAAATGACCACGTTCGGTTTAATCAAGTCACTTCCCCTCTGGGAGGGGTGTGCCCACAGCATAGGACCACAGTGTGGAGCTGCACAGACAGGCTTTGAGGGGTGTTAGGTGCCAACACACTCTGCACACTGCAGTCAGGATGAGCAAACAGTGAGGGCAGTGCTTGGCAGGTGAACAGCCAGGATACAGAGCACTGCCAGCTTGCCTCTAGTCCTAGCAACGCCTCACAGCCTTCTGGCGCCAGCAGTGGACATGGTTGCAGAAAGCAACCAGTGAGAATTACTTTCAATTTTCCATCTGCCACACAGAGAAGGTAGGAGAGGCTTGCAAAGGGAATAGGATCTGGTCCTTTTGTTACTTGGGCATAGAAACTTGAAGTTTTCCTTTTGATTGAGTTCTGGGAAGTCAGTGTGAATCTGCCTCCAGACCTTATTCTCCTGTCTCAGTATGATGTCCCTAGAGTTGTCAAATCCATAGAGACAGAAAGGAGAATTGTGATTGCCAGGGGCTGGGGGAGGGGATGGAGGTTTTAGCGATTAATGGGGACAGAGTTTCACCTTCAGGAGATGAACAAGTTCTGGACATGGATGGTGGTGATGGCTGTACAACAGTGTGAATGTACTGAATGCCACAGAATTGTACCCTGAGAAATCATTAAAAGTAAATTTTATATAGTCGGTGTTTTACCGTATACAACCATAGTTATTCTTTTTCAAAAGACAAGAAGCCATTCAAGGATTTTGGAGTTGTGTTTTGGCAAAGCTTCTGTGCAGATGAGGTAGAAAGCCTGTGGTGTATAGACACAAATGTGGGTTTTCACATAAATGTTGTGGATAAGTGCATCTCCCCATCCCCAACAGAATTATACACTCCGTCCGGGAAGACAGGTGTCTCTTGTATGCCCCAAGCACCTGGGTCATGGGGACCTGGGCCCATTGTCATGGGCAGGTTTCAGTGAGGTCAGGAGCACCTTGCACCACACCTGCTCTCCTGAGGTGGTTTCTGCACCACTTCTATATGGTGGGAACTTTCATCGCCGTAGCACAGTAGACACAAGAATACAGGGAAAGTCTTACTCTCTCCTTTCTAGAGGATTCCTTAGAGAGTAGACTGTAAAAGCAAGACTTTAATATTTGAGATTATTGACAGAGACAATATCAACAGAAACTTATTGCCTTATTGTTGAATAAGGCAAAATGAATCCATTTTCATGTGTTATTTAAAAGAAGCATACTTTTCTATTACCTCTTATTTGTGAAGGAATTGAAAACTGAAACTCTTTCCCAGTCTTTATATCATTTGCACTTTTATGTTGGCCGTGTGACATAGTCAGGATGGTCTTATTTGCATTATATAGGAAGTGAGGATACAGGTTCAGAGAAGTGAAGCAGAGAAGAAGTTTGACCCTGGCATGGTAGGCTATTACCAGGTTGCTTTTATTTAGAACCTCTGGTATGGCTTTCTCTGCAATGAGTTAAATGCCTTAATCAGATTGGGTTTTATAATACTTGTGCTTGTTTAGTTAAGATAATTTACATTGTTTAATCATATGGAGACCTTAGTAGAGAATCAGGAAAATTCAATGAGTTATCATTTTCTAGTTTATGTTTTTCTTCCATTGGCTATTAATCATAAGCTATTTAAATAGCTGTTTTATACATTTATTTTGTAGTGATAGATCCTTAGAAGTAGCAACCTGAAAAGTGATTCAAAGTAAATGAAATTAGTACTGTAAGCAGCTTTCTGGCAAATCAAAGAAGACACAAAATCAAATATTTTTCTGAGGATCCTCAGTGTTTTGAGATAGTTGGTCAGGTTCTTCAAATCTTAAGAAAGCCAGTGGAAGAAAAAAAGTCCAGTTAAGCCTGGGTGCAATGGCTCACACCTGTAATCCCAGCACTTTGGGAGGTCAAGGCAGGTGTATCGCTGGAGGTCAGGAGTTTGACAGCAGCCCGACCAACATGGTGAAACCATGTCTCTATAAAGATACAAAAAAATTGGCCGGGCGCGGTGGCTCACGCCTGTAATCCCAGCACTTTGGGAGGCCGAGGCGGGCGGATCACGAGGTCAGGAGATCGAGACCATCTCGGCTAAAACGGTGAAACCCCGTCTCTACTAAAAATACAAAAAAAATTAGCCGGGCGTAGTGGCGGGCGCCTGTAGTCCCAGCTACTTGGGAGGCTGAGGCAGGAGAATGGCGTGAACCCGGGAGGCGGAGCTTGCAGTGAGCCGAGATCCCGCCACTGCACTCCAGCCTGGGCGACAGAGCGAGACTCCGTCTCAAAAAAAAAAAAAAAGAAAAAAAAAAAATTAGCTGGGTGTGGTGGCAGGTGCCTGTAATCCCAGCTACTTGGGAGATTGAGGCAGGAGAATTGCTTGAAACTGGGAAGCAGAGGTTGCAGTGGGCTGAGATTACACCACTGTACTCCAGCCTGGGGAACAGAGTGAGACTCCATCTTAAAAAAAAAAACAAGAAGGAAAGAAAGAACAAATAAAAAGTCCAGTTAAATGTGCCTTTCCTTTAAGTTTCCAAAGCTTTGCACATTCTAGTGAAACCTAGGAGACCTGAGTTAGCACAGTCAAGTGATGAACTAAGTATGTCCTGATCAGAACAAAATACTGTTCATCAGTATCTTTCCCTTTCTTTTTTATGTACTATTGACAGCTGGCTATAGAGATGGCATAATGTCCAGAAAGAATGCTGGTGTAGCTTCTGTAAGGAGAAGAGACTCCTGATGATCAAAAAGTCTTTTTCATGGAGTTGCCAATGACCCTTTGGAAGTGTTCAGTGCCACTTGTTTCTCATATCAATGTAAAACTGTGAAAAGTCCTCTGCTTCTCATCTGTTACATAACACAAAAAAAAATTTACTTGATTTTGAGGGCAAAGAGCAAATTCTAAAACTGATAGTAGACTCCCACATTGAACTGCGAATTTGCCAATGGTGTTATCCTTTGTCACACAGGATGGAGCACAAGATTGTGTCTGAGGGGGTGGGGTCTGACCTGTTTGGGGTGAGGTGGGGGCTTGTGGGAGCCCGCATGGTAGCCTCCAGCCTCTTCATTGTGACAACACAGGAGTTTCTGTTGTTGCAACTGGCTCTCCCTGTTAGATACAGGTGAGATGTGACGCATATAATCAGAGGGTCACTTACCAGCTAGCTTGAGGGAAGTGGGCATTTTCTGAATGTCCCACATTTTAGAAAAATACTATAAAACTCCCAAAAGAGATACTGTCTGGGTTGTATGAATCTTATTTTTCTGATTTTTCTTTGTACGATGCACAGCCTATTGTAAGGGCAATTTAATAAGGAAATTTAAGCATGTTGGTATATCAAACTGATTTAATCTTTATATACATCCTTTTTGTCGATTAGAGATTTATATGAATTTTATTTCATGGGACTAAGAATTTTTTTTTTAATTTAAAAAATTCTGCTCCTTTCTGGTTGCATTGAAATGGGGGGTCTGTGGCTCATAAAATGTTCTATACTTGGTTAACTAAAAAAACTCTATTTGGATTCAGCTGCATAGTACAGGAACTGTACTTCAAACTAACATTAATAAACCTTTATGCTACATATTTTTAGTGAGTTATTATACAATATATATAATATGTAGATTCCAAATATACTTTAAATTCTCAATATTATTTTGATAATTTGCTCCAATAATGCTGTAATAATTTGAGGAGTGTTAGACATTATTTAACTAAATGGTTAATGGAAGAAACTCACTGGGGGCTTTTGGATTCTGTTTCTAGGATGGTAATTCTCTCATGAGGTTAATTTCCTATCTGGTCTGTGCATGAATTCCTTGAAAAACTGACAGTAATTCTTCTCATTAGTGTCACAGGCAAGGGGGCGAAGGGGTTAGGTGTCAATGCCTGGCTGACTTCCTGCATTACAAAATATACCTCTTATATTTCCATCCTACCTAATGTTACCGCTTTCCTTTCACCTCTTGGGCCTGCGCATGATTTGTTTGCTATCTAGCAGAAGCCAGCAAGCTTTCTCTATGTTTTCAGCTTTGCAGACCCCATGGTGTATGTGTGAAGCCTTCAGCTTTGCTGTGTTGAGAAGCAAGTAGCCGTAAACAGTGGTGAGTGCGTGCTGGTGCTGCGCTCCGAACTGTCTGTAAAGACATAGAAAGTGGAACTTCATCTCATTTTCACAGGTTATAAGATCATTGTTAAAACACGTTGTGAAAGAGTGAAAATACTCTTTTCATTTAAAAACATGTAGTAGGGTGAATTTCTGTTTTTAAAAAAACACAGGATAAAACAAAGAGCTAAAACACTGCAGAGCAGTTTAAATTCAAAATATGAAGTAGCCGAGCCACTGGGCCCTCCACCCCAAGTTGTGCATTCAAAATGCCACCTGGGGCAGAAAACAGGTTTATACACAGAGCCAGAAAGACTTCAGATCTCTGGTGATCAGGCACAGTGGAGGATGTAGATAAAAGATCCCTGCACCCTGCGCTGTGAGCCCGCCAGGTCCCTTCACCTCACTCTTTTTTATGCACAGCCAAAAAAGATCCTAGAGAACTCTTCTCTGGGGAAGGAAGTTACCTCATGACAACAACCCTCAAATACCAATATTTCAAGGCCTATTGATGAAAAAACTAACTACAGGTAGTAACTTCCAGTTTGGAGAAGGCTCCCACTTGTGCCCCCAAGTGGTGCTGTGTAGCTTACTTAGAATCTGCCTGGTGACTCAGCCCCCAGTCTTCTGTTGTGGGGATCCACATCTGAAATGTAGTCCTCTCTGGGGAACACACATCCTTTCCAGATGCTCCTGTAATCTATATATTCTTCCCTGCCTTTCAAGAGGCTTAGAACTTAAACTTTGGTTGTCATTTTTGTTGATATTATGCTCTTCAGTCCTAGTATAGCCATTTTCTAAAAGGAAAGAAAAGCAAAGATCATGGATCAGTAGCCAACGTTAGAGTCAGAGAGCAGTTTGCATGCAGGTTGTCACAGAGGCACATCTAGAACACAAGGAAACTCTCATGCATTTCATGTGTTGTAAAATGGCATTATACTGCAAAGTACTAGTCCAGTCATTCTCTGCAAGGGGTTTAAAAAAAAAGGGATCAGGGGTTAGTACTACTTGCTAGAGTCAGAGAACAATTTGTGTGTAAATTGCTACAGTGGCAAATCTGGATCACAAGGACACTCATACGTATCCCATGCTATTAGTAAAATGGCATTTTTTTTTGTAAAGTCATAGTTATTCTTTATAAGGGAAAGAAGCAAGGACCAGTACACCATTCTATAGTGAGAGTGAAGTTTTCATGTAAGATGTTACAGAGGCAAGTCTATACTGCAGGGAAATTTACAGTCATTTTTTAACATTAGGACATCAAGTCCTGCCTGGATGAGGGGCACTTAAGGTCAGTAAGATCAGGTGGAGAGCCCTTCCTTCCAAAGTCCTAGTGCTTAGCAAAGGAATGAGAAAGGGCAGACATTCACTCCCACTATCACACTCTACACCTGTAATGCCAGCATTGTAGGAGACTGAGGGAGGCAGGTTGCTTGAGGACAGGAACTCGAGACAATCCTGGCCAACAAAGTAAAATCCTGTCACTACTTAAGAAAAGGAAATTACACACTGTAGTCTTACGTTCACTTCACAGAAACTAATGTAGAAATGCAGAATCAATTTTTCTGAAATAAAATTCCTGCATTACTCAGTATTACTTTGTCTCTTGTTTTCAATGTCTGAAAAAAAAGTTTTGTTTTAACTTTTATTGTTTGATCCATCTGTAATTACCAGGCATTGCTCAGTGGTTTGAATTGCCCTCCCCGGCTTTCCATTTTAATCTGAAATTCTGCTGTAAGTCTGTGAAATTGGAGCAGAACACAAACTATGCCATTCATGATACTGATAAGGAGATTCTAGAGAAAGGCGCTTCTTTGGTTGGAGGAGTTTATGCCAGTCACATTTCAGCGATCCCAGAGAGCATTAGACAGCATATATTGCTGCAGAGCAAGCAGCCAGCTGTGGATAGAACAGCAGTACATTTGAAGGTAGTCGGATGCTCATCCTCTGTGTTGCACCAAGACCTGCAGATCAAATAAATGCAAACTAGACTCTTGCAACTGTTTGTTTGAAGATTTAAAAGGAGTTAGTTTATATTTATTTCCATAACTGCTTTATTTCCATCAGTATTTAATGTTTGCCAAAGAAGGAAACACAGGTTTCCCACACTGTCTCCCCATCAAGTATCACAAATTTGTGTGTCAAGTACCAGAATTTGAGAAAGATAATTAAGGTGGTTTAAGGTCATCTCACAGATAGAACCTCAGTCTATCCAAGTTTTTTCCTCCAGGGTCAATGCACTGTATTAGCTTCCTGGTAGTGCTGTGTTAATTAAGAAACTCCGTGGCTTAAAGCAGCAGAAACTTATTGTCTGACACCTCAGAAGGCTAGAAGTCCGAAGTCAAGGTGTGAGCAGGGCTGCACTCCCTCTCAAGGCTCTAGGGAAGGATCCTTCCTGCCTTTTTTCAGCTGCTGGTAGTTGCCGGCCACCCTTAGCTTTCCTTGACTTGTAGCTTCATCTCCCCAATCTCTGCCTCCATTTTCACATGCCCTCCCACAGCCTATGTGTCACTTTCTCCAAATTTCCCTCTCCTTTCATTGGATTTAGGGTCCAACCTTAATTTAGAATGGCCTCATAATAACTTGATTACATCTGCAAAGACCCTATTTCCAAATAAGGTCCTATTCCGACATTTTAGGTGAACATGAATTTTGCGAGGAGGGCACTGTCAAGCCATTATACCTCCACCCATACTTTCCTATTCATAGCCCAGACTGCCAGTGTCCAGGGTGCCCCAGAACCTGATGCTGCCCTGATCTGGGGTGCAGGCTTAGTCACTGCTATTTGGCTGGAGTGTTCCAGGAGGGCCCTGAGCTGGGGTGTGGGCTCAGTCACTTACGTTTGGCTGGAGTGTTCCGGGAGGTTCAGCCAGACTTGGCCAGAGCCCTGTTCCTCTTCCAGCCCCCCAGCCCAATTCCTTTCTCTTGTTTCCCTTCCTTCTATGCTACCACACTGTCTTACACTGAGGATATAGGTGAGTGACTCAATTCCATGAGACAGATCTCATGGTGCAAGCAGTGGTGATCCTTGATACTAGCTTTGAGTTGGTGAAAGGTCCCTAGTAAATTAGGACTGAAGATCTGCACATGACCAGGGGCCCTGTTCCTCCCAGCAAGCACCTTTTCAAAGCAGCAGAATTCATTTGGAAGGCCTGGAAAAAGGAAAGAGGTGCTTTGCCAAAATCAGTGATGTCTGAGAAAGAAGCTTGCTCCCTAGAGCTTGGAGAAGTTCAGAAGAGGAATAGGCCTAGGCATGGCTCTGCAGTAAATTATTAAGAGATGCCCAATCACAGTGGCTGTGGCTACCAGAAGTTTCCTGTGAGGGAACTAAAAAGCACACAGTAGTGTTTGTAAGTGATGGTTCCATTTTAATAGATAAACTTACAGAACTTATAAAAATCAAGAATCTATATTATTGACATTTCTTAAATTAGTTAATATTTCTTTTAAATTTATACTTGAAGTTACAATTTTTAAAACTATGTATATGAATGTGAATACTATGTACTCTGGGGAATATGACTTTGGTTATTTTCTAGCGTCAAGGATAAACACAGCCAAACAGTAGTTAAAGTGGTCAGCACAGATTTTCTTCCATAATTTACACTTTTGCAATAGAGAAAACACATATGTGAAACTGGACTCAACATCAATTAGCCCAGAGGTGACCGGACATTTTAAACGGAAACTCAGGGAGTAGGGAAGGGTTAGGAGGGGCTCAGCAGAGTCAGGGAAGTGAAAATTGCAAAAAGCGGGAAGAGGGTTTGGTCAGTGTGAAGCCATCTGGGTTTCACTGGTGCTGATAGAAGTCAGGCTCCTGCCCTTCCACAGAGGCTTGTCTAGCAGGGATGGCTGGAACCAATGATTAGTTAGTTATTTTGGCAGCCTTGAGTTTTCATAGGCAAGTACTTTAAGGGGATTAGAGTCATCTAGGGGTATGACCTTGAGCTGCTGAACATGTTCAAGTCTTTATAGGCCAGTGTAGGGGCATTGTAGAGAAAAAGACTCAGAGCAGCCTGGGTAGAGTCTGGTCCAGGAGACACTTTGTCACTGAGCGCGACCAGTCCATTACTCACAGTGCTAGCGACCTGTCCTCATGGACTTATGTTTCCTTCAATAAACCTTGAACAAGAAATAAATGAATCACCACATTTCTTTTAAAATTAAACAGATGTTAAACTTGCAGTTTGCTAAAATCCATTTTGTGGACCCCTCTGTGAATACCTGACCTATACAGCCTACCCCGTATGATGTAAAGTTAACTTGCATCCATTTTATGGAATCCCAGGTGCCTGTTTGGCCTGCAGACATCTTTCTGCTTTCCTGGTCAACTCACTCAGGGCATCAGCTATTCGCACAGCAGCAGCTTCCTGCATGTGGCCTCTGACTGTCCATTAATGACTGAATGCTCAGGGACTTGGCTCATGGGCCAAGTTGCCCATGTAAGACCCAGTGTTCAGAGAGCAAGACAAGTCCTTGCATTGTAAAGTGCCAAAAATTCTAGTATTCTAAAGCACAGTGTTTTTCAGAACATGGTACCTTCCTTGTGAGATCATGTGTGACATTTGTGAAGAACCTGGCACTGATGTTTCCTTAGGAAGCCTCACAACAGTAAGTGCTTTCAGCTAGCTCAAGGAACTTCAAGTAAGCAAGAAATAAGAATGGAAACACTGCATTACTGCATCAGATCTTGAAAGTTTTCTCTTGGATAAATGTGCCTGTCAGTCACATCGAATCTTATACCGTCTCCGTATGCTATACCACAACAGCAAAGTCTGATGGAGCGTGTGTGCTCCCTGGGTACACATTCTCCAGGAGGCAGCATCTTATTAGAGAGTAACAGGTCTGTCTTGTGTAGAGGAGAACACTAACCGCTCCATGAGAAGGCTCCCCACCATGAACTCGGATAACTGGATGCTATTTTTTTAACTTAATTGTTAATTGACAAATAAAAATCATATGTAGATATCATGCACAACATGTTTTGAAGTGTGTATACATTGTGGAGTGGCTGCATCAAGCTAATGATCACATGTATCATCTCACTTTCTGATCATGTTTTGTGGGGAGAACACTTAAAATCTAGAATCTGAGTGATTTTCACGTAGCCAGATGTTATTTTTAATGAACTTTGCCCTAATTTTCTATTCAATATCAGTCATATTTATTGAGGGCCCAGCATGTGCCAGCCAAGCGTGGCCTCCTAATTGGAAACACAAACTCTAAGAAACTCTGAGCATTGTCGTGTAGCGCAGTGGGCATCCTCACACCCCCACAGCCAGCATTCAGCTTGCTTCATCAGCCATGGATGGAGTCAAAGGAAAACTAGCTCGCCTTCCCACTATGTATCTGAAATCACTTTCTATTCCAATGTGCACACATGTACTGCAAGGAAAAGGAATGATTCCTGCCCCCACCACTGCCTTCCATTCCTAAGAACAGAGGGAATGGAGTATGAGGATGAGGAAAACAGAGGGCAGGAAATAAGCAGTTTATTGACGGGATGTCTGCATGGGGGTCTTGGGAGTGCAGAGGTTATGACTCCTTCTTGAGTGGAAGTTTCTAACCGCATACATACAAGTGAAATAACTGCAGCCAGCTGCTGGAGGTGTTGCGGTGAATCCCAGAGGGTTACAAGGGTGTGAGGAGCCTGGTAAAATTTCCAGGAAGTGATAGCACATGAGCTATGTCTTCACGGCAAAGATGCAGGTAACAGCTCAGATTCTGAGCCTTAGGAAGAGGGTGGAGGCCAGAGGGTGGCAGGGTTTCTCTGTAGTCCTCAGGAAGTGAAACTGCCTCACAGGGAACAAAGCAACATCAATCAGGCAGTTTCTATGTATATTTGAATATTGTCAGTGTTTTAAAAATCACACATGACATATATCTTTTGTTTTGTTTTGTTTTTGCTTTTGTGAGACAGAGTTACACTCTATTACTCATGCTGGAGTGCAGTGGCACGATCTGGCTCACTGCAACCTCTGCCTCCCGAGTAGCTGGAATTACAGGCACGCGCCACCACACTTGGCTGATTTTTGTGTTATTGATTGATTGATTGATTGAGATGGAGTCTCGCTCTGTCGCCCAGGCTGGAGTGCAGTGGCACGATCTCGGCTCAATGCAAGCTCCACCTCCCGGGTTCACGTCATTCTCCTGCCTCTGCCTCCTGAGTAGCCGGGACTACAGGCGCCCGCCACCACGCCCGGCTAATTTTTTGTATTTTTAGTAGAGTTGGGGTTTCACTGTATTAGCCAGGATGGTCTCCTTCTCCTGACCTCCTGATCCGCCCACCTCAGCCTCCCAAAGTGCTGGGATTACAGGCGTGAGCCACCACGCCCGGCCCAATATCCTTCTACATTTTTTTTTTTTTTTTTTCCGGGCAGAGTCTCGCTCTATTGCCCAGGCTGGAGTGCAGTGGCTCAATCTCGGCTCACTGCAAGCTCCGCCTCCAGGGTTCACGTCATTCTCCTGCGGCAGCCTCCCGAGAAGCTGGGACTACAGACGCCCACTACCATGCCCGGCTAATTTTTTGTATTTTTAGTAGAGACGCGGTTTCACCGTGTTAGTGTCCTTGTCTCCTGACCTCGTGATCTGCCAGCCTCAGCATCCCAAAATGCTGGGATTATCGGAATGAGCCACTGTGCCTGGCTGGATTTTTGTATTTTTAGCACACACGGGGTTTCACCACGTTAGCCAGGCAGGTCTCAAACTGCTGACCTGAAGTAATCTGCCCGCCGCGACCTCCCAAAGTGCCAGGATTGCAGGTGTGAGCCACCGTGACCGGCCAAACCTGCACATCTGACATATTTCTAGGGAGCGAGAAAGGGAAGCAGTCTGTTTACCACCTGCCCGGCAACCTCCTTGAACCGCATGCCAGACAGCTTGGTGTTTTAGCTGACATTGCCTGTGTCCGCCCTCATCTCCTGATTTGTTTTAACCCTTCTATGCTCTTTCTTCTTCTGGGCATTGTACTTTCCTAGCTTTCTGTTTTTGTTTTAAAGACTCAGTAACTTATGTCTCCATGAATACTATTATCATGACTGTTGCTTCTTTGCCCACTTTTCTCTGTATTGCCATTGTTTTCTGGCAGATTCTTGTCTTCTGCCTGTTTGTGTCTTCTTCCACAAACACGTGGCAGTGTCTGTTCTGCTCATTCACATTCAAGAACAGAGCACTTGTGTATTCATTTCTTGGGCTGCTGCCACAAGATACTGAAAACTCTCAACTTCTAATACAAGAAATTGACTCGCTCCCAGTTCTGGAGACCGGAAGTCTGAAATCAAGGTGTCTCAGGGCCACACGCCCTCTGGAAGTTCTAGGGGAGTGTCCTTCCTGCTTCTCCCAGCTCCTGGAGACTCCAGGCTTCCCTGGCCTTGTGGCCACATCTCTCCAGTCTCTGCCTCTGTTTCCACGTGGCCTTCTTCTCTGTTTTTCTCACCCCTTTTCGGTCACTTCCAAAGACAACAGTTATCACATTTAGGGCCCATCCTAAATCCAAGGTGAGCTTATCTGAAGATTTTTAACTTAATTACATCTTCAAAGACTTTTTCTAAACAAAAGCAGAAGTACCTTGCGTTAGGGCTTCTGTTTGGGGGCCACCATTCCACCTACTGCTCTCAGTCACACACAGCTTTTAAAGCATAACAGCTTCCCTTCAGGCAATTGCGAAAGTAGCCCCTAAGAAAGACAGCATGCCAAGGCACCTTCCCCATGGTGGGGTCAGGTGAGAGGGGCTAGGAACCCTTAGGATGCCCATGTAGGAGGTGGAGGCTCAGCAGAATCCCACAGGTGTGTCTTGTCTGCAACAGCATCACTGTCTTCTCTTCTCATAGCAAGGTGGCATCCATCAGCTGACCACATCGTCTGCCCCAGTGGCAGACTTCCATGGCTCACTTCAAGTCCTCCATGTCACACTGTCTTCATAGAGCTGTCTTCCATGTCTCACTTCATAGAGCTCTTCTAGACTGAGGCCTAGGACATGGTTCTCGGCACACAGCATTAATGACATGCCTGGCCCTCTAAGCGGTTCCCTCTCCCCATTTGCGCTGTCAACCCCTATTACCCCCAACTTGCTTCTGCTGCTCACTGCAGGTCTCAGTACAGAGAATGTCCAGGCTCGTAGGGTTCTGATGGCCAGATCACCCAAAAATGAATGCCAAGAACACCTGAGACCGCGCGGCAGCTGCCTGTCTTCTGCCTCTTTCCTTTGTTTAATCCTGTTTAATTGCACATCCCTGTTCTCACCCACCTTGGGTCTCTAGGATGGAGGAAAGCAGGAGCGTTTCTTCCCACTCACAGTGCTGATTCTCCACATTCCCCAGTTCTTCCCCTGGAGAGGTGTCCTGTGAGCTGATTGTTTGGAGCAACAGATATCTAGATATCTGTCTCTCTGCGCTTCCTGTAAACCCACGGAAGCACACCAAATTCTAGGAGCTGGGAACTGGAGTTCATTTATACACGTAATTAACCAGCTTCTCCCTAGAACAGAACTCCATTTGCATTTTTTAGTCTTTTACTTCTCAGGGAAGGCCAGTGAGTAAGACAAAGTTTGTGTGCAATCTTTAAAAGATGAAAAACTTTGTGAAGGCATCAGGCAGTTTTCAATCAGGTGATTAGGATCGTTCCTTCCTGCTGATACACTGGAGCTATATCTGATGATAACGACACTACCTAACATTTATCTGGGGCTTCCTCACCCATGTCATTTTCCAGGCATTGTTCTTCTTGTGAATTAATTCCATGAGGAACAGTAATCATTTCTCTTTGACAGATGACAAAATTGAAGCTCAAAGAGGGCATATAATTGACGGATGTCCCATAGTCTCTGACTGTGGTCATAGTCTTGTCTTGGCTTTCATCTTCATAGGAGTCCGTAGCATTTTGAAGATGTCAGTATGCTGTGGTGCTGTAAAGCAATCTTCCAAAACCATTTTTGATTCATTCTCCGTCAATAAGAATATTGAGCTGCATTCCAGTCTAAACACATTGGTGTGCATTTGTTTATGTACTCCACTGTTACAGCTGGTATCTTAGAAAGAATTCACAGCAATAGAAATGCAAAAAGGATAAGCTAAAATAAAATAATAGGCTGGGCACAGTGGCTCACACCTGTAAGCTCAGGACTTTGAGAGGCTAAGGCAAGAGGATTGCTTAAGGCAGAAGTTTGAGATCAGCTTAGGCAACAGAGGGAGACTTTGTCTCTACAAAACATAAAAATTTACTGGGCATGGTGGCATGCTCCTGTAGTCCCAGCTATTAGGGAAGGTGAGTCTGGGGGATTGTTTGATCCCAGGAGGTTGAGGCTGCTATGATTGCTTGACTGTACTCCAGCCTGCATCACAATGCAAGACCCTGTCTCAGAACAATAATAATAATAAAAAATATGTATTTAAGTTTTTAAAATTAATAGCACCAAAGTACTTTAACAAAATTTTCTTTATGCATTGTGTTTTACAGAGAGCCATGTGTTTAAATGTCCTCCATTATTTTTTTAAATATTGCTTTAAAGATGTGTGATACAGTAATTTTAAAATCTTGTTTTAAATTCAGGTTTTGATACTCAGCTTTAATGACTATGTACATCCAGACAGAAGTTCATGATTGCCTAATTTTTTTTGTTTCTTTTTTTTGTTTGTTTTCTTGAGATGGAATCTGGCTCTGCTGCCCAGGCTGGAGTGTAGTGGTGCAATATTGGCTCACTGCAACCTCCACTTCTGGGTTCAAGCGATTCTCTTGCCTAAGCCTCCCAATTAACTGGGATTACAGCATGCACTACCACACATGCTTGGCTATTTTATATATATATATATATATATATATATAACCTTTATTTTATCTCATCTACCAGTTGTGTTAAGGTTAACACTGAAGTTTAGCTTATAAATGTAGTCTTCTGTGATACTAATCAGTGATTGTTGCAAACTAATGAAGTAGTGCGATATTTTAGTATTTTTAACTAATGAATTCATGTTCTGTAGAAGCTCTTCAGGTGGAGTACTTCTACACTGATTGAATATTGTTTTTATGTGTGGAGGTGTATATATGTGTTCATGAGATCTGTCGTTTTCTTGTCTGGCTTTTGTCTGGTTTTGGGATCAGGGAAGTGCTGATGTAAAATGAGTTGAGAGGTGTTCCCTCCAATTTTCTGAAAAGTGTGTTTAGAATTGGCATTCTTTTTTTTCTTGGGAAGTCGGTAAATTTACCAGTGAGGGTGTCTGATCCTAGATGTGAGAAGGAGGTTTTTAACTACAAATTCAATTCTTTTCATAGGCAGAAAGCTATTCAGGTTATTCATGTCTTCTTGAGGGAGTTATATCTTTCAAAGAATTATCTCATTTCATCTAAATGGTCAAATGTGTTGCCATTAATCCTGTAAAAATTAAGTTTTTATCATTTTATTGATGTTGGGATCTGTAGTGATGTCCCCTCTTTCCCTGCTAATATTGGTACATTTGGATCTTCTTTATTTTTTTTGATCAGCTTAGCTAGAAATCTACTAATCTAATTTCTCTTTTCAAAGAACCCACTTTTGATTTAGTTGGTTTTCTGTATTCTACTTTTCATTTCGTTCATTTTCTCTCTTATTTTTATTATTTCCTTCCTTTTATTTGTTTTGGGTTTATTTTGCAATTTTACTTCACTTTCTTGGGGTAAAAGCTTACATCATTGAATTTTCTTTAAGGTGTTTAATGTGTCAACTTAGATCACTTATTTGAGACCTTATTATTTAACATATCACTCAATGCCATCAGTTTTCCTCTAAACTGTGTTTTAGCTACATCTCAGAAATTTTGATAGTTTTTGGTTCTCTACAAAATACTACTAGTTTCCCTTTGTGATTTCATTTTTGACCCATGCCTTACGTAGAAGTTTAACATCCAAATATTTGTGGCTCTCCAAATTCCTTTCTATAATTATTAATGTCTATTTTAATTCTATCATCATTAGAGAAGTTATTCTATATGATTTTAAGTATTTTATAATTTTTGAGAATTGTTTTATTGTTTATAATAGGATCTTTCCTATTGGGTGTTCTGTGTGCACTTAAAAATAATGTGGATTTTGCTGTTGTTGGGAGAATTATTGTGTGAACATCTATTAGGTCAGGTTGCTTGACAGTGGTTCTGAAGTCTTCTATATTCTTACTTCTTTTCTAATTTTTATATAAATTTTTCATAGAGGAGTTTTAAACTTATTTCTACATTTGTGTTTCTCCATTCAGTTCTATTAGTTTTTGCTGTATACATTGTGAAGCTCTGCTATTTGGTGTTATTTAGGATTATGTCTTATTAATGAACTGACATATTTATGATTATGAAATGTCCCTATTTATCTCTGATGATAGTCATTCATTGTTCTAAAGGCTTATCTGTTATGTGCTCCAGATATCTGTGTGTTGCCTTACCTTGAATGGCTTTAGATGTTTGGAAAAAATGACTATGTTGATTCTTTTGTGTAACAATTGACAAAGTAGGGACGTTAGGTTGTGATATTATTAAAATAGACGTGATTATATGACAATTTAAAATAAAATTTTAGAGAAACCATCATACCTTGTATGGATTTAGATGTTCCTGATGTGCTAGTCAGCATAAGTTAAAGTTGGGAAGGATCCTGGTATTTTTTATTCTTTCTGATAACTAGTCCTCTCATAATTGGCTCTATGGTGACCTCCATGAATGCGTGTGGTCCCTGGAATTAATCCATATGGCTAATGACAGTGTGAGGATGCTCTTTTCATATGGCATGTTGCTGTTGATCAGCTGTGTTCAGCAGCTTTCTTTTGTCCCAATCCCTTGTTAAGTAATGCTGCAGCAGTCCCTCAGCCTCAGCCTTTTCCAGTGTCTGGTGGAGGACGTTGTGTGATTTCCTCTTCTCAGCAGGGTGAAGAATGATTGAAATGTTTTCTGCAGAATACGGCAGTTTTGCAGAAAACACAAAAAGCACAGTCATTGTGTATTTGCTGCTGTGGAATAAAAGTATGGTTCAGCGAGTCCCTGCTCTGTGGCCTTCCCTGTGCCCTGGCCAGATCCCAGGTCTAGTCATTTCCTGGACCTGCTACCTGCCCTTCTCCACATTTAATAAAGAGGCCCAGCAGACAAAGCAGCAGTGCCTCCCAGTGCACTTCTTTTCTGTTCCTTTGGGAAATGCACTGCTCAACCGCCAATAGCTTTTTTGAGTTTTTGGTTTATTTTGAGCAGGGATATTTTGGAGCCGAGAACCCCCTTTCAGACAGTCTATCCTAAGTCAGAAATTCCTCAAAAGAAGCAGCCTGAGAGTGTGCTGCCACTCAGCTGGAAGGACCGTCCCTGGAAGAAGGCCTTGTAGTGGAGGCCTCACCCCTCACTGCACTCCTTCCCTCCATCTCCCCAGGAGCTGAGAAACTGGTTGTCAGAAAAAAGGCATCCCCTTTGCGCTGGCCACCAGGTTGAAGTCTGCATCGTTTGAGATGAAGACAAGCCGCCACAAGGAGATCTTCAGCTTGTTTTCCCAGACTGTGCTGGGAGATGACCCCAAAGTGCAGCGTGGCAAGCCAGACCCCGACATCTTCCTAGCTTGCGCCAAGAGGTTCTCTCCCACTCCTGCCGTGGAGAAGGTAAGAGGGTGCCAGTGACATGGGCCGTGTTCCACAACCATGTTACCCCACATAATATCCACGTAGTGTTTACCAAATGTGAAAAGCTGTAATTTGTGCTATTGAAGGCCACTTTGCAGTGCTCCTTAGAATTTGGGTATGTGGGCAGGGAGATGGTCTGGTTGGAAGATTTTGTGAGGAATCGTGGCCACACCTAAGTCTCTAGGCCAGGGAGACTCAGCCAGAATCCACTGGGTCTCAGGGACAGGCTGGTAAGATTACAGTGACAGGAAAAGGCCTATTCAGACATTTTCCAGGGAAGCAGTGGTTTTAATGATGTGGGGCTTAAAACAGTCTTATTGTCTAGATGCAGGCTTTAAGGTGAGTATTCACTGCAGTTCAGATGTAAATCACTAAAACTCACTTCCCCTCCCCAACTGCTTATAGAGTTCTCATCGGTTGCTGAAGAATTTTTCTTGTGTAGTGACATTGAGTTTTTATGGCCAGCTGGGTTTTTTGCGCTTCCATCTATTTCTCCATTGGAAAGGGCAGCTGGTGGGCTTGTATTCCATAACACCTCCTGTCCTGCACCTCAGCCCTTGGTTCCCTCTTGTTATATGAGTCTCCTCCACAGGTGACTTGGGCAGAGGGTTTAGAGAGCTAACCGCTCATGGTGGCCGGCCGGGCCTGGCTCCAGATTCCTCTGACAGCTCTATTACTGCTGACATGGAGTCCTTGGCCTGAACGATTTGCAGATATACATTCTAGAATCACAGCAGGGCACCCTTGAAAGAGGAGCTTTTCTGTTGATATTAGTGTAAGCAGCTGGGGAGGGTGTCCATCAGGGAGTCCCTGCAAATGCCTCTTTCCCTTGGGTGCCTGCGTGTAAGGACTTCAGTGATTTGTGTGGAGGAACATTTTGGTGAATGGTCTTTTTAATACCGCACCTCTCACTGCTAACCACTGACACCAATCACAAGCTCAGGGAAATTACTCAGAAACCTCCTTCCCAATAAAACTGAGCTACTGGAGTAGTCTTGGAAGACCTGGAGTTTTGACTTTTTTTTTTTTTTTTTTTTTTTTTGCCTAGCGTCCAACTTAGTACCTCAAACCTATAGAGGCAGCCAGAACATGTGCCTCAGTATGCAGACCTCTCATTCTCTGAAGCCAATTTGGTATCCAACAATTCACTTCAATTCTGACACTGACACCTAGGTTCAGCCCAGACCACACAGGTTAACTCCTCAGTCCCCCAAGACACCCAATGAAGATGCCCATCACACATTCCAGGGGCCTCCTACCTGTACTTCTGATTGACTGGCTACAAATTGGGGGCTCTTGGCTAGGCATGGTGGCTCATGCCTGTAATGCCAGCACATTGTGAGGTCGAGGTGGGCAGATCACCTGAGGTCAGGAGTTCAAGACTAGGGTGGTCAACATGGTGAAACCCTCTCTGTATTAAAAATACCAAAATTAGCCAGTGTGGTGGCAGTTACCTGTCATCCCAGTTACTTGGTAGACTGATGCAGGAGAATCACTTGAACCCTGGAGGTGGAGGTTGCAGTGAGCCGGGATCACAACACTGCACTCTAGATCTGGGTGACAGAGCAAGACTCCATCTCAAAAAAAAAAAAAAAAATTCAGGGGTTCCTGCAACCCTCTTTTCCGATCTGATAATCCCCTAATGTGACTGATAGAGCTCAGGAAAACACTTTGATACACTTGCTGGTTTGTTATGAAGGATACAACTCAGAGACAGCCAAATGGAAGCAAAGCATGGGCTGTACCCACAGCATGTGGGTACAGTGCTCCCCTGCCCTCTCTGGGTACCTGACCCTCCCAGCACCTCCGTGTGCTCACCAAACTCAAAGCTCCCCAGCCTCCTAATGTATGGGTTTTTATGGAAGTTTTTACATAGGCGTTAGTGATGCCTTCACTAACCATGGCTCTTTGAAGTCAGTCCATGCCACCACTCCCTTCCTGGAGATGGGGAGAGGGCTGAAAGTTCCAATTTTGTTTGTTTGTTTGTTTATTTTGAGTTGGAGTCTTGTTCTGTCACCCAGGCTGGAGTGCAGTCCTGCAATCTTGGCTCACGGCAACTTCCGCCTCCTGGGTTCAAGTGATTCTTCTGCCCCCAGCCTCCTGAGTAACTGGGATTACAGACACCCACCACCACGCCCGCATAATTTTTGTATTTTTAGTAAAGATGGTCTTGTCATATTGACCAGGCTGGTCTGAAACTGCCCTCAGGTGATCCAACCCCGTTGGCCTCCCAAAGTGCTGAGATTACAAGTGTGAGCCACTGCACCTGGCTCCAATATTTTAATCACATGTTTGGTCTTTCTGACCTCTAGACCCTGTCGTTAAGCTATCCTGGGCCCACAAGAGGCACCTCATTTGGTTGAAAATGGCTCATTAATCATTTGGAAATTCCAAGTGGTTTAGGAGCTCTGTGTCATGAACTAAGGACAAAAATTGAGTGTGTAGTTTTTATGATACCACAGCTATAAACAGTCATTGAAAGAGAGTGGGACATTCTTAGCAACACATATACCTGGGCTGATTTAAATTTCATTCTTGATTTAAGTCTCATTATTGAATTCAACTTGACTGCAATTGCTTGATGTGGGATGTGCCTGAGACCTCTTAGCTAGTAAATCAGAGAGTCAAGTCTGAGCCTCCAGGTGCAGCTGGAATGAGCCTCCAGGTGCAGCTGGAACAGTTCCCAGTGGGAACATGTATCTGCTTTTTATGTCTGGACATGTGTATGTCTCCATGCTTGGCATCCTGTTACAAATTCCACTGTAACATGTTCGTTTTTCCTACGAATTTCTCCTCATGAAAGACTTATCCCATAGCTTCCTCTCAGAAGGCTGTAAAGCCTTCCTCTCAGAAACACCATTTTTTTTGTTGTTGTTTAACCTGAATTATGGTTCCTAGAAAAATGAAGGTGGTGCATTCCATACAGGAGGTCCCAGAGTTGATCACAGTATGTTGGCACTTGCATTCAGCGCTGTACTTATGAACTGATAAAGACGAGGTAAAATATTTGCCTTTGTAACATGAGCTGTTCCTATAACTAAGGCAATTAAACTAAATTTCAAGTACAGGCAGTCCTTGTTTTGCAATGCACTGTGTTAATGGAAACATGGTGATCTATGTGGGGTTTTTTTGGTTTTCATTTTGTTTTTCAGATAGGGTCCCACTTTGTTGCCCAGGCCATAGGCAGTAGTGGCACAATCATAGATCACTGCAGCCTCCAACTCCTGGGGTTCAGCAATCCTTTTGCCTCTGTCTCCTGAGTAGCTGGGACCACAGGCACACACCACCATGCACAGCCAGGTGTGGGAGCTCACACCTGTAACCCCAGCAGTTTGTGATCCTGAGGGCAGAAGGATGCTAAGACCCTGGAGTTTGAGACCAGCTAGGGCAACACAGCCAGACCCTGTATTCACAAAACATTAGCCATGTTTTAAAATGTATGTAGAAGCAAAGTGTATGTGGAAAACACATGCTGCCTTTGCATGGGACCAGTTATGGTGAAACCCACAAAGCAAGGGCCCTCATGAACAGGAATGTCTCTCACAAGGTACCCTGCAAAAAAAAGGACCATGGAATGAACTGTTTTAACATCTTGGTGTTCTCACTGACAATGTTTGTTTAGACTTGTCATAGAAAAATGAGCAATTGCATTTTTAAAAGTCATTTAGCTCTTAGAAAGTTTTAAACATTATCGTTAATGTTATCTGTGTTTACTTACAGATGTATTTCTCTTGCAGAAATGAAATGTTTCCTCTCATCTTCTTTCTTAGAGACAGTGAGACCTTGTGGATTTTCCTCTTGTGATGTGCATATTGTAATATTAAGGAAGATTTTCGCAAGCTCCTGCCAGAAAAGCAGCCCTGGTTTTGTACTTGGTGTTTGAGTCAGGAATACAGGAGGCAGTGGCCAGGAGGCTCATGGACGATCTTGGAATTCTTAAGTCAGGCCCTGCTGCTTCCTCTTGGCCACAGTGTGGGTGTGAACTCACAGGGGCAGCATCCCTCCAGAGTTCAAGGGCATTCCATTAAATCAGCAATCACTGAAGAGATTTCTGAATCTCTTAGTTAATTGCCTTAGGGAATTTAGTATGCCATAGCTGTCACCAGATTAATTAGGTGCAGTAATAGTAGTAATAGGAAACTAGTCAAAAACAAATAGGATCAAAGGGTTATTAGTTTTGTTAAATATAATTCCCATCTTAGTAAGAGAAATTTTCCAACAAAGCTGACATTAAAGAATCAAGTTTTTACTGAGAATATTTTCTAGGTTATTTATGTATCATTTTGTTCTAAAAAAAATAAAGCAATTGTGCAAAATGGGGTGGTGTCAAGATGGCCAAATATAAAGAGATCCAGTCTGCAGCTCCCAGCGAGATCAATACAGAAGGCAAATGATTTCTGCATTTCCAACTGATATACCCAGCTCGTCTCACTGGGACTAGTTACACAGTGAGTGCAGCCCACAAAGGGTGAGCAGAAGCAGGGTGGGGCATCGCGTCACCCAGGAAATGCAAGGGGTTGAGGAACTCCCTACCCTAGTCAAGGGAAGCTGTGAGAGACTGTGCTGTGAGGAATAGTGCACTCCAGCTGAGATGCTATGCTTTTCCCACAGTCTTAGTAACCCACAGACCAGAAGATTCCCTTGAGTGCCTATGCCACTGGGGCCCTTGATTTAAAGCACAAAATTGGGCATCCATTTGGGCAGACACTGTGCTAGCAGCAGGAGTTATTTTTCATAACCTCAGTGGCACTTGAAATGCCAGCAAGACAGAACCACTCACTCCCCTGGAAAAGGGGCTGAAATCAGGGAGCCAAGTGCTCTAGCTCAGTAGATCCCATCCCCATGGAGCCCAGCAAACTAAGATCCACTGGCTTAAAATTCTCATTACTAACACAGCAGTCTCAAGTTGACCTTGAACACTTGCGCTTGGTGGGGGGAGGGGCGTTGGCCATCTGTGAGGCTTGAGTAGGCAGTTTTACCCTCACAATGTAAACAAAGCCACTGGGAAGTTCAAACTGGGTGGAACCCACCGCAGCTCAGCAAAGCCACGGCAGTCAGACTGCCTCTCTAGATTCCTCCTCTCTGAGCAGGGCATTTCTGAAAGAAAGGCAGCAGCCCCAGGCAGGGGCTTATAGATAAAACCCCCAACTCGCTGGGACTGAGCACCTGGGAGAAGGGATGGCTGTGGATGCACCTTCAGCCAACTTAAATGTCCCTGCCTGCCAGCTCTGAAGAGAGCAGCAGATGTCCCAGCAGTGTTTGAGCTCTACTAGGGGACAGACTGCCTCCTCAAGTGGGTGCCTCACCCCAGTGCCTCCTGATGGGGACACACCTCCCAGCAAGGGTCAACAGACACCTCATACAGAAGATCTCCAGCTGGCATTGGCAGGTGCCCCTCTGAGATGAAGCATTCAGAGGAAGGAGCAGGCAGCGATTTTTGCTGTTCTGCAGCCTCCGCTGGTGATACCCAGGCAAACATGGTCTGGAATGGACCTCCAGCAAACTCCAGCAGACCTGCAGCAGTGGGGACTGTCTGTTAGAAGGAAAACTAACAAACAGACAACAATAGCATCAACATCAACAAAAAGGACATCCACTCAAAAACCCAATCCAAAGGAGCCACCAAAATCAAAGACCAAAGGTAGATAAATCCAGGAAGATGAGAAAAGCCAGCACAAAAAGGATGAAAATTCCAAAAACCAGAGCACCACTTCTTCTCCAAAGGATCACAACTCCTCACCAGCGAGGGAACAAAACTGGACAGAGAATGAGTTTGATGAACTGACAGAAGTAGGCTTCAGAAAGTGGGTAATAAATTCCTCTGTGCTAAGGAACATGTTCTAACCCAATGTGAGGAAGCTAAGAACCTAGAAAAAAAGGTTATAGAAATTGCTAACTAGAATACCCAGTTTAGAGAAGAACATAAATGATCTGATGGAGCCAAAAACATAGTGGAGAAGTTCGTGAAGCATACACAAAAAACAGCTGAATTGATCAAGCAGAAGAAAGGATATCAGAGATTGAAGATCAACTTAATGAAATAAAGTATAAAGACCTTTTACACTGTTGGTGGGACTGTAAACTAGGTCAACCACAGTGGGAGTCCATGTGGCAATTCCTCAGGGATCTAGAACTAGAAATACCATTTGACCCAGCCATCCCATTACTGGGTATATACCCAAAGGATTATAAATCATGCTGCTATAAAGACACATGCACACGTATGTTTATTGCGGCACTATTCACAATAGCAAAGACTTAGAACCAACCCAAATGTCCAACAATGATAGACTGGATTAAGAAAATGTGGCACATATACACCATGGAATACTATGCAGCCATAAAAAATGATGAGTTCATGTCCTTTGCAGGGACATGGATGAAATTGGAAATCATCATTCTCAGTAAACTATCACAAGGACAAAAAACCAAACACCGCATATTCTCACTCATAGGTGGGAATTGAACAATGAGAACACATGGACACAGGAAGGGGAATATCACATTCTGGGGACTGTTGTGGGGTGGGGGAGGGGGAAGGGATAGCATTAGAAGATATACCTAATGCTAAATGAGGAGTTAATGGGTGCAGCACACCAGCATGGCACATGTATACATATGTAACTAACCTGCACATTGTGCACATGTACCCTAAAACTTAAAGTATAACAATAATATAATAAAAACAAAACAAAACAAAAAATAAAGTGTAAAGACAACAATAGAGAAAAAAAAAGAGTAAAAAGAAATGAATAAAGCCTCCAAGAACTATGGGACTATGTGAGAAGACAAAACCTACATTTGATTGGGGTACCTGAAAGTGAGGGGGGAATGGAACCAACTTAGAAAACACATTTCAGGATTTTATTTGGGAGAAATTCCCCAACCTAGCAAGTCAGGCCAACATTCAAATTCAGGAAATACAGAGAACACCACAGAGATACTCCTTAAGAAGAGCAATCCCAAAACATATAATCATCAGATTGACCAAGTTTGAAATGAAGGAAAAAAATTTAAGTGCAGCCAGAGAGAAAGGTCAGGTTACCCACAAAAAAGAGTCCATCAGACTAACAGTGGTTCTCTCTGCAGAAACCTTACAAGCCAGAAGAGAGTAGGGGCCAATATTCAACATTTAAAGAAAAGAATTTTCAACCCAGAATTTCATACCCAGCCAAACTACGCTTCATAAGTGAAGGAGAAATGAAATTCTTTACAGACAAGCAAATGCTGAGAGATTTTTGTCACCCCCAGGCCTGCCTTATAAGATCTCCTGAATGAAGCACTAAACATGTAAAAGACAAACCAGTATCAGCCACTACAAAAGCATACCACATTGTAGAGTCTGTCAACACTGTGAAGAAACTGCATCAACTAATGGGCAAAACAACAAGCTAGCATCATAATGACAGGATCAAATTCACATATAACAATATTAACCTTAAATGTAAATGGGCTAAATGCCCTAATTAAAAGACACAGACTGGTAAATAGATAAAGATTCAAGACCCATTGGTGGGCTGTATTCAGGAGACACATCTCACGTACAAAGACACACACAGGCTCAAAATAAAGGGATGGAGGAAGATTTACCAAGGAAGTGGAAAGCAGAAAAAAAGCAGGGGGTGCAATTTTAGTCTCTGATAAAACAGACTTTAAACCAACAAAGAGCAAGAGACAAAGAAGGTCATTACTTAATTGTAAAGGGATCAATGCAACAAGAAGAGCTAACTATCCTAAATATATAAACACTAAATACAGGAGCACCCAGACTCATAAAGCAAGTTCTTAGAGACCTACAAAGACATTTAGACTCCACGCACTAATGGTGGGAGACTTTTACACCCCACTGTCAATATTAGATCAACGAGACAGAAAGTTAACAAAGATATCCACGACTTGAGCTCTGGACCAAGTGGACCTAATAGATATCTACAGAACTCCCCACACCAAATCAACAGAATATACATTATTCTCAGCACCACATCAAACTGATTCTAAAATTCAACACATAACTGGAAGTAAAACACTCTTCAGCAAATGCAAAAGATCGGAAATCATAACCAACAGTCTATCAGACCACAGAGCAATCAAATTAGAACCGAGGATGAAGAAACTCACTCAAAACTGCACAACTACAGGAAACTGAACAGCCTGCTACTGTGTGACTACTGAGTAAATAATGACATTAAGGCAGAAATAAAGAAGTTATTTGAAACGAATGAGAACAAAGACACAACCTAACCAGAATCTCTGGGACACATTGAAAGCAGTGTGTAGGGGGTAATTTATAGCACTAGGTGCCTGCAAGAGAAAGCAAGAATGATCCAAAATCGACACACTAGCATCATAATTAAAAGAACTACAGAAGCAACAGCAAACAAACCCAAAAGCTAGCAGAAGATAAGAAATAACTAAGATCAGAGCAGAACTGAAGGAGACAGAGAAATGAAAAACCTTTCAAGAAAATCAGTGAATCCAGGAGCTAGATTTTTGAAAAGGTCAACAAAATAGATATATCACTAGCCAGACTAATAAAGAAGAAAAGAGAGAAGAATCAAATAAATGCAATAAAAATGATAAAGGGGATATCACCAATATTACCACAGAAATAAAAACTACCAGCAGAGAATACTACAAACACTTCTATGCAAATAAACTTCAAAATCTAGAAGAAACGGATAAATTCCTGGACACATACACCCTCTGAAGACTAAACCAGGAAGAAGTTGAATGCCTGAATATACCAGTAACAAGTTCTAAAATTGAGGCAGTAACTAATACACTACCAACCAAAAAAGTCCAGGACTGGACAAATTCAAAGCCAAGTCCTACCAGAGTTACAAAGAAGAGTTGGTACCATTTCTTCTGAAACTACTCCAAGGAATAGAAAAAGAGGGACTCCTCCCTAACTCATTTTATAAGTCCAACATTATCCTGATATGAAAACCTGGCAGAGACACAACAAAAAAATAAAATTTCAGCCCGATTTGCCTGATGAACACCGATGGGAAAATCCTCAATAAAATCCTGGCAAACCAAATCCAGAAGCATGTTAAAAAGCTTATCCACCAGGATCAAGTTGGCTTCATCCCTGAGATGCAAGGCTGGTTCAACCTATGCAAATCAATAAACATAATCCATCACATAAACAGAATAAATGACAAAAACCACATGATTATCTCAATAGATGTAGAAAAGGCCTTCGATAAAATTCAACACCTATGCATGCTAAAACATCTCAATAAACTAGGCATTGATGGAATACATCTCAAAATAATAAGCGCTATTTATAACAAACCCACAGCCAATGCAATACTGAATGGGCAAAAACTGGAAGCATTCCCTTTGAAAACTAGCACAAGATAAGGATGCCCACTCTCACCACTCCTATTCCACACAGTATTGGAAGTTCTGGCCAGGGCAATCAGGCAAGAGAAAGAAATGAAATGTAGTCAAATACAGACAGAGAAAGTCAAATTGTCTTTGTTTGCCAATGACATGATTGTATATTTAGAAAACCCCATTGTCTCACCAACAAATCTTAAGCTGATAAGCAACTTCAGCCAAGCCTCAGGATACAAAATCAATGTGCAAAAATCACAATCATTCCTATACACCAGTAATAGACAAAGAGAGAGCCAAATCATGAGTGAATGCCTATTCACAGTTGCAACAAAGAGAATAAAATACCTAGGAGAACAACCTGCAAGAGATGTGAAGGACCTCTTCAAGGAGAACTACAAACCACTGCTCAATGAAATAAAAGAAGACCACATAATGGAAAAACATTCCATGCTCATGGATAGGAAGTATCAATGTCATGAAAATGGCCATGCTGCCCAAAGTAATTTGTGGATTCAATGCTATACCCATCAGGCTACTGTTGACTTTCTTCACAGATTTAGAAAGAAAACTACTTTAAATTTCACAGGGAACCAAAAAAGAGCTGGTATAGACAAGGCAATCCTAAGCAAAAAGAACAAAGCTGCGGGGATCATGCTACCTGACTTTAAATCACAATACTAGTCTACATTAACCAAAACAGCATGGTACTGGTACCAAAATAGATATATAGGCCAATGGAACAGAACAGATGCCTCAGAAATAACACCACACATCTACAATCATCTGATCTTTGACAAACCTGATGAAAACAACAATGGGGAAAGGATTCCCTATTTAATAAATGGTGTTAGGAAAATCGGCTAGCTCTATGCAGAAAACCGAAACTGCACCCCTTTCTTACACCTTATACAAAAATTAACTCAAGATGGATTAAAGACTTAAATGTAAGACCTTAACCCATGAAACTTTAGAAAAAAACCTAGGCAGTACCATTCAGGACATAGGCATGGGCAAAGACCTCATGACTAAAACACCAAAAGCACTGGCACGAAAATGCAAAATTGACAGTTGGGATGTAATTAAACTAAAAGGCTTCTGCACAGCAAAAGAAACTCCCATCAGAGTTGTAAGGCAACCTACAAAATGGGAAATAATTTTTGCAATCTATCCATCTGACAAAGTTCTAATATTCAGAATCTACAGATAATTTAAACAAGTTTACAGGATTAAAATCAAACAACCGCATCAAAAAGTGGGCAAAGGATATGAACAGACACTTCTCAAAGAAGACATTTATGTGGCCAACAAACATTGAAAAAAAAGCTCATCATTACTGGTCATTATAGAAATGCAAATCAAAACCACAATAAGATACCATCTCATGCCAGTTAGAATGGTGATCATTAAAAAGCAAGGAAACAACAGATGCTGTAGAGAATGTGAAGAAACAGGAATACTTTTACACTGCTGGTGGGAGTGTAAATTAGTTCAACTATTGTGGAAGACAGTGTGGCAATTCCTTAAGGATCTAGAACTGGAAATACCATTTCACCCAGCAATCCCATTACTGGGTACATACCCAAAGGATTATAAATCATTCTACTATAAACAGACATGCACACATATGTTTATTGTGGCACTGTTCACAATAGCAAAGACTTGAACCAACCCAAATGTCCATCAATGATAGACTGGATTAAGAAAATGTGGAACATATATACCATGGAATACTATACAGCCATGAAAAAAGAATGAGTTCATGTCCTTCATGTCCCTTGCAGGGACATCATGAAGCTGGAAACCATCATTCTCAGCAAACTAATACGAGAGCAGAAGACCAAACACTGTATGTTCTCACTCATAAGTGGGAGCTGAACAATGAGAACACCTGGGCACAGGGAGGGGAACATCACACACTGGGTTCTGTCAAGGGTTGGGGGCTAGGGGAAGGATAGCATTAGGAGAAATACTTAATGTAGATCATGGTTGATGGGTGCAGCAAACCACCGTGGCACATGTATACTTATATAACAAACCTGTACGTTCTGCACATGCATCTGAGAATGCAACGTACAATAAATTAAAAATAAATAAATTAATTAAAGCAATTATAAGACCATTGTCAGAAGTCCCCCAGGATCCACCTTCAATCTAACGAGCACTCACTGAGTGAAAGCACCTGCCTGAGGGTGCTGCCTCTGCCAGCACATCCTCTGAAGCCCAGAGACCTGTGGGTAGAGAGCCTCCTTGGGCCTAATGCCAGGCCCTGAGACTTGTGAGTGTGAGCCACTCCTTGGCTGGTGGGGACTTGAGAGACCAAGCTGGAAGGCACCCTAGGGTTCTCTGTTCCAAGGCATAAAAATGCCATCTTTGTTGCAAAACAAAAATTATGGCATTGCTTATGTATCACTTGTATGGTTGATATTTATTACAAGTAAAACCATAAATCAGAAATAAATTTTTTAAAGCCTAGCCATCACTACTTTGCGTGTTTTCATTTTTCTGTTATGTTAATCTTGTTTTAGGAGCTGAATTTCAGGGTTTTAAAAAATTATTATTTTTTTTTGTTTTTCTGTTCAGCTTTCAAGCGAGTTATGTTAAAGTTCACAAATAGGTAGAGTAGACTAATTTCACCAGCTTAAGTTTTGTGTATATTTGGTATCTTTTTTCTTTTTTCTTTTTTTTTGGAATACCAGGATTGAAGTTGTGAGGTAATATTCACCATTCATAAATAAGGGATGTGGTAGATTATATTTTTTCCCTGAAAACCTGCATATTTCTTAATAAAGGAGGTCTAAGTCCACATAAATAGGTAGACTGGACTCATTTCATGAACCTTTAGACATTTTGACTCACACCCCAAACTATTATGCTATCACCTTGTTAAGAGTACAGTCTTACAGGTGGTGGTTCATGCCTGTAATCTCAACATTTTGAGAGGCCAGGGTGGGAGGATCACTTGAGTTCAGGAGTTAAGACCAGCTTGGGCAACACAGCAAAACCATGTCTCTACAATAATAACAAATATTGCAGGCATCATGGTGCATGCCTGTAGTCTCAGCTACTCAGAAGGTGGGAGACATGCACCTTAAGGTGGGAGAATCACCAGTCTGGGAGGCAGAAGTTGCAGTGAGCCGAGATCATGTCGCTGCTCTCCAGCATGAGTGACAGAGCGAGACACTGTCTCAAAAGAAAAATAAAAGGGAGTAGTCTGGGTGGTTGTGTGGGGATATGAGTATTCTGTGAAATTCTTTCAACTCTGATGTAAGCTGAACCATCTTTACATTGCGATGTTGGGGGAGGCAGCTCTACACAGTGTGAGAGAGAAAGAACGAAAGTTCACTCAGACACAAATTAGAACATCATAGGGGATCTGGGGATGGCACAGGCCCTGAGATAAATGCTCAAGGTTTTTACAGAGAAGGAACAGAGAGCGGGATTAGCCAACAGGGGAGCAGCCAACACAGAATCAATCCTGAGGACTTTGGAAACAAATTAGAAAAGTTTACACATGGTGCAGTAGGCATTTGAGCTCACTGGAAGTTCTCAGAAGGACATATTGGCCATGTTTGTTTTATAACTCAGTGGAGTATTGTGTGGCAGGTTAGAAATAGGTGGTAAGGGAGAAGGAAGTGTCAGGCATGATTCCAATGTGATTTCCTTCAAGGAACTTATAGTTCAATTAGAAAACATGAGTAATGAAAAAATTTAGAGGAGGCTTAGGAGAAAGTGAAATTAATATAAGAAAATGGTCACTGGGCATATTTTCATATAAACTTGTACCAAATGTGAAGAACATTTTGCATCTCTATGACTCTTTCCTAGATTAAAAAAAAGTGAAAAAAAAGATGTAGCTAGTTAAAATATATATATGCATGTGTGTAGATATATATATCTAATACCTGTAACTTCATGTGAAACTCACCCAAAGTTTAATCTTGACTTATCCTTATCATACATTTCATATGTCCCAAATGAAGGCATACAGGAGCAGGCAGCCTATCAGTTTGAGTTGACCTTCGTAACTGGAACTTCTTTTCCTCCAACGATAATGGAGAACAAATAGCTGTATATTACTTATGTCCATTTTAAAGTTAATATTTAGGCTGGGCAAGGTGGCTCATGCCTGTAATCCCAAACTTTGGGATTACAGTGGATCACTTGATGTCAGGAGTTTGAAACCAGCTTGGCCAACCTCGTGAAACCTCATCTCTACTAAAAATAAAAAAATTATCCGGGCCTGGTTGTGCACACCTGTAATTCCACCTACTCAGGAGGTTGAGGCAAGAGAATCGCTTGAACCCGAGAGACAGAGTTTTCAGTGAGCCCAGATGGCACAACTACACTCCAGCCTGGGCAACAGAACAAGACTCCTTCTCAAGAAAAAAAAAAAAAAAAAAAAAAAAAAAAAAAAAGGTTAATATTTTGTAACCAGCTGAGCCTGCCTATGCCTCTGGTTTTTGGGAGATCAACTAACTGTTCCTTGAATCAGCCTCTTACCCTGAAACACTGAGTTAAGGGCGCAGCCCCACTGGAGCTGCTATAGGGGATGAGGACAGTCACCTGTCATTGTTTCATTGTTTACCATCCTCTGTGGGCATCATTGCTCCAGCCTCTAGGCCACTTCCTCCTGTCGCCCACAATCACTGAGCAAAATACACTTGCTTCTGGACACTTGTCCTTGGTATTATTTTATTGCCCTTTCTCCCTTATTTTATTACTTGAAAAACCATAATGATAATAATGGCCTTCACAGATACTCCCCTTACACTTCTTTTCTCTCATTGAACTTGCCTTTGGGCTTGGTGTCCCTACTGAGTTTCCTGGCATGAGGTTGATTGCTTTAATCAAATTCCACTATCAGAGGAATAGTATTTCCTCTACCCTCTTAAGTGCAGTGATTGGGGTCTTGTAAATCAAACTAACAAAAGACACACTATCAAGAGTAAAGGTAGATTTATATTTACATACATCCAAGGAGTTCAGAGAAAATTGTGACTCAAGGAGTCAATTAGAATTTGGGAATTGTATGTTATCTTAACATGGATGGGAAAGGAGCAGAAGGATGAGTAGAAGAATAAATGACTTTTAGGAAAAACAAGTGGGCCCTTAGGAGACGAAGGATAAGATAATTTTATGACAACATGTTTTGGGAAAATTTCTCAGCCAGGTGCCACAGGTGCTGACTTCTTATCTTTGGTGATAAGACTCATGCTTTCCTGGTTGTGAAACTCCTGAACATTGAATGTATGAGGGTGGAGGGCTGAATTCTTCTGGAAGGCTTTCCTTAGGAAAAGAAGGAAGTGCAGAAGCCTCCTCTTCCTGTACTTGATGCTCACTCTCTTCAGCGCTAATAACCTTTGTGCCAGCTCTAATAACCCTCATGCCACTGTGATATGTTCTGCAGTCCATGGGGGCCCCATCTGCCTCTTCCCAACTCCCCACTGTCGCTCCCCTGCCCTTCCTCTGAATGCCCAGCACCCAGCACCAATGAGAGGCTCTCTGCCTGCTGAGCACACATGACATCCTTATTTCTAAATGACCCTGAGGTGCCCAGCCCCTGGTACTCAGGTTCTGCCTTATGTCCATGTCCAGAACACTAGCCTTGGGGCATCTTGCTCTCCCAGACAACCTTGGCCTCCCTCAGTCTTGTTCCCACATTAGCTGCCAGATGCCACAATCCCTGTTTCTGACTGTATCTTCACCTTGTCACCTCACCTTGGGGGGCATTTCCTCCTGGCATCTGCCACTCCTGACTGCTGAGACCACAGACATCCATTTCTCATGCTTCTCTGCAATGTCTCCCTGTGCTGGCTGCACCATGCCCATCCGCCCTCATCCACTGCTCCCATTGTTTCTCTCTGCACTTCCTTTCACCCAGGAACTTGGTTCATCAGTCCCCAAATGTCAGCATCTGTGTGTGTGCAGGTGTTGTTCTTGATGTTCATCTCACTCTTTCCCATCCTCCTTGGTGATCTTATCTGCTACTTCTAATCACTATGCCTGACTCAAATCTTGGTTTCTGGACACCTGTAGAGTCCTGGGCCCAGTGGTCTGGAAAGGAGCCTTGGGAAAATCTTATGTAAAAGTTCTGCCAGGTCACACTTACTAGGAGTCTCAGTAGAGGTTCTCCCATCTTAAATCTACTCTTGGGGACCCTGCTGCTTGTCTGAGCCCCAGGCTCATGAATCGGCACTATGTGGAAGTCATGAGCACCTCTGAAAACACAGCGAACACTCACCATTTTCCCACATTCTCCTTCAGCCTGCTCCTGTCACTCAAGGCACCCTGGAGAACCTCAGCCAATCTTGAAGCTTCTCATTGCACGAGGATTCTCTCTCCTCACATGCCATCTGCAGCCAGCAACCTCATTTATCCATCCACTTCTTAGGTCCTCTCTTCTGAAAACCTCCCTTGTCCTCATTTGTACATTTCTTCCCTTCCTGAATTGAGGCTGTAGGTAGTAGCTTCTGTGTGGATTTCAAAGTTTCATTTCCAGCCTGAAAACATAGACTCCTCCCCTGTCCCCACACCCAAATCAGAGGCTATCAATGCATGATATACAGAAGCAGAAGCCAACAGACACAGAATCCAGTCACTGATTCTGTAGGTAAAGAAATAGATTCATACCAAGAGACTCAATTCCCCTCCATAAACTTTTATTGAACCTTTCATGTATGTGCCATTTTATCACTGAAAAATATCAGAATACCAAGTGATTTAGGAGCACACACTGGCATTTAGTTTTAATAATAACCGATGTCATTTCTTATTTAACTTGAATTTAATAGTTATTTCTTGCTCTTTATTTTCAGTTCCTAAAAACTATTGGCAAAGAAAACCTATATTCCCAGGTATAGCATGGCCTTCTACATTAGTCTGTTTTCATGCTTCTAATAAAGACTTACCTGAGACTGGGTAATGTATACAGGAAAGAGGTTTAATGGACTCACAGTGAGGTGTAATGGACTCAAAACTTCCACATGACTGGGGAGGCCTCCCATTATGGTGGAAGGCAAGGAGGAACAAGTCACGTGTTACATGGATAGCAGCAGGCAAAAAGAGGGCTTATGCAGGGAATCTCTCCCTTATTAAACCATCACATCTCATGAGACTTATTCACTATCATGAGAACAGCATGGGACAGACCCACCCCTATGAATCGGTTACCTCCCACCAGCTCCTTTCCACAACATGTGGGAATTGTGGGAGCTACAATTCAAGATAAGATTTGGGTAGGGACACAGCTGAACCATATCACCTTATTTTTCTTTTCCTGTAACTTCCCTGCAAATGCAGAAGGCACTCCCCTTCTGTGTTATTGCACAAAACCAAATCTGACCCCTATTCTCATGATCCCTGTCTCTGTCTCCTGCCACTACAGCTGCAGAGATGCTGATAGAGAGGCTGTCTTTTCCACTTTCAAGCTCTTCCCTTCCCTTGGGTGCATCATCAGCTTTGATAGGAGGTGGAGCTGTGCTTTGGCCAGGTCACAGCACAGTAAGTGTTCTGTCTTCTTCACAGACCCATAGCTGCCTGTGTTCCTCCAGACTAGTTTCCAGGGATTACAGTTGGCGGCAGAGTCTCTCTGCCTCTGATGGAGAGCAGCTTGTTATTCTTGGGGAACTTGAGGCATTGCTGTGTTGATCTCAAGTTCACTGACTCACAGAGACCTAGACACAGATTGCATGCATATGAGTCCCTATACTGTTTTGCAGAATTAAGCCAGAGCTGAGCCATTCTTGGGGCACCATGGTCTCTGGGAAAACACAAAGTAGAGGCATGGGGCCCTTCTGCACTCTATCAAATGCAGAGAAGTGAAGAAATAATTTCACTAAATGCAAGAGAAAAACAGCAAATCTCAGAAAAGAATGAACATCCATCTTCTCATA